>NC_000003.12:42434242-42737272 GCF_000001405.40 Homo sapiens
TTTGCAAAAATGAATTTTAAGCTGTTTGTATTTTCTAAATGGCAGACACACCAGGGATTGTATATTTCTACTCTCAAAACAGCAGGGAATGAGCCTGTTCTGCCTAGACACACTGTACAACCCTCCTCTCTCTCAGATCTTGCTGCCTTCTCAGGATCCAACAGTAGTGGGAAAGATTCTCTTTGCTCTCAGACCTCCATGCTGATTCAGACCTTCATGTAATCATACACCCTGTTCCATCTTCCTGAAAGAACCTGTCTTCCTCCTCCATTTGTCTAACTTCTATACATCCTCCAAAACCCAGCTGTCTTTCCTTTTACTCTTTATCTGCTTTTCATAGCCTCTGTGATGGCATTCTCCCATTGAACTCTAACTGTTTTCACCTCTGTGAATTTCTCCAACTCATGTGAATTTCTCCAGACATGTCTGCATGGATTTCACATCCTCTTCCTAACACACCACCCAGCAAAGAGTGGGGGCTCATTTCATTAGGAGAGGACCCCAAAATGAATGGATAAATCCTTAGATTCAGTTGCAACACTGCTGTTTTACAGGACTTTCATAAATAAAAAAAAATCCAACATTGCAAAAATTAATCTGGAGATTGAGGAAATGAAAGGTTCATAAAAATAAAACTGCTGCGATTGCAACTCTGTAAATGGGAAGCCTCTCCTTTCTATGAAAACTAATTGCCCCCAGTGGGCTGATGGCAAATAATGAGTAATGAAGGATGCTAGAATTATTTATAAAGATTTGGCTCCTGTGGCTTTGATAAATTTATCATGAAATGCCCTTCAGAACCTCAGCCCCAGCAGGAGCTCATTGCTTCTGTGATCACAACTTGAGACACGTTCAAGGTTCTGCCTGGAGCTGGTTTTCAGAAACATCAAAGCTTGCATTTGTTTTACTGTTTTGGATAAGAAAAGTCATAAAATCTTTGAAAAAGTGGAGGACTGATTATTTGGAAGAATATCATATCAGGGACTGCAAATCTTTGAAGCTTTTATGCTAAATCCCCACTTAGTTTTCCTCCCTTCAACTGCTCCGTATGCTGGAAAGGCACGCGAAGACCTGCTTTTGTGAAATTAAGCCCAGGCTTCCAATCTAGGCTGAAATCAGATGGGTATTAGTGATTCTTGGGGATACACAGATAAAATCCCAGGTTAAATAAATTCAGTTCACCCAGGATTCATGATCCCAGAGACCTCTCCAAACTACCTGCCCTCCACCACGCCACTGCCTCCAGCCCCTGGGGCTTTCCTTAAATGTATAAAGTATTTTTAGTAAATAACTTGAAGGAGAAGGAAGTCAGTGAGGGCAATCACCATCTGAGAAGCTAGGACCCCCTCCAGGTAGCTCTGGATGGGCAAAGGTGTTAACCTGGAAATTAACATCTTCCCACAAATTCATGGAAAATGTTATCTTGCTAGCTTGTGAATCTATTCTACTCTGAAAAGTGGACCTCAGCTCTGTGAATCATGAAGCTCCTAATATCCAGGCAGTAGGAAAAGAGGAAACCCTGAGCAGTTGCATGATTGTGATGCCTATTTAGTAGGTTGTTAAAACAGACCTCCTCAGGCCTCGGTTTCAGAGGATGCTTCACCATGATAACTCTTAGGCAGCCAAGTGGGTTTGACTCACAGCTTCTCCATACACAGACCTACTAAGGAAGTAGCAACCCTCAGCTGGATCCAGATGTAGAATTAGATTGGAGTGGGGAATGAGGTAGGACTTGAGAGAAAATCCTTTGGAGGAAGCTGTGCTGAAGCCTCAAGAGCTTGGATGGGGTGTACCTCCACTGCTTCCGGCCTGGAAAGAGTGGGCCTCAATGGGAACACGCAGAGAGCTTCTTCAGGCACCATGGCCTAGAGTTTCACTCTTACCCGGGATATTAGGGGCATGTTTGTGTCTCTTGCGGACCAGATGTGGGCCACATTGAGTTCTGCTCACGGAGACAGCTAGGAGAGTAAGGGTCATAAAAAGTGGGCCAATAGAGCCATCCCAGGATTGTGGGGCACACTGACAGTACCATACTACTGCAGGTACTACACACTACTATGCAGGTCTGCACCTACTATCCTGCCTTCATCCACCTAACCCTGGTGGGGGTCTCCAGCAACAGCTTGCAAGTGGGGGAGAGGTGGGTATGGAAGAAGCAGAAGTCACCCCTCCTTCCTTGAGGAAGATGGCTGCCAACTATAGGCCTTAGCGTGGAGAGCAGTCTTACCTTCGAGTGATAGAGTAATCATGTCTTTTTAGTCTGTATTTTTGGTGCTTTGACTTCTTGGGGTCTTGCTGACCTTGAAGAGACTGTCCCTCTCAAGGATAGCCAATTCCCAGAGATAGTTAAAAAAAAAAAAAAAAAAGGCCAAGTTGGGTGGCTCACACCTGACACCTGTAATCCCAGCACTTTAGGAAGCCGAGATGGGTGGATCACTTGAGGCCTGGCCAACATGGCAAAATCCCATTTCTACTAAAAATACAAAAATTAACCAGGTGTGGTGTTGCACACCTGTAATCCCAGCTACTCGGGAAGCTGAGGCACGAGAATAGCTTGAGCTTGGGAGGCAGAGGTTGCAGTGAGCCGAGATCGTGCCACTCACTCCAGACTCCAGCCTGGGCGACAGAGCAAGAGAAAGACTCCATCTCAAAAAAAAAAAAAAAAAAAAAGATTCCACTCATCTTTGAGTGTGCCTTTCACATGCAAACCAACTCATCCATGGCCCATTTCCCTAGCCACCTCCTTTATTAGGCTTTTACACTGTGGGCCACTGATGACCTAAGGGCCAGGTACTAGGCAACTAGAGATAACCCCTATCCCCCAGAACCCCCTGAAATTACTCAATTCAGCCAACCCACCCTAAACCTACTTACCTGGCTTCATCCATTCCTTCCAGCATCAACTACAATAAAGCCTCTTGCCCACATTCCCCTCTGCTTGCTCTGCCTCCTGACTCACCTTGGTGCTTCCCTGTGTGGCCCTGAGTGACAGTGGAAATGC
The DNA here is from genome assembly GCF_000001405.40 of Homo sapiens. Taxonomy (NCBI): domain Eukaryota; kingdom Metazoa; phylum Chordata; class Mammalia; order Primates; family Hominidae; genus Homo; species Homo sapiens. The sequence goes on from NC_000003.12 coordinate 42,437,244, forward strand.
TCCCTCCTCTTGGGAACTGTGAGTAACAAACTATCTTTTCAGTGACAGTCATGTGATCTGTTGGCTTCACCATACCTAAATAATAATAAACCTACCCTTTAAAACAAGACCGAAGTGTTGATTAATACACTCAATTGGATGCATTCTCATTACTAATCCAAAATGACCATATGACATAAGACTGCATGGGAAACAAATCATTCATGTTTCTGTTCAGGGGCTGGGGAAATTTTCTCACCTGAGAAAAACTTAAAGGGACCATCTGGGACCAAAAACATTCTGTACAATGGAATGTTATTCAGCAATACAAAGGAACAAAGCACTGATACATGCTACACAGATGAACCTTGAAAACATGCTAAGAGAAAGAAGCTAGTCATGAAAGTCTGTATGTATGTTTCCATTTATATAAAATGTCCAGAATAGGCCAGGAGAGGTGGCTCACTGTCACCGTCACTTGCTTAAATACTGTGTTTCAAACCTCTGCCCACTCTATTCCCAGTGCTTTGGGAGGCCAAAGCGGGCAGATCACTTAAGCCCAGGAGTTCAAGACCAGCCTGGGCAACATGGCAAAACCTCATCACTACGAAAAAATGCAAAAATCAGCCAGGTGTGGGGGAAGACAGCTGTAGTCCCAGCTACTCAGGGGGCTGAGATGAAAGGATCGCTTGAGCTGAGGAAGCAGAGGTTGCAGTAAGCAGAGAAGGTGCCACTGTACTCCAGCCTGGATGACAGAGCAAAACCCTGTCTCAAAAAAAAAAAAAAAAAAAAAAAAAAAGGCCAGGTGCAGCGGCTCATGCCTGTAATCCCAGCACTTTGGGAGGCTGAGACAGGTGGATCACTTCAGGTCAGGAATTCAAGACCAGGCTGGCCAACATGTGAAACCCCATCTCTACTAAAAATACAAAAATTAGCTGGGTGTGGTGGGAGCCTGTAATCCCAGCTACTTGGGAGGCTGAGGCAGGGGAATCACCTGAACCCAGGAGGTGGAGCTTGCAGTGAGCCAAGATCGCGCCACTATACTCCAGCCTGGGCAACAAGGGCAAAACTCTGTCTCAAAAAAAAAAAAAGTCCAGAGTAGGCAAATCTATAGAGACAGAAAGTAGATTAGTTTAGTGAGCACCTAGGGATTGGGGAACTTGCTGGGGTGATGAGGAGTGACTGATAATGGTAAGGAGGTCAGTGGAGGATGAAGAAAATGTTCTAAAATTAATTGTCATGATGGTTGCACAACTCTATGACTATCCTAAAAACCACTGAATTGTATGGTATATAAATTACATACTAATTTAATTGAGAGAGAGAGAAGCAAGGTACTTCCCAGTCTTTGAGCCATGCAAGCCTGTGTTGAATACCAGCTTCGTCACTTACTGGTCCTGAGGTTTGGGGCATAGAACCTCTCTAAGGCTCTGTGTCCTTATCTATAAACTAGGGATCTACATACCTACTGTGCAGGGTTGTTGAATAAGATCATGTGTGCAAACTGCTTAATAAGTTTATTAGAGCATAGGAAAGACATTTGGCCTTAGATGCTAATAGTAATGCTAATAATAGTGGATGTGTCTTACACACCCCAGAAGGCTTTCCATTCGCCCATTCATTCAATAAATACAAGGCCCACCCTGTGTCTGACACTGCTCAAAGTGCTGGGGATACATCAGTGAACAAGTCAAAGTCTTGCTGGTATGAAACTGACACTCTAGCAGGGGGAGGAATAATTAACAAACAGGCAGATATGGCAAATACCAGATGGGGACAGAGAGCCACCTCCAGGCCTGCTCCTCAAAGCAGCTCACTTTCGTATTGTGCATATTTGGCTTTTAAATAAGGTTTTGTTTGAATCTACAATCCTCAAGGCTTAAACAATGCCTTTCAAAACCTCTGCCCACCCTATTCCCAAGAAATTGCATGCTCCACATTGGAACATACACGGTATCTCAGGCGTAACTGTTCTTTTCTAATTGATCCTAATGATGTAACTTCAAACAGGCCCCCCTCCCAAATCCTACGAAATTGAATTTTCTGTCACCTTCAGTGAAAATTATGCTTCCTAGCAAATGCAATTCCAACTAGTCATCGAGATTCGTGTCACTAATGGGGCCTCATGTCTTTCTGATTCAGTTTGAATCTTTTGAAAATGCCTTGATTAAATTTGGATCTTCCAAAAATGTCAGTGACTTTGATTCAGAAAGTGTGAATTCTCAGCAAGTTTGCCAAGTGTAGGACGCTTCTCTTCATCACACATTCACTTTCTTCAGTGACTAAGGCCTATGTCTTACACAAATGGGTACATTTTTAGCCTGATGGCTGAGGAGGAACACTCGCCAGAATTAGCTGCCCGTGTCCCTCTGTCTCGCTGGTTCACTGTGCCGTGTAGGTAACGTCATGCCCAGGTCTCCTCAGTCTCCTGAACACGTCTGCAGAGACATGTTCTAAGCTTACTGGGCAGATGCTCCATTAGGAAGAGATGCAGGGACATTGCAGCAACATCTGCCAGAAGTTGTGCTTGGCTGGAAGAAAGCACTTCTCAATTTCCAACAGTCCCTGAAGCCTCCTCTCCCTTCTCATCTCAGTCCTGATCACACGGCAGATGGATGGGCTGGGATTCTCTGCTGTGATGCATTTGGCATTGGCTGACAGAGCAGACACAATGGCAGTGCCCTCTGGGAAGCAACATAAAGAGCTGATTGTTGTATTTTCTGACAGATAATAGGGGAGAAAGATGTGAATAAACCAGGTGCACTTGTCCTTTAACAGACTGATAATGGTGACAGAAAACACCCTAGTGGCCATGGAAACAAAGAGTTGGGACAGGAATAAGAATGGAACTGTGGGGAGATTTCAACAAGTCCCTCTGTGTGTTGCTGGAAGATACTTGGAAATGTTTGCTGCATTTCCTCATGCATCCCAGTTCTTCCTCAGCCCCAACAGCAAAGACTTCCAGCAGGGAAGGGTTGATACAGCAGGGATGGGAGAAGAAGGGAGTCAAAATCTTGGCTTGGCTTTTGAATTTGGAAAGTCAACTTTGAGTTGTAAGAACCCAAAGGAAATTTACAGGTAACCTAGAAACTTCCAAGGCCTGAGATATAGATCAGGGCTAGTTTTGCCTGCTTCAGAAGAGAGGAAGTTTCTCAGGGCAGAGGTGGGGAGAGAATGATAAGGGGCAGCAAGAGAGAAAGAAAATAGGAGCTTCCCTGAAAATGGCCCTGCTCCCCAACCCACCCACCTGTCACCAATAGGGGATGAAGAATACAGCAGAGACCTCAGATGGGTGCAGAGTGGGGTGGGGGATCCTAGGGACCATGCCTAGAGCTGCCAGATAAAATGCAATGTTTGGGGCTGGGCAGGGTGGCTCACGCATGTATTCCCAGCAGTTTGGGAGGCTGAGGCAGATGGATCACTTGAGGTCAGGAGCTTGAGACCAGCCTGGCCAACATGGTGAAACGCCCCCTCTACTGAAAATACAAAAATTAGCTGGGCATTGTGGTGCATGCTTGTAATCCCAGCTACTTGGGAAGCTGAGGCAGGAGGATCGCTTGAACCTGGGAGGTGGAGGTTTCAGTTTGCCAAGATTTTGCCACTGCACTCCAGCCTGGGTGACAGAGCAAAACTCCGTCTCAAAAAAAAAAAAAAAAAAGCAATATTTGGGACATACTTACAATAAAAAACTACTTATCGTTTACCTGAAATTCAAATTTAACCGGGTGATATGTATTTTTATTTGCTAAATCTGGCATCCCGATTTGCACCTCCTTTCTAGGGGAAACCTAAAGAGCCTCCTCACCCCAGCAGGTGAGGAAGACAAAGACAAAGAAGCGATGCTGGGGAGAGAAACCATGGGGTGCCTGGCGGAGCCTGCAACAGGAGAAGGAAAAGCTCTGCCTCCGAGGAAGCATGAGACTCCACTTCTGGGTGAGGGCTTAGAAGTCGAAATGAGGAGGACGCAGTTGCCACCTGCAGGGAGCATTCCATGGGCGTCAGAGGGGTGACAGTTTCATCAGACAACACCAGTAGGGATTGATAGGGTCATGCAGACAAGATTGCACATGCATGCACACACACCATGTGCCTCCACACAAAAACAATAAAAGTCCATACTTACTGAGCACTTGCTATCCCAGGAACTGTTCACAGAACTTGATGCTTACTATTTTCTAAGTGCATTATATTCTCTTCTGTCAGCTCTTCTAATCCTTGCAACAGTCCTATGAGGTAGGCATTTTTATCTCCATTTTCCTCATGAGGGAACAGAAGCAAAGAAGTCATGTGAGTATCCCAGACTCACCTAGTTGGCAGGTGGCAAAACTGGAGTGTGAGCCCAGCAGTTTGGTTCCTGAATCTGTACCCTTAAACTTCCGTACTCTGCAATCTGTATCACTTGGGGTTGAGTGTGACCGCAAGTAACCAAAAACCCCAATTCACAGTGGCCAAAACACAGAATTTTATTTTATTTTGTTAAACAACAACAACAAAATTCCAGAGGCAGGCAGGTCAGGACTGTTGTAACAGTTCCATAAAGCTCCTTCTGGAATTCCCTCTGCGTTCACTGCAGGTGACTTTCAAACTTGTGGTCCAAGAGGGCTGCTGGAGCCTCAGCCATTATATATGTGTTCCAAGCAGCAAGAGGGAGGAAGGAGGAAAAAGAGCAGTTCTTTCCCTCTTCTGGAAAGTCACATATGCCATCTCTTAGTGACACAGTCTCATCTTGCTGCAAGAGAAGCTGGAGTAAGTAATCACTTGGCTGATTGGCAGTGTGCCCAGCTACAATCAGGAATAAAAGAAGAAAATGACTGTTGAGAATTGATAACATTCCCTGTTACACAGCCTCTGGAATTTTAAAGTCCCTGGAATTATAGGTCTGTAGTAGATTTTACCGCTGCCCAAATCTCTCCCCCAGCTCACCATGGATGGAGCCAACAAAGTAGGGTGTGCGGCATCTTAAGGTATCTGCAAAGGGCTGAGGAGGCTGGAGGCTGAGATACAGAGAAGTTCCCAGGAATCTGCCCCCAATTCCTCTACCTCCCATTTTGAAGCAAATCACTGTTCTGATTTCTATCACGATAGGTTAGTTTGCATTTTCTAGAGCTTCATATAAATGGGATCATAGAGCATAACCTCTTTTGTGTCTGGGTTCTCTCATTCAGCATTATGTCTGTGAGATTCATTCCTGTGGGGTGCATCAGTCATTCATTTCTTCTTATTGCTGTGAGGTGTATTCCATTACAGGAATACACCATAATTTGTCCATTCATCTGTTGAGGGACACCTAGTGTGTTTCCAGTCTTGAACTATTATGAATAAAATCTCACGAATATTTTTGCACAATACTGGATGCGGATATTGCTTTTCACTGCTGTTGATTAAATGCCTAGGAGGATAATTATAGGACAGATCGACCTAAGTTATAAGGCAAGTAAACACTTAACTTTTTACGTAACTGTCAAGTAATTTTCTGAAGTGGTTGTAGCATTTCACACTCCTCCAGGCGGTCTATGAGTGTTCCAGTTGCTCCACATGGTGAGTTCTCAGAGGAGTCCCAAGGGCTGGCACCATATCCTTACCTGGGCCTTGAGGGCCTGGTCCTGGCTAGGTCAGCACATGGAGCTCCAGCCTGGGAGGCTGTGGCAGCGTCTCCTGCAGGGCAACCACAGCAATGCATGGGCTGAGGGATTCCAGAGCAGGAGCCCGCTGCAGCAGCCTTGTGATGTGAGGGCAGTGCAAGGCAAAGACATTGCCAGTACCATGGAGATGGTGAGCCCACCACAGCGAGTGCTCAGGAGTCTCCTGCCATCATTGGCATCAGCAGTAGTCTGCCAGGAATGCAGGAACACATCAAGATGTGTGAAGGGGGATTAGGCGATGCATTTTGGACACTCAGGATGGGCACCAAAGGGAAGTAATGGCCCCAGAAGAGTGCCAGCAATGCCTCCCTCGCAAATCCCCACATATTCTAAGCAGCCAGGCTGCAGGACTGCTTCTCATTTGGAGTGGAAGTAATTTGCAAGAGTGGTGGGAGCTGTTTCTCCCAGCTGCAGAAAATATTAACGTCTTGTGGAAGACTCTTTCAGCAGAATCTTAGGTCCATGGGTCACGAAGTCTGGAAAGTTGACAAGGCTTTGGGGTGGTGTGATGAAGAAGCATCTCTCTTTGTATTTTTTCTGATTTTGCTGTCTTCCTTCTTCATCAGAAAACACGTACTCTGCCATGGGCTGTAGCTAGTGACAGCAACATGGGAGCCGACCAAAACACCCCCTGGTGTTAGATGTGGTATAGCCAAGCAGTTATACAAGAGAGCTCTGAAGCCGACTTACTGGGTTCAAATCCCAGCTCTGCCTTACATTATCTGCATGATGTTGGACAAGTTGCTGAGCCTCTATGTGCCTCAGTTTCCCCACCTAGAAAATGAGGATAACAGGGTATGTTTTGCAGGCTTTTCTGAGGAATAAATGAATTAATAGATGTAAAGATCTTACAGCAAGCCTAAACCTAAACATAACAAGCCTCAGTAAATTATGATTCTGGAAGATTGAAGCTTAGCTTGAAAGCTGCTACAATGACACAATTAGTTCTGACAACTACACAAATTTATCAGTATAGAGGAAGAATCTCAGGCACAAATCCAGCCCTTTACCCAAGGCCTACAACCACTAAGTGACAAAGCAGTAATTCCCATTTTACTGGGTAGCTCCAAAGCTTGGGCTCCATTCCTCATGCTCCTCTCCTTTTATTACACGGATTGCCTAAAGCCTTAGGAACGTGGCGCCACTGCCACCTACTGGTGATGCTGCCACATGGCCCATGGCTGGGGCTCTCACTGAAGCCAATGGGACAGAGATGGAAAGGGTGTGCTCAGAACAGAGGACTGCCACAGGGCAGCCTGATCAGTGGAATGCGACAGGGTCCCAAAGGCTCTCTGGAAACCTTGTACCCAGAGGGCTTGGATTCTAATCTGAATCTGATCGCGGGATCAATCTCTCCTTCAAATAAAGGCACTTTGAGATCAATGTTGGCCAAGGTTTGTATGTGTTGCTAACACATTGTAAATCAAAAAATATCTGATATAGTTTGGCTCTGTATCCTCACCCAAATCTCATCTCTAACCGTAATCCCCATATGTCAAGGGAGGGACCTAGTGGGAAGCGATTGGATCATGGGAACAGATTTTCCCTGTGCTGTTCTCGTGATAGTGAGTTCTCATGAGATCTAATGGTTTAAAACTGTGGTACTTCCCCCTTCTCTCTCTCTCTCCTGCCACCTTGTGAAGAAGGTGCTTGCTTCTCCTTCTTCTACCATGATTGTAAGTATCTTGAGGCCTCCTCAGCCATGAGGAACTGTAAGTCAATTAAACCTCATTTATTTATGAATTACCCAGTCTCCAGTAGTCCTTTATAGCAGCATGAAAACAAACTAATACAGAAAATTGGTACCGGAAGTAGGGTTGGAGCCCCCACACAAAGCCCTCACTGGGGCACTGCCCAGTGGAACTGTGAGAAGAGGGCCACCGTCCTCCAGACCCCAGAATGGTAGATCCACCAACAGCTTGGACCATGCCCTTGGAAAAGCCACAGGCACTCAAAACCAGCCCGCAAAAGCAGCCACAGGGGCTGTATCCTGCAGAGCCACAGAGGCAAAGCTGTCCAAAACCTTGGGAACCCACCCCTTGCCTCAGCGTGTCCTGGATGTGGAACATGGAGTCAAAGGAGATTATTTTGGAGTGTTAAGATTTAATGAGGCCAGTGCAGTGGCTCACGTCTGTAATCCCAGCACTTTGGGAGGCTGAGGTGGGCAGATCACTTAAGGCCAGGAGTTCAAAACCAGCCTGGCCAACATGGAGACACCGTTTCTACTAAAAATACAAAAATTAGCCGGTGTGGTGGTGCCCACCTGTAATCCCAACTACTCGAGTGGGTGGCTGAGGCATGAGAATCTGGGAGGCAGAGGTTGCAATGAGCCGAGATCATGTTACTGCATTCCAGCTTGGGTGACAGTGTGAGACTGTCTCTCTCTCTCTCTCTCTCTCTCTCTCTCTCACACACACACACACACACACACACACACACACATACACACACAGAGATTTAATGAGTGCCCTACCAGGTTTTAGACTTGCATGGGGTCTGTGGCCCCTAAGTTTTGGCCAATTTATTCCATTTGGAACAGGAACATTTACCCAATGCCTGTACCTCCATTGTATCTTGGAAGTAACTAACTTTGTTTTTATTTTATAGGCTCATAAGCAGAAGGGACTTGCTTTGTCTCAGATGAGACTTCGGACTTGAATGTTTGAGTTAGTGCTGGAATGAGTTAAGACTTTGGGTGACTATTGGGAAGGTATGATTGGTTTTGAAATGTGAGAGGGAGGTAAGACTGGGGAGGGACCATGGGCAGAATGATATGGTTTGGCTCTGTATTCCCACCCAAATCTCATCTCAAATTGTAAGCCTCATGTGTCAGGGGAGGGACCAGGTGATTGGATCACGGGGACAGATTTTCTCCATGCTGTTCTTGTGATAGTGAGTGAGTTCTCACAAGATCTGATTGTTTAAAAGTGTGCTGCCTCCCCCTTCTCCCTCTCTCCTGCCATCTTGTGAAGAAGGTGCCTGCTTCTCCTTTGCCTTCTGCCATGATTGCAAGTTTCCTGAGGCCTCCCCAGCCATGTGGAACTGTGAGTCAATTAAACCTCTTTCATTTATAAATTACCCCGTCTCAGGCAGTTTTTAATAGCAGTGTGAAAATGGACTCATATAGTATCTGAGACAGGTCTCAATCAATTTAGAGGTTTACTTTGCCAAGGTTAAGGACCATGGCCCGTGACACAACCTCAGGAGGTCCTGAGAACCTGTGCCCAAGGTGGTTGGGTTACACTTCGGTTTTATTACATTTTAGGGAGACAGAAGTTACAGGCAAGGCATAAATCAGAACATGGAAAGTATACATTGGTTCAGCCCAGAAAGCCAGACATCTTGAAGCAGGGGGCTTCCAGGTCATAGGTGGATTTGAAGATTTCTTGAGGTTAGATAAGGGAGGTTGTGAAAACCAAGGTTCTTATCATGTAGATGATGCTACCAGGTAGCAGGCTTCAGAGAGAATAGATAGCAAATGTCTCTTATCAGACCTTAAAAGGTGTCAGACTCTGGAAAAGACCTGGTAAGGGAAAGAGATTCTCTACAGAATGCAAATTTCCCCCACAAGAGACTGTTCAGCAGGGCCATTTTAAAACATATCAAAGAAATATATTTTGGGGTAAAATACTTTGCCTACTCTCTGTCATGTGTTACTATACTAGAGTCACATTGGAATGCTGTATCTTACTGCTACAAAGAGTCTGTTTTGCCATTATTAAGATCTCTGTTTTAATGTTAATTCTGGTCAGTTGTGCCTAAATTCCAAAGGGAGGAGGTTATAATGAGGCATGTTCAACCCTACATTCCCATCAAGACCTGAATCAGGGTTTCAGGTTTCTTTGAGATCCCCTTGGCCAAGAAGGGGTCCATTCAGTCCATTGTGGGGCTTAGAATTTTAATTTTGGTTTACAACATCAACGTGTTAGCTATTTACCAGATTACCCAGCTCTTGTGCAAGAGAAAGGTCAAGGAATTGGAACATGGGACAGGTGAGTTTTGATGAGGATGACACAGTTCAGCAGGGCTCAAAGTACAGGGCCTCACCCAGAAGGTCAGCTTTGGATGGGGGCCCTGAGGCGAAAGCCCCTTTTATAATTTTGCCTTTCTCCACGAACTTCCCCACTTGGGTGGAAGAATGGATAAAAACTCTTAATGAGACAGACAAAGCCCTCTGTGCTTTGGGTCTTGCTGATGTGTCCAGCCTCATTCCTCCCAGCCCCACCTCACACTCTAGGACAGTTCAGCACTTTGGGTGGATAGTTGTGACCTGGACTACTTTTTACAAACTCATTTTCTGGGAAATGCCCTTCACCCCCACTACTAAGGCCCCTATAGTACCTACTCCAAAGAACCTTACACATTGTATCCCATGTGAATGGCATCCTATGTGAGTGGCATCCCTGGGTCACAACCCCTTAGACTACAACAGGAATGGTGCCTCTGGGCCTTGTACAACTTGGCAAGATGTCTACTACTACCACTACCATTCACATGAGTGGACATGTGGACCTGGCCTCCAGACCATACATAGATGACAGGTTCAGTGTGAGCTTCAAAATCAAGTGGGCTGATCAGAGTGCTCTCACCCTCGAAATATGAAACTGATGTAAGAGATTCCAAGCTCAGATTGGCTGGAATCTCAAATAAAGGAGGTGTTGGTGGCAGCCCCAAACTGTATGTTGTGAGTGCCCTGGCCAGTACCACCTTTTCAGGGTGGTACACCCATCCCCCAGGTGCTTATTGGCTGCTAACATGTCAAAGCTGCCCCTGCTCTGGAAAATCTCCTACTGCACAGAGCCCACCCCACCCCAAGCCAATAGCCTCAGAGGTACACAAGGGCAGCCCTCAAGGCAGGACAACTCTGCAGCAAATTTACATCCCAAAGGCCCCTCCACCTGGGTCAGGCCACCGTCCTTGCTCAACTCTGCTCCTTCCCTATCCTCCTTCTTCCCTCCATTACAGGCTTCTCCTAAACACACTACCCCAACAGATGACCCAAATCCCTGTTAGGCTCTACCTCTAGGGAATTCACCCAAGGCAGACATATTCTATCACATAAACTAGAAACAAAGGAAGCCAGCCTGTGGGGAGAGAGTGACAAAGTCTCTCTTCTTTTTTATTTTTATTTACTTATTTTTTTTTGACAATTTCTTGCTCTGTCCCCAGGCTGGGCTGCACTGGTGTGATCACAGCTCACTGCAACCTCAACCTCCTGGGCTTAAGCAATACTCCTGCTTCAGCCTCCTTAGTAGCTGGGATCACAGATGCACACCACCAGGCCTGGCTACTTTTTAAATTTTTTATTGTGTAGAGACGAGGACTCACTATGTTGCTCAGGCTGGTCTCAAACTCCTGAACTCAAGGAGATCCTCCCACCTCAGCCTCCCAAAGTGCTGGGATTATAGGCGTGAGCCACCATGCCTGGCTGGGAGTCTCTTCCTGACCAAACTTTAGACAGGCTCCTCTGAGCCCTCTTTTCAACAAGACCTCAACTTTGGCCTTTGAAAAACTGCACACTCTCAGCACAAATACTTTCATCCACCTCCAAGCTATAAGATGTGCAAAAACACTAATATAGTTTCTAATAGCTCAAGACCACATCCATAGGATGACCCTAGACCTCTTAGTGTACTCACCTCAGAAACCTCAATGCTGCCAGAAGAACTTACTGTTTGCTCCAGACAAAACCTAGTAACAGACAGGCCCCTGAACCTCTCCCCACCTCCTCTGAGCAGTTACTTTAGAAAGCTGCTCACAGTTATGAATCCTTTCTCTTCCCCTTTAAAATGTAGATCTTCCACCACCCAGAACTGTCTTCCCAAAGACATGAGAGCCATCTCTTTGAAATGCAAATCTCAGCGCTCTCCCTCTCCCAACTCAGGGGGCACCTGGCTCTAACTTGTACTGCTGTGGCCTGTAGGAGGTACACATGAGATTAACAAACCCAGTCTCTGCTCCAGCCCCTGCTTGTTTCCCCTCTACTCCCTCATTCTCCCTTTAAAATGCCCAGGCGGCCGGGCGCGGTGGCTCACGCCTGTAATCCCAGCACTTTGGGAGGCCGAGGCGGGTGGATCATGAGGTCAGGAGATCGAGACCATCCTGGCTAACAAGGTGAAACCCCGTCTCTACTAAAAATACAAAAAATTAGCCGGGCGCGGTGGCGGGCGCCTGTAGTCCCAGCTACTCGGGAGGCTGAGGCAGGAGAATGGCGTGAACCCGGGAAGCGGAGCTTGCAGTGAGCCGAGATTGCGCCACTGCAGTCCGCAGTCCGGCCTGGGAAAACAGAGCGAGACTCCGTCTCAAAAAAAAAAAAAAAAAAAAAAAAAAATGCCCAGGCATCTCTGCACAAGTCAAAGCTGAGTTCACTTCACTTGGACCCTCTTCCCTATTGCAGTGAATAAGGTCTATTCTTACCACTCTAGCTAATGTAGTGCTTTGACAAGAGAAAGAAATGGCCATGCAATGAGGAGAAAAGGTGGGAAATGGGGAACAACATTTCCCTGCTTCTAGGTCATTCCAAGGCACTCCTTCATCCCTGCCTTTAAGCCCCATGAGACACTTTGTGACCACGTAATAAGTCCCCCATTTCTTGCTTAAGCAAACTTATGTCAGTTTCTATTACTTGTAACTAATTCAGACTTTATTCATACCTTCCCTCCTCCTGGTGTGCCCCTCTGCTCCCTGATGTCTGCCTGGTTTATACTTAAGGTCTTTCAACACAGCTCCAGCATCAACTCCTCCTTGAAGCCTGCCCTGATAACCTGCTGTGCAGCTCCTGGCATGTGCCTCCATCACACCAGAGCCCCACTAGCACTGTTGTGCACTTTTTGGTTTACAATTACAGAAGTTCTTTGAGATAATACAGAAAACCCACTCAGCCAATAGAACTGAAAAATGTGTGCTTTGATGAAAAACTATGCATTGCTTAGAACGCACTGGTCTGGGTTATCTAATTCTGATTCTATGGAAGATAATTTGCAACTCTGTATCTTATACATAACTGATAGCAATGCAAAATCATTCTTGCTCAGAGACATGTAAATAAATTCTGTGCAGAGGAGAGATGACCCTCCCCTCTATGGAAAAGCCAGTTTTGCATCCCTTTGAACATTCATTTCAATATTTCTAAAATGTATCTATAAATGTATCTGTTCTCCTTTTAACTGGTTGCCATTTTTATAGTTTTCTCATTAACTAGCTAAGTAAAATCTTTAAGATGTGTTCATTTTTATATCTGTATAAGAGTTTTTTTTTTTTTTAAACCAGTCTTTGAAAATTATCCTTTCACAGAATATTGGGGCCTCTGGTTTCAATTGTCATAATAAAAGCTACCGTGGGCCGGGCGCGGTGGCTTACGCCTGTAATCCCAGCACTTTGGGAGGCCGAGGCGGGCGGATCACGAGGTCAGGAGATCGAGACCATCCCGGCTAAAACGGTGAAACCCCGTCTCTACTAAAAATACAAAAAATTAGCCGGGCGTAGTGGCGGGCGCCTGTAGTCCCAGCTACTTGGGAGGCTGAGGCAGGAGAATGGCGTGAACCCGGGAGGCGGAGCTTGCAGTGAGCCGAGATCCCGCCACTGCACTCCAGCCTGGGCGACAGAGCGAGACTCCGTCTCAAAAAAAAAAAAAAAAAAAAAAAGCTACCGTGAACTGGATGCTGAGTGATGGGTTTTACTTTCCTCGTCTCATTTATAGTAGAGATGTCATCAATTTTGTTCACTAGTATATTCTTCAGCCCCTCAAACTGTCCCTGGCATAGAGCAAGCGCTCAAAATCTTACTGGTAACTAAATGAGGAAATCCTCTCAACCATGTCAGGCAAAGCTGCTATTGTCATCCCCATTTTAAAGATGAGGAAGCTGAGACACATAGCTGGCAGATGGCAGTGAGAATTTGAACTCTTGGGGTCTTCAGACAGAACTGAGACAAAAAAATAACCTCATTTAATTTCCTCTTACAGAAGTATGCAAATTGTCTCAAGAAGAATGCCCAACAGACTCCTCATTTCTTTCTGGCCCAAAATTATGTCACATGTCTTTCTGTGAACCAATCACCAGCAGGGGAATGAGACAAAGTTTAGACCATTAGGGTCATGCATGGAGTTGGTGCTGGGTCAAACCCTTGAGAGGGGTCTGAACAAACAGGTGGGTTCACAGCCAGCAGTGTCTACATTAGGCAGTTTGCAGAATGAGAATCTGCCCAGGCCCCACTGGGTTCACCAGCTTAGAATTCATTTTATTTTTGCCTTGTTAAATTATCTTTTGTCATAACTTTTTACAGACATGTCAATTACATCAATAAGATGAATCCATTTTAGGTTCATATAATTCAAAAAGTTTTGACCCATATACACATCCATGTATCCATCACGCCAATTGCAACATGGAGCATTCACATCCCTCCAGGAAGTGCCCTGGGCAACTTCCTTGCTAATCTCCACACCCACCACCAAGCAGTTGCCAACCAGGGTTGCCTGTTCACTTCACGTAAATGAAACCACAGTGTGTGCATTTTTTAAATGCCTGGATTCTTTCACTTAAATAATGCTTTTGAAATTTGTCCATGTTTTCATATGTATCAGTAGTTTTTTCTTTTTTTTAATCACTGAGTAGGATCTTATTGTATGAACATATACCACAAATTGTTTATCCATTTTCCTGTTATGAATATTTGTTATTTCCAGTTAGGGGTTCACAAATAAAGATGCTAAGAACATTCACATACAAGTCTTCTCAGAATCAGTTTTTAAATTGGTTTCATGGCTCAGGGATCCCAGATGATGGGTGAAATTAGTAATCTGGGCCCAATACACATGAGCAGCCCTGTCCCAGTGACTCGTGGAAGACTGTTTCCACCCAGGGACCATTTCTGGACAGGATCCTAGGCTGGCAGGCTGAAATACCATTCTATTTAGGGCATCTCAGGCAGGATAGCAACATCCCAGCTGTAAGTCTGACTCCCTGACATACTGTCGTAGGACTCTTTCCTTAGTTCAGCTAAAGGGGTCCTTATCACACAGCCATGAAAAATTAGGCTTGCTCACAGTTTGAGGGGTGAGAAGGGCAGGGTTTTAATGGATTTTGAAAGGAAAAGAAAGGGAAACAGGGACTTTCCACAAAGCCAGAGTTCTGCTAGTGTGCTTCCTGCCTGGCAGATTGAATCCCAGGTTCCATCCAGGAAGAGGGGGGACCAGGCTCCTCCCCACTGCAAATAGCAAGAGCTTCTGTGGCTCCACCCCAGTGCACACTCCTCCCAGTGAACAGGCTGGTTGGAGTTTTTCTGGGAACCCCTTTGCACTTGGCTGTCTCAATACCCAGGGAGAGCCCTGGGACCCTTCCCTGGAAAGAGATTATGCACCCTACCTCCTGAGGTAGGTATTCAGTGCACATCCACCCACCTCCTGGGGGTCACACACCTTCAACTCAGTTCACCACTGTGGCTGTGGATGCTAGG
Source organism: Homo sapiens (assembly GCF_000001405.40). NCBI lineage: Eukaryota > Metazoa > Chordata > Mammalia > Primates > Hominidae > Homo > Homo sapiens. The sequence continues at coordinate 42,452,321 of NC_000003.12, forward strand.
ACCCAGTATTTTTTTCTTTTCTTGTTTTCCTTTACATTCAGCTAGAAAACCTTCACCTGTTTAGTCATTCATTCACTAAATATTTATTAACCACTTGCCAGGCATTGGGAATGTAAAAAAGGTAAAACATAAACAAAAACCAAATCCTGTGTTGAAGGTAGACTGAAGGGCTACTCTCTGGAATGCAACAAGGTAGATGATGTCTAGAGAAGACTGCATGACTGCATTTCTTTTTTTTTTTTTTTTTTTTTGAGGCAAAGCAATCTCAGCTCACTGCAATCTCCGCCTCCCAGGTTTAAGTGATTCTCCTGCCTCAGCCTCCCAAGTAGCTGGGATTGCAGATGTGTGCCACTATGTCTGGCTAATTTTTGTATTTTTAGTAGACACGGGGTTTCACCATGTTGGTGAGGCTGGTCTCAAACTCCGGACCTCAAGTGATCTGCCTACCTTGGCCTCCCAAAGTGCTGGGATTACAGGTGTGAGCCACCACACCCACTCAGAGAAGACTGCATTTCTCAGCCTCCTTGTAATTGTTTTGGGGTCATATGACTTAGTTCTGACTGATTAAATATGGGTACTGTGAAATATGAACAGAAGTGACGTGTAACGTTTCTGGGCTGAGACAATTAAAGTTCCATGCACAACTTTCCAGTCTCTCTTTTCTTGGCCATTGACCACCAGGCCCAGATATAGTAACTAAAAAATGGCGGTGCCTCAGTTAGCCTCAGTTTCTGAGTGACTGTGTAGCAGTTACTGCCAATATTGCACCTGTCACTGCATATTGGCAGATGGGATGCCAATTGGCATAGACTTTTGTTGGGTTAAATCACTGATATTTGAGGGATTTTTGTTACCACAGCATAACCCCCAGCCAGTCTTAATGTAGAAAATTAGTACCAGAAAAGGATACTGTTGCAATGTGCATGGTGCACCTGCCTCTATCATGGTGGCCAGTGTCTTCCTGCTAGTGTCTTCACCTGAGTTAAGCCAAGCCCTCCTTCCACGTCCCTCATTATGACTTCTCAGTCTTTGATTTGGTCAACCTGAGTCCCCTAAAAAAACAACAAAGCCACAAAAATGCTTTCTTTCCTTTCCTTTCCTTTTCTTTTTTTTTTAAACTACTCTGTAACCCAGCACCTAGGCTGGAGTCCAATGGCACAATCTTTGTTCACTGCAGCCTCAACCTTCCAGGCTCAAGCAACTCTTCCACCTCAGTCTCCCAGATAGCTGGGACTACAGGCACACACCACCATGCTTGGCTAATTTTTTTTTTTTTTTTTTTTTGTAGAAACGGGGTTTCACCATGTTGCCCAGGGTGGTCTCAAACTCTTGGACTCAAGCGATCTGCCTGCCTCAGCCTCCCAAAGTGCTAGAATTACAGGTGAGAGCCACCTCATCCAGCCAAAGGTTTCCTTTTGACATGGTACCACCAGCTGGATGTCAGTTTGAGATAACGCTATATAAAAACATTTAGGCCATTACATTCAAGGTTAATATTAATATATGAGCTTTTGTTCCTGTCATAGTGTTGTTAGCCTGTTGCTTTGTAGTCTTGATTGTGTAGTTGCTTTATAGGATTCATGGGATATGTGCTTATGTGTGCTTTTGCAGTAGTGAGTATCATATCATTCTTTTGTTTCCTGGTTTAGAACTCCCTTAAGCATCTCTTGTAGGGCTGGTCTGGTGATGATTAATTCACTCAGCAATTGCTTGTCTGGGAAATACTTTATTTCTTTTTTGTTTATGAAGCTAGTTTGGTCGGATATAAAATTCTTGGCTGGCACTCACACTTTACTTTGGACATAGACATTGGACCTGGACCTTGGACCTTGATTTATCCAATTCCTTTGACATACATAACCTTAGAGCTGGAACTTGGATCTACAACTAAACCTTGGATGTGAATTTGGATCTTAGTTCTGCTCCTTGAACCTCATCCTTGGGCCTGGATTGGGCCAGAACCTTAAACATGACCTTAGACCTGGACAGTGGTCATGGACTTGACCCATGGGCTGATAATATTAAGCATCTGTATTAGTCTATTCTCACACTGTATAAAGATACTACCCAAGACTGGGTAATTTATAAAGGAAAGAAATTTAATTGACTCACAGTTCTGCATGGCTAGGGAGGCCTCAGGAAACTTACAATCATGGTGGAAGGCAAAGGAGAAGCAAGCACCTTCTTCACAAGGTAGCAGGCAAGAGAGAGCATGTGTAAGGGGAAGAGCCCCTTATAAAACCATCAGATCTCACGAGAATTCACTCATTATCACAACAACAACATAGAGAAAACTGTCCCCATGATCCAATCACCTCTCTCCCTCAACACATGGTCCCACCCTCAACATGTGGGGATTAAAATTTGAGATGAGATTCGGGCAGGGACACAGAGCCAAACCATATCATTCCAACACTGCCCCTGCCCCAAATCTCATATCTTTTCACATTTCAAACCCAATCATGCCTTCCCAACAGTCCCCCAAAGTCTTAACTCATTTCAGCATGAACTCAAAAGTCCACAGTCCAAAGTCTCATCTGAGGCGAGGCTACAAGCCTGTAAAATCAAAAACAATTTCGTTCCTTCCAAGATACAATGGGGGTACAGGCACTGGGTAGGTACACCAATTCCAAATGGAAGAAATTGGCCAAAGCAAAGGGGCTACAGGCCCCATGCAAGCCCCAAATCCAGCGGGGCAGTCCTTAAATCTTAAAGCACCAAAAGGATCTCCTTTGTCTTCATGTCTCACACCCAGGGCACACTGATACAAGGGGTGGGCTCCCATGGCTTTGGGCAGCTCCTTCGCAGGCTGGCATTGAGTGCCTGTGGCTATTCTGGGCACACATTGCAAGCTGTCAGTGGATCTACAATTCCGGGGGCTGGAGGACAGTGGCCCTTTTCCCACAGCTCCACTAGGCAGTGCCCCAGTGGGGACTCTGTGTGGGGACTCCAACCCCACATTTCCCTTCCACACTACCCTAGCAGAGGTCCTCCATGACACCTTGATTTCAGATTTCTACCCTCCAGAACTATAAAAGAATAAATTTAAGCTACTCAGTTTGTGGTACTTTGTTACAACAGCACTAGGAAACTAATATAGTTTATTTTCTGAATTAATTGAAGTGATCATACGTTTGCTTTTGGCTAGTCTGTTAATAAGCTGAATTACATTGATCAGTAGAATTTGCAGCAATGTCACTTCTTTTATTCCTGATGTTGGTAATTTGTTATCTGCTATCTTTTTTTTTCAATCTGGTTAGAGAATTATTAATTTTATTGATCTTCTCAAAGAACCAGCTTTTGGTTTTGTTGATTTTCATTGCTGATTTCCTGACTTATATTTCATTTGTTTCTTCTCTGATATTTATTATTTTCTTTTTTTCTGCTTAAAGTTTAATTTTTTCCTTCTTCTTTTAGGTTATTAATGTGATATCTCAAGTAATTAACTGGAGACTTTCAAATTAATGAATTTAGGTGTTTTAGTGATATAAATTTCTCCCTAAATACTGCGTTAGCTGTATCTGACACACTTTGATATATTGTGCTTTCATTTTCATTTAGTTCTAACTATATTATAATTTTCTTTATGATTTCTTCTTTTCCCATGTTCTATTTAGGTTCCAAATATTTGGTATTTTTAAGACACCTTTTTGTTATTTATTTTAAATTTAATTCCAATGTGGTCAAAGAATATACTTTGTATGATTTAAATTATTCTGAATTTGTCTGGACTTGTTTTATAGCAGAGTGTGGTAGATCTTGGTAAATATTCCATGTGCACTAGTAAGAAATATGTATTTCTACTGTTTGGGGGGTGGAATGCCCTATTAATATGAATTACATCAAGTTGTTTGACAATGTTTTTCAAGTCTTCTATATCCCTGTTAATTTCTTTTATTGAGAGAAGGATGCTGTGATAGACAGAATAGTAGGCTCCAAACATGCCCATGCCCTGCTTCCCAGAACTTTTGAATGTATTACTTTACATGGCAAAAGTGACTTTGCAGATGTCATTAAGGTTACAGACCTTGAGATAGGGAGATTATCCTGGATTGTCCAGGTGGGCCCAGTGTAATCACATGAGCTCTGAGAAGAGCCCTTCTCAGATGTGGTCAGAGGAAAAGGTCAGAGAAATGCAACATTGCTGGCTTTGAAGATGGAGGAGGGGGAGCATGAGCCAAGGAATACTAATGGCCTCTATAAACTGGGAAAGACAAGGAAATAAATTCTCCCCCAGAGTCTCCAGAAGGTAATGAGGTCCAGAAAACTTTCATTTTAACCCAGAGAGACCTGTATCATACTTCTGACTTAAAGAACGTTATAAGATCAGTAAATATACGTTTTTTCAAGCCACTAAGTTTGTGGCGATTTGTTTCTGCAGCAATAGAAAACTAATACAGTTACAATCTCTATCGTTGTGGATTTGTCTATTTCTCTTTGCAGTTCTCTCAGTTTTTGCTTCATGCATTTTGAAGCTCTATTATTAGGAGTATAAATTCTTAGGATCATTTGACCTCTTTGTCATAAAAAAAGATCTTCCTTATCCCTGTTATTAGTCTTTGCTCTGAACTCAAATTCATCTGATATTACTTCAATTATTTAGCATGGTGTATCTTTTTCCATCTTTTAACTTTAAACCTATTTTTGTCTTTACATTTAAAGAAGTCTTTTGTAGGCAGATTTTTTTTAATTAATCCAGTTTGGCAATCTCTGCCTTCTAGTTGAGCTGCTTAGATAATTTACATTTAATGTGATTATATAGTTGGGCTTCTATTTGTTTCATCTGTGCCTTGTGACTCTTTTCTTCTTTTTCTACATTTTTAGATTAAGCGTTTTTATGGTTCGATAGTTATCTCCTTGGTTAGCTCATTGTTGTGTTACTTTATGTATGATTTGTGGTTTATATATATTTAATTTATCACAGAATAATTTCTGGTGATATTATACCACTTTGCATGCAGTATAGAACCTTACAATAGAATGCCAGTCTGAGGAACTTGGAAAACCACTCCCACAGAGAAACATCCATTAGATTGGTCAAGATTAGCAAATATAATCATTCAAAGTCTCTGAAGAGTGGCCAAAGGGCTTACAACAAATTGAGAAGCATTTATTTAACAAAATCAGTGGAAACATGGTAAATAATGTAATATAGTAAATAAGGTTTATGCTGCACAATGGGGGAAGAGGCTATTCCTAGAACCCAGGTAATTCCTACGGACCCTTCAGGGCCACCACGTACAGTGTAAAAGTTCAGAGAAGACTACAGTAACTCTATACAAGCAAGGCAATAAGGGTTCAACTCCCTCAGGATGAAGGCTGGACTACCCAACGAGTCAAAATCCATATAAAAGGCTGGTTAAGGCCATAAGAACATGGAATGGGTGCTAGAAGAAGAAATCCATAAGTGAAAACTATGGCCATTACAGAAACAGACACTGAACCTACCACATTTTCTTCCTAAGGGGCCATGTATTAATATATAATGATACAATTTAATTTATTTTCCTCATCCCCTCTTCCTTTACATCACTGTTGTATGGAGTCTGATGGTTGTAGATAATCCTACAATTCAGACCTTAGGTTGTGGAATATTGAAACAAAATAATGACAGAACTACAAGAACAAACATCCATCATGCAGAGATCCAGGATTTTGAAGGGATACAGTTACTGATGAAACACTAGGTTAAGCCTTCTTTGGAGGGGCATACAGTTGACCCTTGAACAATATGGAGGTTAGAGACGTTAACCACTTGCATAGTTGAAACTCCATATATAACTTTTGACTTCCCCAAAACTTAACTACTAATAGCCTACTATTGACTGGAAGACTTACCAATAACATAAACAGTTGATTAACACATATTCTGTATATGTATTATATACTGTATTTTTATAATACAGTAAGCTACAGAAAAATGTTATTAAGAAAATCATAAGGAAGAGAAAATATATTTGATATTCATTAAGTGGAAGTGGATCATCAGGAAGATCTTCATCCTTGTCATCTTCAGGTTGAGTAGGCTAAGGAGGAGGAAGAGAAGAGGTTGGTCTTGCTGTCTCAGGGAAGCAGGGGAGGAGGAGGTGGAAGGGGAGACAGTGGAGACAAGCACACTTGGTGTAACTTTGTGGAAATACATCATAATTTCTGTCTGACATTTTTGCTTTTTCATTTCTCTAAAGATGTTTCTATATAGTATCAATTCTTCTTCCATCATTTGCTTTGGTTTCAGTGCCCCATCATAGAAGGGTCTATGTCATCAAATAAGTCAAATGCCATCTTGTTTAATCAAAATCCTTCTGCCAGATCATCTATTGTCAATTTGTTTTCTGGCACTGCTTCTTCTATGTCTTCTTCCTCATCATCTGACACTGGTTCAGAAGCATTCATCTTCATTAGTCGTCTTCTGTTAATTCCTCTAGTGTAGTGTCTGTCAGCTCTTGAATTTCTCCAACAGCCATATCTCTAAACTCTTCATCCTCTACCTTCTTGCCATATCCACAATCTCTTTTATGATTTCCTTGATTGGCTCTGTCATAAATTCTGTGAAATCTTGCACATATGGACACAGATTTCTCTAGCAGGAATTTATTGTTTTGGGCTTGATAGATTTCACAGCTTTTACTATGACAACAATGACATTTTCAATGGTGTAATTAATCCGTCCAGATTTTCTTGAGGTTCTCTTCCATAGCATTGACAATCCTTCCCATAGAATACTATATGTAATGCAACTTAGTTGTCCTTATGCTTGTCTCATCTAGAAGCTGAATTAGAGACGTTGTGTTGGGGGCAAGTAGACCACTTGGACATCTTCAGTGTTGAACTCATGGGTTCACCCAGAGGTGGCCAAGGAGCATTGTCTGATAGTGAAATAACTTTAAAATGCAGTCTCTTAATGGCAAGGAACTTCCTGACTTTCAGGGACAAAGCATCAATGGAATCAATCCAGAAAAAGTGTTCTCATTGTCCAGGCCTTCTTGTTGTACAACCAAAAGACTGGCAGTTGGAGTTTATCTCTTCCCTTCAAGGCTCTAGGGTTAGCAGCTTTACAGATAAGAGCACTCCTAATCATAAACCTGATTGCATTTGCACAAAACAGTAGCATTAGCCTATCCCTTCCTGCCCTAAATCCTGGTGCCCACTTCTCTTTCTTACTAATAAATGCCCTTTGTGGCATTTTTTTTTGTTTTTACAGAATAGAGTACTTTCATCTGCATAAAAACCTATTCAGGCAGATATCCTTTCTCCTCAGTGCTTTTCGTGATGGTGCCTGGGAAGTTCTCTGCTGCCTCTAAGTTGGCAAAAGCTGCTATTCCTGTTATTTTGACATTTTAAAGGCCAAATCACTTTCTAAAATTATCAAATCATCCTTTTTTGCCATTAAATTCTCAGGCTTTAGATCCTTCCTTTTGCTTTAAGTTGTCATATAATGACTTGGTTTTTTCTTGAATCATATTAGAGTTTATAGGATATGCCTTTTTATAGCAATCCTGCACCCACACAAGAGCTGCATTTTCAACATGAGATAACAACCTGTTTCACAGTAAGTCCAAGGTTTTCACACCTGTTGGCACAGCTGGCACGATGACTTCACTATTTTTACAATAGTCCTTACACTGGATTCATTAATTTTAAAATGGTGGGCAGCCAGAGCTGCAGACCTCAATCCATGGTGCATATTTTTCGACTTTTTCAATTCAACTTTTTCTTGTAATGTCATGCCTTTTCTCTGCTTTTTAGGAGCACTTCCAGCGTCATTAGTGGTACTTTGTATGTGTCCCATGGTGTTATTCAAAGTTTATAATGTTGCACTAACCATGATGAAAAATACAGGAGAACTGCAGGAGATCACTTTTTACTGCAAAATGCAATTTGCTGGAGGGTTGGATTCTTCATGTGAAGGTGCTTAGCATCACACAGTGTTTTAAGCAGATCCTTACAACACTTGAGGTCACTGCAACAGCAACAGGAGGTGGTTACGAGATTACTACAGTAATACAGTATGTATCATGGTTAATTTTATGCAGTTATGATTTAATATTGCATCTTTACTTTTGAATTTATCCTGACTGTGAATAGCAACATGTGCAGTCTGTGTGTGTAAGTTTTAATAAATTTTAACTTTTTATAATAGATTTGTGTATATTTTATCGTAGTAAATGATAAAATAGATGACTATCTACATACTAGTCTTGAACCTTCAAATAAAACTTTGAAACTAGAATTAGGATATGGTCCTGGACTTTAAATCTTGGATATGGACCTCAGACATAAACCTTGAACCTGGACCCCAAGGATAAACTGTGGAACTTTTACCTAGAAATTGGACTATGGCATCAGATCTGGACCTCGGACATAAACCTGAACTGACCTTGAATGAAGGCCTTGGAAGTGAACATAAAATCTCCAACCACCATGACACTTGACTTGGATGTTGGAACTTAAGCTATGCTTAGATTTATCCAGGACCTCAAACCTGACTTTAGACCTACACCTGGGTATTAGACCTGAAACAATTGACTTGGAATTTGAACCTGTACTATAGATCTTGACCTGAACCTCAGACATAGACTTGTCCTTGATATCTGGACTTTATACTTTCACCTTAGACTGGGATTTGGCCAGATCATTGGACCTGACCATGGACCTGGACTTTAAAAACTGGACCTTAAACCTGGATCTCAGGCCTGAATATGAATCTTGGATCTGGATCTTGGACCTTGCTTTGAAATGCACATAGGACCCAACCTAAGGCATGAAACTTTGCTCTTAACTTAGACCATGAAAATGAATTTTGGACCTGGACCTAGACTTTGGCATTGGACCTGGACATTGCACCTAGAACTTACACCTGGCCCTCAAACCTGGGTAAGAATTTTGGACCTGGATCTTGGACCTTTCTTTGAACTCATATTAGACCTGATCTTGGGCCTGGAACCTGAACTTTGGATGTGGATCTAGACCATTGGATCCAGGGTACTGAATCTAGGTTTTGGACTTTAGAAATGGATTTTGGACCTTGAACCTAGACCTCAAAACATGGACCTCCCTATTGCTTTGTAGAAGAAATTATAATGAACATAAGCATTTATAAGCAAAATATCTAAAATTAAAAAAAAAGTCATTCCTCTCAATTACACTGTTGAATTCTAGCAGCATTTGTGAAAATCAGCTAAGACTCACATAGAGTTCACAAAAGTTCCTATTGCAAGTTAGAGTGAGTTAAAGTGAATCTAAACAATATTTGTGTGAAAAGGTCTATTATCACATACTATTATTATCAAAAGTACTTTCTTATTCAAGTTAGAGCCAATTAAGATGAATCAGATAAGTGTGAAAACAAGCAGTTTCCCCAAATATATAAACAAGCCCAGTCTTGTACATTCTTCTCAAAAGTATGTTCTTGCTGAAAATTAAATAAAATCAGGTGTACTTGCTCAATAAGAAAGAAAACAAGTTCAGAATCAGAATCAAAGTTAAAACTTTAGTTCCAACATCAAAATCATGGTCCAAAGTCAAAATAAAAGGTCTAGATCCATGTCCAATTTCTCGTGTATAAGGTCTGGTCTAACGTCCAATGCAAAGCCAAATCCAAAGTTCAAAGTCCTGGCTCACAGTCTAGATCCAGTTTGAAGTTCTAGGTGTGAGGTCCAAGTCCAAGGTCCACATCAAAGTTCTCATAGCCATATCCAGAGCCATGTCAGGTTCTGGTCAAGGTCCTATTCTAAGGTCCAGAGCTGAGTTTGGGTCCAAGTTTCCAGGTTGACTTTGAAGTCCTAATCCCAAGTCCAGTTCCAAGTTGGAGGTCCACATTCAAATGCAAGCTCAATGCAGGTCAAGGTTCATGTCCTGGTAGAAGGCCCAGATACATGTACAGGCCCATCATCCATGTGCAAGTCCAATTTCCATGTTTAAGCTCAGGTCCAATGTCTAGATCAAAACAAGGTCAAAGATCCAGGCCAAAGGTCTATATTCAGGTCTAATTTCCAGGTATAAGTTCAGGACAAAGAAGCAAATAAATGTCAAAGTCTGAGGTCAAGGTCCAAACTTTAGATCCAAGGTCTAAGTTCAAAGCCAAGGTTCAAGGTTCAGGTCTGAGGTTCTGGTCAAGGCCCAAGACTGATTTCCAAGATCCAAGTCCAGTTCCACATCTGAGGTCCAGATCCAAACGCAGGTTTACTGTAGAAGGGCAAGGACAAGGTCTAAACCTCAGGTCCTGGTCTAGGTTTAACTTAATATGTAAATATTAGATCTAGACTCAGGTCCAAGATCCAGGTCTACTGGCAAATCCAAGGATATGAAAAAATCCATGACTAAAATTCCAGATTCAAAATTCATATCCTAAGTCAGTTCCAGGTCCAGGTCAGAATTCCAGATCTGAGGTCCAAATCCAAGTTTAGAAGTCCAGATCTAAGATCCAAAATACAGCTCTAGGTTCCCAGTCTTAATCTAAGACCCAGGTCCAGTTCAAATCCACATTATAAATCCAAGTTCGTTCAACATCTGAGACCAGATCAAAGTCAGGGTCTAAGTCCAGGTCCAAGGCTCAGGCCCACAGTCTTGGTTGAGGATCAAGTTTTAGCACCAAGTTTTAAGCAAGATCATGTTCAGGTCCTCCAGGTCTGAGCTCAAAGATCCCAAGGTCAAATGTCAATGCCCAAGATTCAAGTCCCAAATCCAGGTTCATGACCAAGAATGAGATCTAAAATCAAGTCCCAGCTCATGGAAAAATTCAAATCTAAGTTGAGATCTTATGTTCAGTCCAAGATCTAAATCCATGTAAATAGTCTAGGCCAAGGCCTAAGGTTTGTGACCAGTTCAAAGTCTGAAGTCCAGACACAAGATTCAGATCCAACAATCAGGTCCTGATTCAAGATGCTGGCATAAGACCAATGTCTAGGTCTGAGACATATTTCCAGCACAAAGTCCAGGTCCATATTTCCAGTACAAAGTTCAGGTCCAGGACTTGGTTACTGATCCAAAGTCAGGGTCCATTGCAGAGGTACAAAGTCCAGGTCCAACATCCATATTGATAGTCATGCCCGGGTTTAGGTCTGATGTTTAGGTCTGAGGTTCAACTTAGAGTTTAGAGATTGAAGTCCAAGGACAAGTCAAGAGCTCATGTCCAGTTTCAAGGCACAGAACCAAATTCAGGTCATGATCAGATCAGAGGTATAGGTCCAAGATCCAGCTTCAAAATTAAAGATACTGATCCAATTTCTAAGTCCAAAGAAAATATTTGAATCTAGATCCAAGATTCATAAGGACTAGGACAATGCCCAAGGTCTAGGTCCAGTTCCAAGGTCCAGGTTCAAGATCCTGATACCAAAAACTGGTTAGATTCATCTTAATTTGGACAAATACTGTTTGGATTTGTTTTAATCTGCTTTAATTTACAATAGTAACTTTTAAGAACACTGTGACTTGGATCTAGTTTTCACAAATACTGCATGGATTCATCTTTTGTCTAACTCAAAATAAGAAGTTCCTTTTTAGAGTTATGTGTGATACTTAGCTCATTTTTGCATATTCTACTAAGATTCGTGTCACCAGAGATGAATCTGCTGAGAGGAATGCGTGCTTTTCAGATTTTGCTCAGGTAATGTTTAAGTGCCTCACAGATTATTTTACCAAGCAATAAGTTACTTTGGAGAAGAGTGTTTGAGACTTGTTTACACTAATAATGCTTCATTTTAAAACAACTATACAGTTTTCCAGTTCCACCCAAATGAATTGTCCCATTCTCCTTGGTCCTCTCTCTTACAACTAAAAATCTCTGGACACAAAACAACATAAGCATAAGAAGACTTTGGGCTGGGCATGGTAGCACATGCCTGTAATCTTAGAACTTTAGAAGGCCGAGGAAAGAGGATTGCTTAAGGCCAAGAGTTTGAGAGACCAGCCTGGCCAATATAGCAAAACCCCATCTCTATTTAAAAAAAAAAAAAGTTGGTTCTTCGAAAGATAAACAAAATTAATAAACTGCCAGCCAGACTAATGAAGAAAAAGAAAAGAAGAGAAAAAATCCAAATAAATAAGATCAGAACTGAAAAAGGAAATATTACAACCGATACCACAGAAACACAAAAGATCACAGACTATTATGAACAACTATATGCTCACTAACTAGAAAATCTATAGGATACGGATAAATTCCTGGAAACATACAATCTTCCTGATTGAACTAGGAGAAATAGAAACCTTGAACAGACCAATAACAAGATTGAATCAGTAATTTTAAAAATCTTCCCATAAAGAAAAGCCCAGGACCAGATGGATTAACAGCCAAATTCTACCAAACGTACAAAGAACTAATATCAATCCTCTAGAAACTATTCCCAAAAACGGAGGAGGGAGTTCTTCCTAACTCATTGTATGAGGCCAGCATCACCGTGATACCAAATCCAGACAAGGACACAACAAAAACAACAAAAAAGAAAACTACACAGATCAATATCCCTAATGAGCATAGATGTAAAAGTCCTCAAGAAAATACTAGCCAACTGAATCCAATAGCACATCAAAAAGATAATACACAGCCAGGTGTGGTGATGCACTCCTTTAGTCTTAGCTACTTGGGAGCCTGAGGCAGAAGGATTGCTTGAGCTCAGGAGTTTGATACCAGCCTAGGAAACATAGTGAGACCCTATCTCAACAAAAAATTTAAAAATGAGCTGAGCATGGTGGCATGTGCTTGTAGTCCCAGTTACTTCAGAGGCTGAGACAGGATTGCTTGAGCTCAGGAGGTTAAGGCTGCAGTGAGCCGTGATCATGCCACTATGCTCCAGTCTCAGGGACAGAGCGAGATCTTGTCTCAAAAAAAAAAAAAAAAGTTTTTGGCCGGGAGCAGTGGCTCATGCCTGTAATCCCAGCACGTTGGGAGGCCAGAGCAAGTGGATTGCTTGAGGCCAGGAGTTCAATACCAGTATGGCCAACATGGTGAAACCCTGTCTCTACTAAAAAATATAAAAATTAGCTGGATGTGGTGGTGCATGCCTGTAATCCTAGCTTCTTGGGAGGCTGAAGCATGAGAATTGCTTGAACCTAGCAGGCGGAGGTCACAGTGAGTTGAGATCACGCCACTGTACTCCAGCCTGGGCAACAGAGCAAAACTGTCTCAAAAAAAAAAAAAAAATTTAAAGGTGCACAAATCTCTCATACACTGTTGGTAGGAATGTAAATTAGCACAACCACTATGGAGAACAGTTTGGAGGTTCCACAAAAAACTACAAATAAAAATACCATATGATCCAGCAATCTCACTGCTGGGTATATACCCAATAGAAAGGAAATCAGTATATCAGAGAGATATCTGCACTCCCATGTTTGTTGCAGCTCTGTTCACAATAGCCAAGATTCAGAAGCAACCAAAATGTCCATAAACAGATGAATGGATAAAGAAAATGTGGTACTTATATACAATGGAGTACTATTCAGCCATAAAAAAGAATGAGATCCTGTCATTTGCGACAACATGGATAGAACTGAGGGTCATTATGCTAAGTGAAATAAGCCAAGCCAAGAAAGACAAACTTTGCATGTTCTCACTTATTTGTGGGATCTAAAAATAAAACAATTGAACTCATTGAGATAGAGAGCAGAAGGATGGTTACCAGAGGTTGGGAAGAATAGTGGAGGGTAGGGAGGAGATGTGGGGAATGGTTAATGGGTACAAAAATAGTAGTTAGAAAGAATGAATAAGGCCTAGTGTTTGATAGTGTAACAGGGTGACTATAGTCAATAATAATTGTACATTTTAAAATAACTAAAAGAGTATAAGTGGATTGTTTATAACACAAAAGATAAATGCTTAAGGGAATGGGTATCCCATTTTATATGATATGATTATTATGCATTGTATGCCTGTATCAAAACATCTCATGTATCCCATAAATATATACACCTACTGTGTACCCCCCAAAAGTGTGCAAAGGATATGAATAGTATATATATATATTTTTTGAGATAGTCTCGCTCTGTCACCCAGGCTGGAGTGCAGTGGTGCGATCTCAGCTCACTGCAAGCTCCGCCTCCCAGGTTCATGCTGTTCTCCTGCCTCAGCCTCCCGAGTAGCTGGGACTACAGGCGTCCGCCACCATGCCCAGCTAATTTTTTGTATTTTTAGTAGAGATGGGGTTTCACCATGTTAGTCAGGATGGTCTCGATCTCCTGACCCCGTGATTTGCCTGCCTCAGCCTCCCAAAGTGCTGGGATTACAGGCATGAGCCACCGTGCCCAGCCCCATGAATAGTCATTTTTTAAAAGAAGAATACAAATGGCCAGCAGGTATGTGAAAAAATACTCAACATCACTAAACATCAGAGAAATACAAATTAAAACCACAATGGGCTATCACCTTACCTCAGTCAGAATCACTATTATTAAAAAGTCAAAAAATAACAGATGTTGTCAAGGATGCAGAGAAAAGGGAACTCTTATATGCTGTTGGTGGGAATGAAAATTAGTACAATCTCTGTGGAAAACAGTGCAGAGAGTGCTCAAAGAACTAAAAATAGAACTACCATCTGATCCAGCAATCCCACTACTGGGTATCTACCCAAAGGAAAAGAAATCAACCCATCAGGCCTGCACAGTGACTCATGCCTATAATGTTAGCACTTTGGGAGGCCAAAGTGGGAGGATTGCTTGAGCCCAGGAGTTTGAGACCAACATAGTTAGACCTTGTCTCTACTAAAAATAAAGATTAAAAAATTTGCCAGGCATGGTGGTGTGCACCTGTAGTCCCAGCTACTTGGAAGGCTGAGGCAGGAGGATCTCTTGAGCCTGGGAGGTCGAGGCTGCAGTGAGCTATGATCAAGCCACCATACTCCCGCCTGGGCAACAGAGCAAGATCCTGTCTCAAAAAGAAAAAAATACAAATCAATACATCAAAAAGATACCTACACTCATATATTTATTGCAGCACTATTCACAATAGCAAAGTATGGAATCAACCTAAATATCCATCAACAGATAATTGGATAAAGAAAATGTGGTGTATATATACAACAGAATACCATTCACCATTAAAAAAAGAATAAAACCATGTCTTTTGCAGTAACATGGATGGAACTGGCGGTCATTATCTTAAGTGAAACAAGTCAGACATAGAAAAACAAATATTGAAGATTTTCACTCAGCAGTGGGAGCTAAATATGTGTATATATGGATGTAGAGAGGAGAATGATAGATAATGGAGACTCAGAAGGGTGAAGGAGTAGGAGAGCGATAGATGATGAGAAATTACTTAATGGGTGCAATGTATGTTATTTGAGTTATGGCTACCCTAAAAGCCCTGACTTGACCACTATGCAATCTATGCATGTAACAAAATTGCACTTATACCCCATAAATTTATACAAATAAACAAAAAGAAAAGAGAAATACAGAATGAGAATGATATGGTTTGGCTCTGTGTCCCTACCCAAATCTCATCTCAAATTTTGTAATTCCCAATATTGGGAGAGGGGTCTGATGGGAGGTGATTAGATCATGGGGGTGGATTTCCCCCTTACTGTTCTCATGATAGTGATTGAGTTCTCCTGAGATCTGGTTGTTTAAGAGTGTGTAGCACTTCCCCTTCACTCTCTCTCTCCTACTCCACTGTGGTAAGATGTGCTCGCTTCCCCTTCACCTTCTGCCATGATTGTAAGTTTCCTGAAGCATCCCAGCCATTCTTCCTGTACAGCCTGTGGAACTGTGAGTCAATTAAACCTCTTTTCTTCATAAATTACCCAATCTCAGGTAGTTCTTTATAGTAGTGTGAGAATGAACTAATACAGATAAGTAGATTAAACAAACAGAAAATGGCAAATCATCAATGAATATAAATATACCAATAAAACAACAGATATTGGCACAGTAGATTTTAAAGATGATACAATATACTGCCTACAAGAAATTCATTTCAAATATAAAGACACAGGTACGTTGAAAGTATAAAGGTGGAAAAAATACACCGTGCAAACTTTGAGCCCAATAAAAGGTATATTAATGTCAGATAAGGTAGACTTCAAAGCAAAGAAAATTACTAGATGCAAAGAAGGCCATTACATAATGATAAAAGAATCAATCCACCAGAAAGATATGGCAATGTTCAATGTGTAAATACCAAATAACAGAGCCTCAAAATACACGAGTGATCTGAAAGGAGAAATTGAAAACCCACAATTAGAGTTGAGAACTTTAGCACCCCACTCTCAGCATTTGTTAGAACTACTAGGAAAAAAAGTTAGCAAGAATATAAAAGAACTGAACCACACAACCAACCAAAAGAATCAAACTGACATATATAGAACACTCCACCTAACAAGAGCAGAATATGCATTATTTGTAAGTATTCATGGTACACGCACCAAGACAGACCATATCCAGGGGTGTCTAATTTTTTGGCTTCCCTGGGCCACGTTGGAAGAAGAATAATTGTCTTGGACCACACACAAAATACACTAACACTAATGATAGCTGATGAGGTAAAAAAAAAAAATCACAAGAAAATCTCATAATGTTTTAAGAAAGTTTATGAATCTGTATTAGGCCGCATTCAAAGCCATCCTGGGCTGCATGTAAAAAAAAGGTACAAAAATTAACCAGGTGTGGTGGCACATGCCTGTAGTCCCAGCTAATCAGGAGGCTGAGGTGGGAGGATCACTTGAGCCCAGGAGGTGCAAGTTGCAGTGAGCCAAGATTGTACCACTGTACTCCAGCCTGGGTGATAGAGTGAGACCCTGTCTTAAAAAAAAAAAAAATACATATACACACACACACACACACACACACACACACACACACATACATACATACATATGTTTACACACACAGAGATACACATATATACACACACATATATATGTATAGAACTAAATTAAAATGAAAATATAACATATCAAAATATGTGAGGTGCAGCTAAATGGTTGAGAGGGAAGTATAATACTAAAGGCTCACATTAGAAAAGAGAAAAAGTCTCGAATCAATAATGTAAGCACCCATCTGAAGAAACTTTAGAAAAAGAAAAGAAAAATAAACCCAAAGCAGGCAGAAGGGAGGAAATAATAAAGATAAGATTATAAATCAGTGAAATTAAAAATTAAAAAATAATAGAGAAAAATCAATGAAACAGCCTGCTTGTTTGAAAAATTTAAAAAAGATGATAAGCCCCTAACAAGACTCACAAAGATAAAAAGAGAAAACACAAATCACCAGTGTCATAAATGAAATACTACAATTTTATGCTGATAAATTTGACTCCCTTGCTCTTCCCCCCATCTTGGCTCCTGTGGAGGCCTGCTGGTAACAGGACTTATAAAAGGAAATATGTCTGGAAGACTGTGGTCCAAGGCCATTTTTGCTGGCTATAAACGGGGTCTCCAGAACCAAAGGGAGCACACAGCTCTTCTTAAAATTGAAGGTGTTTATGCCTGAGATGAAACAGAATTCTATTTGGGCAAAAAGGCCCACGGAAACAGTGGCATGGTTCATGCCAAATTCCAAAGCGATCTTCCTGCTAAGACTATTGGACACGGAATCTGAGTGATGCTGTACCCCTCAAGGATTTGAACTAATGAAAAGTCAATAAATAAACGTGGATTTAAAAAAAAATTTACTCCCTTGAAGAAATGGACCAATTCCTCCAAAATCACAAACTACTAAAATTTAACCAAGATGTAATGGGTAATCTGAATAGTCCTATAACCACTGAAGAAATTGAATTCGTAATTTTAAAACTCCTAAAAAAGAAATATCCAGGCTCAGGTAGTTTCAGTGGAGAATTCTACCAAATTTTTTTTTTTAACTTAACACCAACTTTACACAACATCCTCCAGAATAATAGAAGGGGAAGGAATACTTTCCAACTCACTTTATGAGACTGGTATTACCCTGATATAAAAACCAGACAGCAGGCTGGGCACAGTGGCTCACGCCTATAATCCCAGCACTTTGGGAGGCTGAGGCAGGCAGATCACATAAGACCAAGAATTCGAGACCAGCCTGTCCAACACGGCAAAACCCTGTCTCTACTAAAAATACAAGAATTAGCCAGGCATAATGGTGCATATCTGTAATCCCAGCTACTGGCACATCTGTAATCCCAGCTGAGGCAGGAGAATTGCTTGAACCCAGGAGGCAGAGGTTGCAGTGAGTTGAGATCGTTTCACTGCACTCCAGCCTGGGAGACAGAGCAAGACTCTGTCTCAAAAATAAAAAAAAATAAAAAAATAATAAAAAACCAGACTGCAATATTGCAAGAAAAGAAAACTACAAACCAATATCTCCCATGAACTTAGACACCAAAATCCTCAACAAAAATTAGTAAACTCAGTCTAGAAATGTATAAAAATAATTATGCAACAAGACCAAGTATGATTTATTCTAAGTATACAAGACTGATTCAATATTTAAAGAACAATCAGTGTAATTCACCACATAAACACCACGTAATATATATATATATAGAGAGAGAGAGTACTAGAATTTCTAACCACTGCAATAAAAGAAGAAAAATAAATAAAATGTTGCCCAGGCTGGTCTCAAGCGATCTGCCTGCCTCAGGCTCCCAAAGTGCTAGGATTACAGTGGACTGCACCATTGCACTCCAGCCTGGGTGACAGAGTGAGACTCTGTCTCAAAAAAAAAAAAAAAAAAAAAAAAAAAATATATATATATATATATACACACACATATATATACACATATATATACATATATACACATATATATATACACATATATATACATATATACACACATATATATATACACATATATATACATATATACACATATATACATATATATACACATATATATACATATATATACACACACATATATATATATAGTACTAGAATTTCTAACCCCTGCAATAAAAGAAGAAAAATAAATAGATTGAGAAGGAAAAAATAAAACTGTTTCTATCAGAAATGATACAACTGTCTATGTAGAAAATCACAAGCAATCTTTTTAAAAAATCCTCCAAATAAGAAGTGAGTCTAGCAAAGTAGCAGAACACAAGATCAACGAACAAAAATCAACCACATTTTTTTTTTTTTTTGAGACAGAGTCTCACACTGTCACCCAGGCTGGAGTGCAGTGGCGTGATCTCAGCTCACTGCAACCTCCATCTCCCGGGTTCAAGCGATTCTCCTGCCTCAGCCTCCTGAGTAGCTGGGACTACAAGTGTGCGCCACCATGCCCAGCTAATTTTTGTATTTTTAATAGAGACGGGGTTTCACAATGCTGGCCAGGATGGTCTCGATCTCTTGACTTCATGATCCACACACCTCGGCCTCCCTAAGTGCTGGGATTACAGTTGTGTAATGACATTACAGCTGGAAATGACAGTTGTGTCATTTCCAATAGGAACAGCCTGGGCAACGGAGTAAGACCCTTCCTTGAAAAAACGAAAAATAAACCAAAAACCCCCCGCAAATAACAAAGGGAAGAAAAGATAATTTTAAAGTGAAAAAATCTGGGAGATACTACCTTAGCCAAGTGATCAAAGTTAGTATTACCAGTAATGGGACAGTCCTGGCTCACTGCAGCCTTCATGTCCGGAAAGCAAGCATCAATCCTCCCACCTTAGCCCCCCCAAGTAGCTGGAACTACAGGAATGCACCACCACACCCAACTAATTATTGTATTTTTTGTAGAGGTGGGGTTTCACCATGTTGCCCAGGCTGGTCTCAAGCTATCTGCCCGCCTCAGCCTCCCAAAAGTGCTGGGATTACAGGCATGAGACAGGATGCCCGGCCTGCTTATGCTATTTTTAATGTCCGAATAATCCACATAATGGTTTTTGTTTTAGTGTACATGGTTATATGTTACTATTATGAATTAGGAAGAATTTTATATTTGAAACAATTTTTTTTATAGGATCTTGCTCTGCTGCCTAGGCTAGAGTGCAGTGGTGCAATCATAGCTCACTGCAGCCTCAGGGATCCTCCTACCTCAGCCTCCTAAGTATCTACAACTACAGGTGTGTGCCACTGTGCCTGGCTAATTTTTAAAAAATTTTTTTTGCAGAGACAGGATCTTGCCATATTGCCCAGGCTAGTCTTGAACTCCTGGCGTCAAGCAATTTCCCGAACTCAGCCTCCAAAACTGCTGGAATTACAGGTGTGAGCTGCCGTACCCAGCTCGAATTCTTAATTGAAAATGTTGCATAAGCCCACCAATAAAATAAAATAGTTTGTTAATGAATATGTAAATATTTGTGTAATATACATAATTTAAAGCATGTCCCGGTACTCTCTTAAAGTGTCTACATTTGGACACTTGAGGCTATGTGCCTGGGAATTCATTGCAAAATTGCCCTTGAGGTGGTTGAAGTCAGACATTCAGGCAGAGATGATAGTGATGGCTCCAGGGCAGCCTTCAGCCCTGCTTTCAGTCACCCTCCACCCACCACCCCTTCCCCCACATGCTCAACTCAGAGCCCTGGGTCCCAAAACAGATACACTCCATTAACAAGCAAGGGTATGCCCTCCCACTCCAAACGGCCAACAGGCAAAAGACCAGAACCAACAAATATCTGGAGGGATTTGGGTTCTTCTGAGCAGACTCATCACCCACCTCCCTTCTCTTTTCCCCCTGCCCTCCCTCTCTCCTCCTTCCCTTAAACACCTTCATTCCACGGGTGACAACACTGAGGTCCAGAAGGGGCAGAGGCTGAATTAATGGCATGGTCAAGATCACCACAGAGCCAGGACTCAACCTATCCTTCTGGTTTCAGGAGAGCCCTGCAATGGTGTAGGAGGCAGGAATCTTGGCTTAGGATTCACCTGCCCTGGCTTTCAACAGGCTGCTCACTCCAGCCTGGAGCAAGCCACTGTGCCCATCAGGACCCAGCCCATGTAGCTCCTGACTGGGCTTCCAGGAAGGGCTGCGTGGCACAGCCCGTGGTTCCCTGCCCCCTGCAACCTGCAGCACACCACCCTGTGCCCAGGGGTGAAGTGCTCTCAAACAACTGCTCTGGTCACCAATCCCCACCCCAACCCTCAAAGCAAAGTCTCCACCCTCCCTGTTCCTGGACGATTCATTTCATCCTGTTTCCTCCTCCAGGAGCCTGGTTAGAGGCGTCTGAAAGGCAGCTCATCCCTCCTTGGCAAACTCCCTCTCCCACTCTGGAAGACAAAGAGGCTGTTGACTCCTCCCTGGCAGTAAGGAGCACCCAGCCCTTGGGAACTAGGCTCCTGGGAAGGTGGGTTTGCCTCTCCTCCCTTCCCAATGGGTCTTTGGCAAAAAGAAGCAACTCTTCCTGTGACATACCTAAATCACTCCTGCTGCTTCCAGCCAGTTCCCTCCGGCTCCACGGAAAAGCCATTATGCAACTCCAGGCTTTGCGTGCATGTGAAGTGGCTGGTGCTGGTCAGGACATCTGTTCTTCAAGATGGAATGTGTGCCCATTGTCCAGTGCAGATAACCCAGACCCCAGCCTGTAACCCTGAGAGGAAGACGGAAGCTGGCTCCTCTCCAACACGTCACCGCACTGCATGCCTCACCAGAGCACAGATGGTGGCATTCCAAGTGCTGAGGAGCCCCTGACACTTACACAGAGTTTAGCTATCTTCCAGGGAAGCAGGATTTTGTGGGGGCTCTAAATTCATCTATGACTTAAGCAACAGTTCTCTGTTAACCAGACCTTGGGTTACCCAGAGCATGCTCTCCCCTGGCTTCAGCAGCCAGCAGGGAGAGCCTTCTTTGGGAGCCAGGGACGTGGGGGTGCTCCTGGGTTCCCAGACCTCCAGAGAGATCATAAGAAAGTGGGAAAAGAACCTCAAGCTCCAGCCCAGCCCCACACTGTGTGGTGTGTAGCTTGGAGCTCTTTGGATTTCAGCTTCCTCAGAGATGGGCAGACAATCTCTCAGACTGTCCAGCTTAGGGACTGTCTCTTGTTTCTAACACATATGTCATCTATTGGCTCCCCAAAACATACCCTGCTCTGTCCTCTGCCTCCATAGAATACGGGCTAGGAGGTTAAACCATCCTCCAAACCACCAGGGTCTGAAACTTCCAGCCCTTCCCCCAAAACAAAGATATATTGCAGTTCCAGAGGGGGACTATGCTTCTCAGTCCTGGGGCCACAAAGATCCCCCAGCCAAATCTCACCTCCCACATATGGTACAAAAAGGCAAAGTACACATACAGGGCCTAAAGACCGTGACATCAGAGCACAGGAGGGAGGCAGGATAGGAGCTGTGGGAACAGTCCATTCTTATTCACTATGTGAGCTTCCCCAGGTCCCTTAGCCTCTCCCAGCCTCAATTTCTTCAACAATATAATGGGCACAAGTATACACCCCAACAGAGCCCAGGGTGTGGCCCAGAGTCTCCTTAATACTTACTCAGTTCTGCTCCCTGCCCAACAGGTCACTGCTCTGCCCACCCTGTGCTTCTTCTCATGCCACAGGGAAAACTGGACCAGCCACCCCCTTCTCATAGGGAAATCCTGCAATCCCATCATTCGGAGTGATGATCAAGCCCGGACATAGCCTTCATTTATGAAGGCCTGGTCCAGCAGGAATTGTGCACTCCTTTCTCTGAGCCAAAAAGAGGAGTAGGATTGAGTAGCACCTGAATAAATAGAAATTTCTGCCTTTACCCCAGATAAGCAGAGTGGCTTTGCTGAGTATAAGAAACAAACTCTGGGTCCCCTTCATGCTGTTTTCTCCATCCCCCAGTGTAGTTACCTTATTTCATGAGGAGAACCCAGGGTCTTGATAGCTTTGGGCTCACTGTGGCTCCTGGAAAGGGCTGTGCTTGTTTCTGAAAACCAACTGATTGGTTCTCATTATCAATCTAACAAAATCCCAGTCCCTTTCTAGCATGTCCCTGGAGCTCTGTCCTCATGCCTGACCTGAGATCACACCCTGACCCTGACCCACACTCAGCCCTGACCTTGTAGAGGCTGGGACTTCAAAAGGAGTCTGAACCCAGCGAGACAGAAGTATCTACACAATACTGAAACGCTGTTACTAGAGCTTCTCTCTCCCTTACTGGCTTTGACGAAGCAAGCAACCATGTTGGGGAACCTCACATGTCAAGGAGCTCAGGCAGCCTCGAGAACCACGGGCAGCCTCCAGCTAACAGCCTTCAAGGACCTCCAGCAGCCAGCAAGAAAGTGAGGTCCTTGGTCCTATAGCCGCAAGAAACAATTCTGTCAACAACTACATGAGCTTGGAAGCAGACCCTTCCCCAGCTGGGCCTCAGGTAAAACCACAGCCTTGACTGATTCCTGCATTGCAGCCTTGTGAGACTCTGAATTACAGGACCCAGCTGAACTTAGCTGGGTTCTGAATTACAGAACCCAGCTAAGACTCCTGATCACGAAAACTGTGAGATAATAAGTATTCATTGTTTTATGCTGCTAAGTTTGGGGTCATTTGCTACACAATAGATAGCTAATATAGAGCTGTACTGGGAAGTCTTGACAGAACTTCAGGTCATTGAGATAGCTAAGGGTGGTCAAAATATTAGGCAGCCGTTGCGGCAGGGTAGTGTGAAATAGATAACAGCTACATTTTACTGAGCACTTACTATGTGCCATGCACTGTGCTAAATGCTTTCCGTGTGCTAACTCATTTAATCCTCACCAGGATTTAGGGACTAAATCCACATTTTACTGACAAGGAAATTGAGGTGCAGAGAAGTTAAACACCTTGCCCAAGGTCACACAGCTGATGAATAGTAGAGCCAGAAGTCACACCAGAAGTACTTTGCCATAACCCTTCAAGAGTAGGGGAGCTGGGATGTCAGTCTGAGAAATTTTGTTCTTCAGCCAATGGGAGCCCTTGAAAGTGGGGAATAGGAGAGTGGCACAGCCAATATGTGTTTTGGAAAGCCCTTTTTGGCAGGCCAGCAAGGAAGGTAGGGAGCCAGGCTGTGGGGAGACTTGGAGGCTGTGGGAGTTTGCAGAGGATGGAGAAGTCAGGAGGGAGACCCAAAGTGAGTCATGTGGGGATGGGCTGGAGGGAGTAGAGGACCACAGGGCAGAGCTGAGATGCTGACCAAAAGCCACCTAGGTCAGTAAGCATCTTCGGGGTCAGGGCTGGATTAAAGTGACCTAGTGGCCTCTGAGCCTTGCCACTTCCCCACTTCTGCTCAGCAGCCCTATAGCCTGTTCCTCCTCCTCCCAGGGTGTGGTGTGGCTGAGGGAAGCTGTGCCCCCCAGTCAGGCCCTAACCAATTGAATGGTGTCCTCGAATGCTCTTCCCTCCTTCTTCAAAGGCTCCTGGAAAGTGCACTCGAGGGTGAATGTTATTGCCTGGCACTCAGAGGCCAGGTAGGCATAGCTGAAGCCACCATGGAAGTCAGAGCCTGGCTCTCCCAGGGCAGAACACCCACCACGTCTTGAGGCTCAGGTTTGCCCAGGATTCTACTGAGCCCCTCTCTGCAGTTTCCGCACCCCCCACCAGAAATGAAACAAAACCAGTCATTGACAGGAATGAGCCAGGCTTAGGGCAAATGCTGCAATTAGTTTTTTAATCTGGTGATTTACAAACCTCTAAGACATCCGGAGCTCTGAGACTCAAAGCAGCTGATCTCATGCCAGCTAATGAGGGTGGTGGCTTCTAACTGGAGCGCCTGGCAGCTGGCACTGCTGGGTTGAACTGCCCTAAAGCCAAGACTGCATTAGTAGCTGGACCGGCTCTCCTGGTGGCCTCCACAGGAGGAAGTGCCTGAGGGCTCAGTAGGGTGGAGCTAGGCCCAGCCTGCCTGCCTTTTGAAGGCTCCACTCCTAGTCCTGCCCAGGCCTCCCTCCTTGCAGTCCTGTCCTCCCTGGACTCTCAAGCAGCAGCTCCTTTGCTTTTCCTGTGCCTTCTGCCAGGATGCCCTCACTCTCCTCCACCACCCTGCAAATCCCACCACACTTTCACAAGCCAGCATCTCCCTGACACTTTCCAGAATCCCAGCAGAGATGTTGCCTTCCTCCTCTAAGGGTCCCCAGCTGTCTTGCTCCCCTCTGGTGGCCCTGACAACATTTTGCCTCACATAAAAGTGCTATCTCAATGCAGTCTTATTTCTTTCTTGTCTGAGTCATGTAGGGCTGAGGCTCAGTCCAGTTCGTCTTTGCACTGTTCCCCATCCAGCCTACAGAGCTCCATCCAGGAGACCCCCTAAAACAGGCATGAGAGCACTACTGGTGGGGAAAGCAGCCTTGAAAGAAGCCAGTGCACAGGAGGGTATTTTTAACAAGTTAGCAGAGGTTTTCTCTCCTTCCCCTCAAACAACCTGTGGACCTGGATACATCACCCGGGGAAGAGAGGGTGGAGTGGATGGCGCCCTGCCCGTATCCCCTCCACATTCACCTCCCCTAGCAAAAGACACCTGTAACTTTTTACTGCAGGCACCTGCAATTCCCTATCTGAGGGCTTTTTTGGCCACAGGACATGAAAGGACCCACAACCTATGGGAGTTGATGGAGAGATGCCCCAGCTTCCTTGACCTACAGATGGGGATAGCACGACTCTGAGGTGTGTTCCATGCAGCCTCCCAGAGCTGGAGTTCCAGGCACCCATGGGGGTGACCTGGTCCTTAGCCACCCTGCATTGGCTGCCTTCCCTCTTCTGTCCCACTTCCTCATTTCCCTTGAGTGCTTCCTAGGATCACCTCCCGAATAAATTGCCTGTGCTCAAATTCTGCTCTTGGGGTCTATTGCTAAAGGAATCCAAAAGGAGGCAAGGAACACCTATGAGTCCCCCTGGATCACAGATGATCCCAGAGGTCTCTGAGGAAAGTCTCAAAACTGATCAGGACATGTTGACAGCAGAAAAATTTCATGAAACTCAAGAGCAAAGCTCCCTGGGCCCACTCCCCAGACAGAGCCTCAGCAGGGGCAGTAAGAACCCAAAGAGGAAATGGGCATGTGGGGTAGCCCAGAAGAGACTTTCTCTGTCTCCTGGAGAGCTGGCTCCCCAGGCATAGCCAGAAGCCTCAGTTTTCTGATCCCACAGGCACAGCAGGAAAATAGCAAAGAAACTCCAGGACTGAACCATTATGGAAACCCCTTAATAGCTGGACTTACATCAGCCCCCAGAGCTTTGACTCAACCCCCCAGAAAGGCAATAAGTCTAGAAAATCATTGGGATTTAATTTTCTGTCATCGTAGTAGAGCGGGAGCCCAGAATCAGAAATAATTTGGGTTACGGAACATGAAACAGTTTCTTACACACCTGAGTTTAAGGATACAGCAGTAGCTGCTGAACTAGCATTCCTTCCTCTTTCCCTCTTCGTGGTTCATACCTGGTTGTCTAGGACCACTTAGGATGCTGCAGAGTAAGCACTGGAGACAAAGCACTAGTTCCAGGACCCCCTTCCTGGAAGCCCCCACCCCTAATGCATGGGAAGAGCTCTAGAGTTCAGTGAGGTATCTTCCACATTTCTCACTCTCTTTGGGATCTCGTGGGGCTCATAGTTTCCCCAGCACCAAGCCCAAGCTATCCAGGGCCAGGCTCTGCCAGGAAGCAGTCAGGGGCTAGCCCTCTCCATCCATCTGTAGAAATGACTCTTTTGAGGGCAGAGTTGAGAGAGTGTTCCCCAGTCCCTCCTCAGGAGATGGCCAATACCTTCCAGTCCCAACCCTCCTTTCCACTTCTACCCCAGCCTCACCTGGAAGCCACGGTGGCCATGACTTGAGGCTGGAGTTACCCTCCTGTTCCCAAGGTCTGGATGCAGAACATCTGCATAGGCCACATATGCTGGCAGGGCCCCTGCCCTTGTTGGCTCAATCAAAACCAGCCAGGCAGGGAGAGTGTCCAGCTGGGGCCATGAGGCCTGAGAAGGCAACAGATCTGAGTTAAGGCTTCCCATAGAACAGATAATCTTAGCCCTGGGTCGAGTGACATCCAAGAAATGCATGAATAGAAATTTATGGAGTCCAAATACTTGGGTGGTAAAAAATGGCTACTTTATTCCATTTTAACTGAAGGTTAGCATTCTCTTCCATGATGAAAGTAGACAAATAGCACAGTGGTATCAGCAGGAGCTGTGACTTTATCACCAACAGAAATCCCAGCTACTTTAATCTCAAGTTACCATTAGTGGAGATGTCTCAAAATGTCATTTATTCTCATCACTACTTTAAAATCACTGGGGTTACTCAGCCTGCCACTAGATCTTGTTATTTGATACATTAATAAAGAAACACATGGATTACTGCGGCCAAAATATGTTTTTAATATTTTGATAACTGTATTTCAATTGATTTCCTATGTAATTATATGTTTTGTTTCTTGTGCATTTTAAAACATTATCTGGAGAAGATGGTAGATAGGAGACAGGGCTAACGTGCAGCTCCCACATGGACAGACAGAACACCATGATCTTTTGCTCCAAGAACTACTGCAGGAATGTGCAAGGAAAACCAAAATAATTCACAGATTCTTTGAAAGAAGTGGCATGCTGCTGCAAATTCTGTGAAACAGGCAAAAAACTGAGGCCCCAAAGTATGTTGGGGGGGATATCTGCCTCTGAACATACATCCCCACTGGAGAATCTGAAAATCCAGATCATGAGAGGAAGATTTAGCCTTGCCTAGAGCTGAAACAGAATTAGGAAGTTGCGTGAAATATAAAAAGTAGAGGTAGCAGTGGGATGGGCCTTCTAGGCACTCCCAGTCTCCAGCTTGAGCCCAGGGAAGCCATCTCTGACTATTTCTCACAGGGGCCCTTGGGGAAGGCAGCCAGCAGAATTGGGGAGGGATTGCAGGGTGAAGAAAACTCCCAATTGAAATTAGTAGTGGTTTCAACTGGGCACAAATTTTCTTAAGCAGAGTCCAGGGGACAAGCAGGAGCTGCTGCAGGTTTGAGTGTAGGAGCATGGGAGCTGGCTATGGAGTGGGCAGATGAGGAGGGGTGAGGTCTGAAAGCCTGCTTTCTCAGCAGGGTGGCTCACAGCCCGGGGCAAGTTCTGAGTGGGAATATTGCAAGAGTGAGAAAGGCCTCGCCAGCTGCATGGGAGCTGGGTGAGGCCTCTTGCTACCAGCTATCTCCCACTTCCCTGGCAAACTATATGACACAGCAGAGGTAGCCAAGATCCCCTCTGGAACATAGCCCCATAGGCCTGAGAAACACCCCTTATCCCCCCCAGTAGCCACAGCAAGTGCTGCCCAAGAAGAGTCTGAGCCCAGACGTGCCTGATCCTGCCCCCACCTGATGGTATTTCTCTACCCACCCTGGTAGCCAAACACAAAAGACAGAAACTCTTGGGAGCTTTATGGGCCCACCAATCACCTGAGAAATTGAAATACTTACCTTGGCCAATTTAGGGCAAGCTTAGATCCCCCTACTACTACCACAGCTGGTGCTCTCTTGAAAGTGCCACCTCCTGGCTGGAGGTCAACCAATTCAGGCCATTACAGCAACCCATGACAGAACAAACCTGATCCCAGGAAGGAGAAAAAACACCTAATTCCACTGCCTGCAACATCCTGGCTAACCAGAAATCCTGAGTTTGTCCATGTGACAACTTCACTGCTAGCATAATCAGCATTCAAGAAAGGCAGCACACTAAACATATCTATAACAAAAGACTCTCACAGAGTCTACTTCATTTCCCTGCCACCTCTACAAGAGCAGGTGCTGGTATCCATGGTTAGGAGACCTGAAGACAGATTACATCACAGGACTCTTTGCAGACATACTGCAGCACAAGCCTGGAGCCTGGTAGCCCACAGGGTGGCTAGACCCAGAAGAGCAGTAACAATCACTTCAGTCTGGCTCTCAGGAAGCCTCATCTCCAGGGAAGAGGGAGAGCACCACATCAAGAGATCACCCCATGAGACAAGAGAATCTGAACAGCAGGCCTTGAGTTTCAGACCTCTCCACTGAAATAGTCCACCCAAATGAGAAGGACCCAGAAAAGTCATTCTGGTAATATGACAAAACAGGGTTCTATAACACTCCCAAAAGATCACACGTGCTCCCCAGCAATGGACCCAAACCAAGAAGAAAGCTCTGAATTGCCAGATAAAGAATTCAGAAGGTTGTTTATTAAGCTACTCAAGGAGATAACAGAGAAAGGTGAAAACCAATTTAAAGAAATTTTTAAAAAATACAGGATATGGATAAAAAAATCCCCAGAGTAATAGATATCATTAAAAAAATCACAACTTCTGGAAATGAAAGACACACTTAGAAAAATACAAAATACCGTGGCAAGTTTCAACAATAAATTAGAACAAGTAGAAGAAAGAACTTCGGAGCTTGAAGACAAGGCTTTCAAATTAACCCAATCCAACACGGACAAAGAAAAAAGAATTTTTAAAAATACAAGACGCTCAAAGAACACCTGGGAAATTCATTGCAAAAAAAGATCATCACCTAGGCACATAGTCATCACATTATCTAAAGTCAAGACGAAGGAAAGAATCTTAAGAGCTGTGAGACAAAAGCATCAGAAAACCTGTAAAGGAAAACCTATCAAGGTTAACAGTGGGTTTCTCAGCAGAAACTTTACAAGCCAGAAGGGATTGGGGACTCATTTTTGGCCTCCTGAAAAAC
Organism: Homo sapiens; assembly: GCF_000001405.40. Taxonomy (NCBI): domain Eukaryota; kingdom Metazoa; phylum Chordata; class Mammalia; order Primates; family Hominidae; genus Homo; species Homo sapiens. The sequence goes on from NC_000003.12 coordinate 42,481,824, forward strand.
AAAAATAATTGTCAGCCAAGAATTTTGTATCCAGCAAAACTGAGTCTTTTTCAGACAAACAAACACTGAGAGAATTCACCACTAATAAGCCAGCCCTGCAAGAAATGCTAAAAGGAGTTCTAAATCTTGAAACAAAACCTTGAAATGCACCAAAATAGAATCTCCTTAAAGCATAAATCTCACAGGTCCTATAAAACAATAACACACCAAAAAACAAGGTATTAAGGCAACAACAAACATGATGAATAGAACAGTACCTCACATCTCAATACTAACGTTGAATGTAAATGGCCTAAATACTCCTCTTAGAAGATACAGAATGGCAGAATGAATAAAAATCCACCAACCAAGTGTCTGCTGTCTTCAAGAGACTCATCTAACACATAAGGACTCACATAAACTTAAGGTAAGGGGGTGAAAAAAGATATTCCATGCAAATGGAAACAAAAATGAGCAGGAGTAGCTATTCTTATATCAGACAAAACAGACTTTAAAACATCAACAGTAAAACAGAAAGACAAAGATGGACATTATATAATAATAAAAGGATTAGTCCAATAGGAAAATATCACAATCCTAAATATTTATGCACCTAACACTGGAGTTTCCAAATTTATAAAACGATTACTACTAGACCTAAGAAATGAGATAGACTGCAACGCAATAATAGTGGGAGATTTCAATACTCCACTGACAGCAATATACAGGTCATAAAGACAGAAAGATAACAAAGAAACAACGGAATTAAACTATACCCTAGAACAAATGGACTTAATGAATATTTACAGAACATTCTACCCAACAACTGCAGAATATACATTCTTTTCTTCAGCACATGGTACATTATCCAAGATAGACCATATGTTAGGTCACAAAACTAGTCTCAATAAATTTAAGAAAATCAAAATTATATCAAGTATCCTTTCAGATCACAGTGGAATAAAACTATAAATTAACTCCAAAGGGGATACTCAAAACTATTCAAATACATGGAAATTAAATGATCTGCTCTTGAATGATCTTTAGGTTAACAATGAAATCACAATGAAAATTTAAAAATTCTTTGTGCTGAACAATAATAGTGACACAACTTATGAAAACCTCTGAGGCTGGGTGGGGTGGCTCACACCTGTGATTCCAACACTTTGGGAGGCCAAGGCAGGCAAATCACTTGAGGTCAGGAGTTCAAGACCAGCCTGGCCAACATGACGAAACCCCGTCTCTACTAAAAATACAAAAATTAACAAGGCGTAGTGATGTGCACCTGTAATCACAGCTACTCAGGGGGCTGAGGCAGGAGAATCACTTGAACCTGGGAGACAGAGGTTGCAGTGAGCCAAGATTGTGCCACTGCATTCCAGCCTGGGCAGCAGAGCAAAACTCCATCTCAAAAAAAAAAAAAAAACTCTGGGATACAGCAAAAGCGATGCTGACAGGAACGTTTATAGCATTAAACGCCTACATCAAAAAGACTGAAAGAGTGCAAATAGACAATCTAAGGTCACAACTCAAGGAACTAGAGAAACAAGAACAAACCAACCCAATCAGCCGAAGAAAAGAAATAACAAAGATCAGAGAAGAACTAAACGAAATTGAAACAAACAAAAAAACCCAAAAGATAAATGAAACAAAAAGCTGGTTCTTTGAAAAGATAAACAAAATTGATGGACCGTTAGTGAGATTAGCCAAGAAAAGAAGAGAGAAGATCCAAATAAGCTCAATTAGATATGAAATAGGAGATATTTCAACAGATACCACAGAAATATGAAAGATCATTCAAGCCTACAATGAACACCTTTATGCACACAAACTAGAAAATCTAGAGGAGATGGATAAATTCCTGGAAACATACAACCCTCCTAGATTAAATGAGGAAGAAATAGAAACTCTGAATAGACCAATAACAAGTAGCAAGATTGAAACAGTAATTTTAAAAATTGCTACCAAAATAAAATCCAGGACCACATGGACTCACAGCTGAATTCTATCAGACATTCAAAGAAGAATTGGTACCAATGTTACTGAAACTATTCCAAAAGACAGAGAAAGAGGGAATCCTCCCTAAATCAGTCTGTGAAGCCAGTATCACCTAATACTAAAACCAGGAAAAGACATAGCAAAAAAAGAAAACTACAGACAAATATCCCTGATTAACTTAGATGCAAAAATTCTTAGCAAAATACTAGCTAACTGAATCCAACAGCATCGCAAAAAGATAACCCACCATGATTGAGTGGGTTTCACACCACGGACACAGAGATGATTTAACATATGCAAGCCAATAAATGTGATACACCACATAAACAGAATTTAAAGCAAAATCATATGATTATCTCAATAGATGCAGAAAAAGCATTTGACAAAATTCAGCATCCCTTTATGATTAAAACCCTCAGCAAAACTGGCATAGAAGGGCCAAACTTCAAGGTAATAAAAGCCATCTCTGACAAACCCACAGTCAACATTATACTGAACAGAGAAAAGTTGAAAGCATTCCCTCTGAGAATTGGAACAAGACAAGAATGCCCACTTTCACCACTTCTATTTAACATAGTATCAGAAGTCATAGCCAGAGCAATCAGACAAGAGAAAGAAATAAAAGGCTTTATTGTTTATTCAAAACAATAAAGAGGAAGTTAAACTGTCACTATTCACCAATGATATGATCATATACCTAGAAAACCCTAAAAACCAATTCAAAAAGCTCCTAGATCTGATAAATGAATTTAGTAAAGTTTTGGGATACAAAATTGATGTGCACAAATCAATAGCACTGCTCTACACCAACAACGACCAAGTTGAGAAGCAAATCAAGAACTCAATCCCTTTTATGACAGCTGCAAAAATAAAAATAAAAATAAAAATAAAATACTTAAGAATATACCTGACCAAGGAGGTGAAAGATCTCTACAAGGAAAACCACAAAATACTGCTGAAAGAAATCACCAATGACACAAACTAATTGGAAATATAACTAATGCTCATGGATGGGTAGAATCAATATTGTGAAAATGACCACACTGCCAAAAGCAATTTACAGATTCAGTGCAATTCCCATCAAAGTACCATCATTATTCTTCATAGAACTAGAAAAAAGCAATCCTAAAGTCCATATGGAACCAAGAAAAACCCCACATAGCCAAAGCAAAACTAAGCAAAAAGACCAAATTTGGAGGCATCATATTACCCAACTTCAAACTAAACTACAAGGCTATAGTTATCGAAATGGCATAAAATACTGGTATAAATATAGGCATGTAGACCAATGCAACAGAATAGAGAACCCAGAAATAAAGCCAAATACTGACAGCCAACTGATCTTCAACAAAGCAATGAAACATAAAGTGGAGAAAGGACACCCTATTCAACAAATGGTGCTGAGATAACTGACAAGCCACATGTAGAAGAATGAAACTGGATCCTCATCTCTCACATTATATGCAAATCAACTCAAGATGGATCAAAGTCTTAAATCTTAGACCTGAAACCTACAAATTCTAGAAGATAACATTGGAAAAACTCTTTTAAACGTTGGCTTAGGCAAAGAGTTCATGACCAAGAACCTAAAAGCAAATGCAACAAAAACAAAAACAAATAGATGGAACTTAATTAAACCGAAAAGCTTCTGCACAACAAAAGAAATAATCAGCTGTGTAAACAGACAACCCACAGAGTGGGAGAAAATATTCACAAACTATGCATCCAACAAGGGACTAATATCCAGAATCTACAAAGAACCAAAACAAATCAGCAAGAAATAAACAAATAATCCCAACAAAAAATGGGCAAAGGACATGTATAGACAACTCTCAAAAGAAGATATACAAATGGCCAACAAACATATGGAAAAAATGCTCAACATCACTAATTATCAGGGAAATGCAAATCAAAATCACAATACGATACCACCTTACTCCTTCAAGAATAACTGTAATTAAAAAATAAAAAAAAAAATAGATGTTGGAGTGGATGTGGTGAAAAGGGAACACTTTTACCCTGTTGGAGGGAATGTAAACTACTACAACTACTATGGAAAACAGTAAGAAGATTCCTTAAAGAACTAAAAGTAGAACTCCCATTTGATCCAGCAATTCCACTACTGGGTATCTACCCAAAGGAAAAAAAAAGTCATTACATGAAAAAGACACCTGTTCAGGAGACAGATGCACCAAAATCTCAGAAATTACCACTAAAAAACTTATCCATGTAACAAAAAACCACCTATTCCCCAAAACTATTGAAAAAAATAAATAACTAAAACATTGTCCTAATGAGGGTCCATAGGCTTCAAAAGAAGGTCCATGGCAGTAAAAAGGTTCAAACCCCTGCTGTGGACAGACCCCCATGAAAGAGGGAAGTGATGGCCTCCAGTTGGGAGGGGTCCTCATTCAATCCTTGCAGAGATGGGCCAGAAAATCTTAGAAACCAATGTTCTAGGGCAGGGGCTGGCAGCCAGACTGCCCAGAAAAGGACTTTACTCCATCTTATCTTCTTTCTACTTATTGTTTTAACTTGTACTTATGGATTCTGAACTTTTCCACTGTGCCCAGCAAGGAGCTTAGCAGGTGAGGGTTCCTGGCAGGGTGGAATAGAAACAAGAGCCTGACAGGCACTAGACTTAGCCCCTTGAATTGGGATTTTGGGTGGTGGCCAAGGACTGACAGGGCAGCCCTCAATTTCCCAGTAGGGGGTCCGGGAGTGATAGAGTCCACATTCCAGGACTTTCCTGGAGATGGACCATGTTGGGCTGTCACTGAAGGCTGGTATGGCAGAGCCGAGAAGTGAACTCCCAGGCACGAACTGAAGTGAGTCCACAGCACCTGCCCTGGGGAGTCAGTGGCTGACAGGAGGTCTTTAAGCTGCACAACCTGGACCCCTGTCCTCAGAAACTTTGAGTAGGGAGCAGGGCAGGCAAAACTGGCAAACTATATGAGAGATGCTAGGTTGGTTCCTGTCTGACCTCTGCTTCTTCCAGAGTGTAGCAGATATTTGGGGCCCCTCCTCTGATAACAGCTGCAGCTGCAGGGGCCAGCTCTATACCAGCCCTCAACATCCCACCTCAACAGTCATAGGTCTCTCCTTTTGCCTGTCTCAGGGCTATTTTTAAAAGTCACAGAGTCAGCTGGGGGATGAGTGGGAGATGCAGCCAGGAAGTGCAGGGGAGTTAATTCCCCAGAGTGGGACCCACAGATAAATGGCCCAGCTTCCCACTCACTCTGGGAGGCTTCTGAGGTTCTCGCTGAGTTGGGCCCCCATCTTCTGAAGCAGAGAGCTTGATGGCACACTCCCTGCTCCCTTCCTGCAGCCTGCTAGGGTCACCTCCCAAATAAACTACCTGGACCCAAGTACTTTGCTCCAGGTTCTGCTTCTAGGGAGACCCAAACTGAGATATAGTAATAGAGTTTTTAAGCTGGACACATGACTGCCTCTTATAAAGGCTATATTGCTCAGCTGTGTATTTTAGCCATGGGTGGCCATGTGATTAAGTTTTGGCCAATGGGATGTGAGAAGAGGTGACTGTGCAACTTCCAAATCACTCAGTTGCTAGGAAGGGGCATGCCATCTTCTTCCCCTTTGCCTCTCTTCACTGCCTGGAAAGCAGAAGCAGCAGTGGCCATGTGGACAAAGGTCTTTACCTCCTGATATTCACTCCCTTGTGTAGCCTCCTCCCACATTCAACCAAGAATGGCCTCTGTGATCAATAGAATACGGCAGAAGTGACAGTGTATGACTCTCACAGATAGTCATAAAAGGCACTCTATCTTCCATTTCAGTCCCTGGGGTCTGTCACTCAGGAGAACCAGCCGCCATGACATAAGGACACTCAAGTAGCCCTGTGGAAAGGTCTACATGGAGGAGGAACCAAGGCCTCCTTCCAATAGCCACGTGAGAGAGAAAATGGTTGGGAATAGATAGTACCCCAAATAAACCTTTAGATGACTACAGCCCTAGCTGACATCTGACTGCAAACTCATGACAGGTCTCAAGCCAAACCTGTCCAACCAAGTTTCTTACAAATTCCTGATCGACAGAAACCATAAGACATAATAAATAATTTATTAAAGCCACTAAGTTTTAGGTCAATTTCTTATATAATACTAAATAACTGCTATGGGTTGAATTGTGGCTCTCCTGTCAAAAATTTACATGTTGAAGTCCTAACCCCTAGTACCTCAAAATGTAGCATTATTTGAAGTAAATGTCTTTACAGAGGTAATCCAGTTAAAATAAACTTATTAGAGTGGGCCCTAGACCAGTATGACTGATGTCCTTATAAAAAGGGGAAATTTGGAGACACACAGGGAGAATGCCAACGTGAAAATGAAAGCAGAGATTGGGATGATGCTTCTTCGAGCCAAGGAGTGCCAAAGATTGCCAGCAACTACCAGAAGCTGGATGAGAGGCATGGGATTCTCCTAGTCCTTAGAAACCAACCCTACTAACACCCTATCCTTGGGCTTTCTGGCCTCCAGAACTACAAGAAAATAAGTTTCTGTTGTTTAATCCCCCAAACTTATGGTACTTGGCTACGGCAGCCAGAGCAAACCAGTACAATAACTGATACAGACAACATCCAAAGGATAGTGGAGTAGAAAGACCGAAGAACTCTGGGCCTTTCATGTCACAGCAAGAGCCTCCACACCAACTCTGGCTTCTCTATGCAAAAAAATAAATCCCTGTCTTATTTAAGCCGCTGTTCTTCCCATCTCTAGCCCACGTAGCTGAAGCTATATCCTCACAAATTCAGCATCTAAAACTTCCTCTCGACATGTGCTGTCCTGACTGATTTCACATGGAAATGAATCCCCAGAATAAAGAAATAAATTGAGATCAACACTGTCATCAAGATTGTAAAGACTGTCTTCCTTTCGCACACAGACACTGAGTGTTTCTTCCAGATGGAAAGCAGGTGGGGTTGGGTGGAAGGGGATGCAGGAAGCCCTTACTGTGAAGGAGCAGCACATCCTGGCAGGACTGAGGGGGAGGTCTGGAGGAACCACACTGGCTCTACTCACTCTATGGAGACAGAGCAGAACATCTCTCTAAGGAAAAAGAAAGGGCACCAGGTCCAGGAGAGACTGCCCAGGAGCGGAGGCCAACACAAAGATTCAAAAGAAGTGCTTCTTTCTGTCCTGGGCTAAAACGAACCACACGTACATTCCCATTCCTTCCCAAGATGGCCTCTTCCATTCTGCTGTCCCTGAACAACTTGAGGACTGGGGAGTTGGAGTTGGAACTTGCAGTATTAAAACTCTTTCTGTTTCACTTAACATGAAGCCAACGTATACTGGCCTAAGCAAAGAAGAGATTTATATAACAGAAACAGAAAAGTTCACAGGGCTTCCGGTGCAACTGGATTCAGGAACTCAAACAATGTCATCAGAAATCTGTCTATCTCTATCGCTTGGATCTGATTTCCTTGTGTTTGCTCAAATCTCAAGCAGGTAAATATGCCACAGCAGCAGCAAGCTTGCATTTTCCCAGCTTACTAGTGGAAAAGCAGCTTCTTTCCCACAGTTCCAGCAAAAGCCCCAGGGCTGATGCTCATTGGCCCAGGTTGGGGCATGTGACCATTGGCAAGACTCCCATTGGCCAGGCCTGGGGCAGGTGCTCACTACTGGAGCCAGAGCGGAGTATAAGCCCTACCCAATCACTGAACTACGTGGGTCAAGAGTAAAGGAGCTGTGGCTTCCCCCCAATCAGAAGGGCACTGGATGATGGATGAACTCTGTGTGGTGCGTCTTCACACTGACACCAGGAGGATAAGGAAGTGACTCCCTCAGCTGAGTGGCTGGCATGTGCCAGGCTAGAGCAGCTTGGCTATGGCAGAACATCCAGCCCCACCGTGTGGACGGTAGGGTAAGACCCAGCCCTAGTCTGGCCTCAGACTAAGGGCTCCTCATCCCCAGGCTTCCCCATGCATTGGCACTCCTCCAGACCAGGAGTAAGACATTTCTTTGTTACGCACAGTTCTGTACTTTCTTACTCCGCAGTATGGCCCTCCGCTGGTGGCCAGTTACCCTCAAATGTGGTCTTAGCTCCAGCAAGCCTTCTGCTTTCTACCTTCTCTCCACTCTCCCACCATAGGTTACACACACACACTCATTCTTCCACCACCAGTCCAAGACCTCTCCTCCGACCCTCCATTTCTTCAGAGCACAGTTCCCGCGAAGCCCTTCCTCTGATCTGCACCACCCAGAGAGGCTAAGCTCTGCCTGCAGTCTCCACTCACACCCTACCTCATTCCTACAAGAGACTCTGGTCTCCCTACTTAGCCTGGGAGCTCCCAGGGCAGGAGTTCAGCTTCCTCCTTGCTCCTTCCCCACCCCAATTCCTCCCCATGCAAGACAGAGGACAGACAGGCCTACCCCCAAAGAAGGGGTTAAATAATCTGAAAGTTAGGGTCACCACAAAGCAAAAGAAGCCAGCGGTCAATTCAGGGTGGCTTCCCAGAGTGGCAGCAGGCGTCAAGGTTCACACGAGCTGCAGCAGAGCTGCTAATGCTGTCAGGGTCCCTATCCTTATTCCTCTGGGCCTTATCCCATCTCAGGCAAGAATAGGCCTAGGGGCAAGCACAGCTGGCAAGTGACTCAGGCCTGGGCAGGATCTAGAATAAAGAGGAGGCGAGAGAGGCGTGCATAGCTGAGGCTATTTTTACCCAGACCTGTGCAAACAGAGGCATGAGCTGGTCTGGCCAGTTCCTCCCCTTCCTTGGCACCTGGCCTGGAAGTCCCTTACCAAGTAAGCAGTACCCACTGGGTTGGGAGCCAGAGGGGAGGAATGGGTGGGTAGAGAAAGGGCAGATGTAAGAACTGCCTCCAGGTACCCTAGAGACACAATACCTTGGAAGGTGATAAGTGTTATGAAGAAGAGTAGAGAGTAAAGAGGTTTAGGAGTTGGGGGGAAGGGAGCAGTTTGCAGTATTAAGGAGGGGGACTGGCATTGAGAAGAGAGGTGGGGAGCCATGGGAATACCGGGGAAGAGCATTCCAAGTAGAGGGAGCTGCCAGTACAGACTGAAAAGCAGCAGGGGTCTAGGAATAAATTTTTAAAATAGCAGGGAGGCTGGTATGCCTTCAGGGAGAGCAGAAGACCAGAAGAGAGGTGAAGGATTGTGATGGAGGCATCACTCAGGGCCTGGTAAGCGCTCGGAACTAAGGAGCCACAGGATCTCGCTGATGTTTTAAAATGTGTTCCACAATAGTCAGTCTGAGAGAAATGTGTTAAATAACACCACAGGGGCACAAGCAGCAAACTTTGACAGGAGGATGCCCGTGCGCAGAACCCACAACCCAGTTTCTTCAAAAGAGAGCCTGCAAGGAAAAGAGAAGCACAGGCAGAGAGATTGAGGGGAGTCTCTGTATGAAATTTGAATGTGTGAATCTCTGTATTTAAGCAAACAACTGGTAAAAATAAATAAATTATCAATCAAAGCACTTACAAGGCAAGGAATGAAAATTAAATAATGATTGGATATTGAATGCTATTAAGGAATTTTGGTATTTCTTAGTGTGAAAATTGTGTTGTGTATAATGGTATTGTGGTTATTTTTTAGAGTCCTTATCCTTTAGATGTACACACTCAAATATTTACAGATAAAATGGTAGATCTGTAATTGGATTCAAAATGATCATGGTTGAGGTAGAGGGACAGAGGAAATAAATTAAGTGATGGGTGCATGGAAGATCATTATAATACTTTATTCACTTCATGTATTTTGAAGCTTTCTTTCTTTATTTTTTGTTTGTTTGTTTGTTTTTTGTTTGTTTGACATGGAGTCTCACTGTGTCACCCAGGCTGGAGTGTAGTGGGGTGATCTCAGCTCACTGAAACCTCTACCTCCTGGGTTCAAGTGATTCTCCTGCTTCAGCCTCCCAAGTAGCTGGGGCTACAGGCGTGCACCACTACACCTGGCTAATTTTAGTATTTTTAGTAGAGCTGGGCTTTCGCCATGTTGGCCAGGCTGGTCTCGAACTCCTGACCTCAAGTGATCCACTGACATTGACTTCCCAAAGTGCTAGGATTATAGGTGTGAGCCACCGCACCTGGCCTGAAGCTCTTCTTAACAAACAATAATACTACTCAATCCGGATACTGAGATTGGAGAATGGGGTTCCAGAGATTCTGAGGAAGCAATTGTGGTGAACAGGTGAACAGGTGAGCAGGTGAGGGATAAGTTAAAGATGACCTGAGACTGCAAGCAAAGGGTGAGAGAAAGCAGTCAGGGATGCGCTTGCAAGAAAAGACTTCCCCTTCCTCCCCTGGCTCCAGCATTTGGCTTCCTCTTCCCTCCCAACTCCCTCCTCCCCTCTCATTTTTTTCTTCTCTCCCAACTTTCCATCCTCTGCCCACCCTCCTCATCCTTCCTTCCTTCCTCATCCCTCCTCCCCTATCTCTCCTTCCTCTTTTCTCTTCCTCCTGCCTCTCTATCTTCAGCAAACATCTTCCTGGCCTCCTTCCCAGCCCTGCGCAGGTGGTCCTACCCAGCTGGTTTTTCTCTGCAGCTAGGTTGCCAGGCAGCTCCAGTTTGGTTCCCCTGGTCACCACCACCCCCAGCTTCCCAGGCCTGCTCTCCTTGCTGAGTGCTGCCTTCACCAAGTTTCCTCAAAAGGAGAAAAGAGAGTGCTCCTGGGGCCTCTCCTCCCTCCACAGAGGAAGCACCACCACAGCCTGAGGTTGTCCTGGCCCAGCTTGGAAGGGAATGGAGGTGAGGACCTGGGGAAAGCGTTAGGGACCCAACCTGGCATTGACAGCATGAGATGGTCTTTGTTGTTCTTCTCCCGGAAATGATTCCCCTCACTGCAGAGGAGGGTGGAGGCTGGAAGAAAAGCAGAAGTGACCCTAAGACACTTCCTGTCCAGGCATTTGTTTTCAAGTGCCAAGCCTGGGGACCCAGGAGGAGAAGGGAAGGACTTCCCTGGGATTCCTCCAAACTGTCTCCCTTGAGCAGCACTAGACTCACTACCTGCTCCCCACCTCCCACCTCAGGAAGGGGACTGCAGGGTACACAGGAGGCTGCGCCCTGGACACCAGGCCCCAGCCCCACCAAACCCTCAGTCCCCAAAGCCCCAGACCCTGAACTTGCCAGGACCATGCAGGCTGGGCTACTGTGGGTCTTGGCAGAACCAGCAACCAATGGAGGGCGAGAAGGAAGGAGATCTCTAACATTTTCCCAGAACAAACCACGCAGGAACCCAAGAAAGGCTGAAGTTCTATTTTTTGCCAATCCGGTGTAATGAGAGTATAAAGCCAAAATTAACTTGAATTCTAGAAAATAAAGACAAGCCATATTTCCTGAACCTGAGTCAATGGACTGAGATTCCATCCAAATAAAGGAAAGGCTAGGAGGGAGACGGGTGGCTTCTGGCTCCAGTGAGACCCGAGGCTATCTGCTGCAGACCCCAGATTGCAGGCCACGGTCCCTGTCCAGTGGCAGGGCACCAGCCTACCTTGCCACTGTGGGCAGCCATCAGGGAGAGGGCAGCCACTCTCGAGAGGGCCTTGGGACCCTAAAATAGCCTTGTCTCCCCAGGGAGAGTAGACACACACTCCCACGGCCGAGCATGGGGCTGGCACTCTGGTAATCATCAAAGTAATAAAGATGATAAGAAGAAGCATTTAGTGAGCATGGCTGCTTGCCTGTGGGCACAGTTGGGCCTAGGGTCCCTAGAGGCCTTTATGCTGGATACCTGTGGCTGCAGTGGGGGACAGAGGAGGGATTAGAGCTGGGCTTCCCCAACCTAACTCAGATCTCTTGCTCTCTCTGCCTGGTCTTCAAGCCACAAGCTTGGCCCCAGTCCTAGAACCCATCCTTCAGTCAGGGGAATGACACAGTGGCTGTTGCAAAGGCCCCAGGTCAGAACCCAGGTCTGGCTGATGGGTCAAAAGAAAGTTAAATAGATACTCCCACCCCTGCTCTGCAAGGATCAGGATATGGCTGTACCTGGGTTTCTCTGGGCGTTTCTTCAGGGTCCTGAGGTCCTCGTCAGAGAGGCACAGACCTGGGCTGTGCTCTACCTTCTCAGCCAATGGGAGCCCAGACTCTGGGCCCATCCCTTTCTGGAAACATCTGGTTTATCAAGGGCAGCCACTCTGTGACCAGCCAGGGTCCTCTCCTCCAGTCTCAACTCCCACCTGGCAGGTGAGGCTGCCTCTGCCCACACCCGTCCTGGGCCCAGGTCCCCTCACCTCACCAGGCAGCAGCCAGCAGCATCCTGCCTAAGGCACAGCAGCTGACAACAGACCTGCCTCAAACCTTCCCCAGTGGGGCAGCCGTGGTTTGTCTCCCTTGTCTTAGCTCAGGAACTAGACAACTTTGTACTTTATTGACGCTGCTGTTTAATTTTTGCTTCTATGTTTATGTATGAACATGAATTAAACATTAGACGTTAAATATGTATTAAATTAATTCATAGATTTATATATTTATTGATATCCATGAAATTATAAAATGGAAATGCAGTTTTTTTTTACTTACCATATATTTGCTTTGTTTTAATATCAGCATTATGATACCTCGTAGAATATGTTGGAAAACATTTCATCTTCTTCACTGCTTTCAAACAGTTTGATTACATAGGAGTTATCTGTGCCTTAAAGGTTTATGTAACTCTCTTATAAAACTATCTGAGCTTGGTATTTTTTAGGGGTAAATTTAATGGTTTATATTTCTCTAGAAAAGCACCCATTTCACCTAGATGTTCAAATATATTGGCATTAAGATAGTATTCCCTCATAGCTTTCAAATATACTCTATTCTTGGAACTATGTCCTTTCTCTTGTATATTTCCACTTTCACTTGTGATCAGCCTTGCTAAACCTTTGTCTATTTACTGGTCTGCTCAAGAGGAAAGTTTACTTTATTAATCACTTTGATATTTTATTTTGATTTCATTGTTTTCTGTTTTTATAGTTACTAATTCCTTCTTTCTTTGGATTTAATTTATTATTTTTTTCTAGTATATTTAGCTGTTAACTTATTTCACTAATTTTATCTTTCTTGTTTATTATCAGTGCAATTAAGGCTACAAATTTTCCTCCAGTTACTAGAATGTTCATATCTCTTATTTTAATATTCATTGTTATTCACTTCTAAATAATGTATAATTCCAATTTTTACTTCCTTACCATAATAATTACTTAAAAGGGTGATTTCTGGTGTTTTAAAATTTATTAATTGTCTATGCGTGAAATATTTCCAAACATACAGGAGAAAAGAATAAGAAAATCAAACCCAAATATCCGTCACCCAGTTTTATTAGACCTTAATATAATGTCATATTTGCTGTAGTTTTTTAACATATTTTTTATTTTTTTGAGACAGAGTCTCACTCTGTCACCCAGGCTGGAGTGCAGTGGCATGATCTCGGCTCACTGCAACCTCTGCCTCCCGGGTTCAAGCGATTCTCCTGCCTCAGCCTCCCAAGTAGCTGGGACTATAGGCGCCCACCACCACTCCCGGCTAAATTTTTTTATTTTTAGTAGAGACGGGGTTTCACCATGTTAGCCAGGATGGTTTCCATCTCCTGACCTTGTGATCTGCCCTCCTTGGCCTCCCAAAGTGCTGGGATTACAGGCATGAGCCACTGTGCCTGGCCTGCTGTAGACATTTTTTAAAGAAATAAAATATTCAGTGCAGTTGAGAATCCCCTGTGTATCCCTCCTGTGGTTGGCAGAATTCTAAGATGGCACCCAAGATTCCTGCCTCCTGGTGTGCACACCCTGTATAATCCCCTCCCTGTGAGTGTGGGTGGGCCTGACTTAATCAGGTGAGCCCTTTAAAAGGAGGTTCTAGAGTTCAGAGACATAAGTCAGACAGCTTCAAAGCTGCAGCAGATACTCTCTTGCTGGCCTGTCAAAAAAAGCAAACCTCTATGTTGTGAACTGCCTACAGAGAGAGTCACATGGCTAGAACCTGAGGTCAACCTCTAGCAGCTGAGAATGACACCCAAGTCAATGGCCAGCAAAAAAGTAGGGAATCTTATAGCTGCAAAAAATTGAACCACCTGAAAGAACTTGGAATAACAATGAAAACTGAACAACCTGACTGAACTTGGAAGAAGACCCTGAGCTTCATATGAAAACACAGTCCTGGCTGACACTTTGATTTCAAGCAGAAGACCCAGCTAACCTTTATATGGACTTCTGACTCTAGAAAATGTGAGATAATAATGAGTGCTGTTTCAAGCAGCCACATTTGTGGTAGGAGTTCGAGACCAGCCTGGCCAACATGGCGAAATCCCGTCTCTACTAAAAATACAAAAATTAGCCAGGCGTGGTGGCGTGTGCCTGTAATCCCAGCTACTCGGGAGGCTGAAGCAGGAGAATGGCTTGAACCCGGGAGGCGGAGGTTGCAGTGAGCCAAGATTGTGCCACTGTACTCCAGCCTGGGGCAAGACTCCGTCTCAAAAAAAAAGCTAATACATCTCCCTTATTCCATTCCCCTCCCTCTCTTTGCAGAGGTAACTAATAACATGTCTTTGTGTTTATCATTCCTGGACATGATTTACACTTTTACTGCATAATTAGTATCCATAAAAGTTACATAGTATTGTTTGCAGATAGTATTGTTAACTCTATAAAAGTAACATTGTATCATACATATCATTCTGCAACTTGCTTTGGTTGCTGGACACCATATTTTTAGTTACATATACACATAGAGGGAGATGTGGCTCTCCTTATTCTGAGAACTGAAAAGAATTTCTGAGAGAAGGGTGTTAAACTCTTCCACTAGGACTGTAGATTTGACAGTCCCTCCCTTTTCTACATAACTTGAGGCTATAGCATTAGAGGCATAGACGTTTGGCATTTTTATATCTTCTTGAAAGACTGAGTGGTCTAACAATATGAATTATCCTCTTTGTGCCTTTTGTTTTCTATCTTAAATTCTCACCCATTCCCATTGACTATGATGATTCATTTTTGTAATTATTTCTAATACATGATTTGATGCTTCTATTTATCATATATTTTATTTTTAATCCTCTCATACGAGCAATCTTTATTTTTAATCTTCCCAAACAAACAATCTTTATTTTTAATCCTCCCAAACAAACAATCTTTTATTGGATACATGGAGTTTTCTTAGTTTCATTTTTCTTTTTTCTGGTTATTTGGGAGTTACATACTTTCTTTTTTCCCCAGTGGATACCCTCACATTTTTAACACACACACTAATCTCTGGTGGCATCAATTATGTTAAACTCCATGTTGTGTTTTGTCCTGCCTACAGTATCTCCCTTTTCCAGAATCTCTGCCGAAGGTCAGCTACACACAGGAACGCAGGACTGGGAAGAGGGAGGTTAGCGTGAGAACTTTGAGATCCCCTGTGGAGTTAGTCTGAGTTCTCCCTGGGCTAAGTGGCCTCACCCCCCTCAGGAATTCACTGCCTCAGAAATGAGCTCTGAGAGAGGATGCAGTGCTGTCTGTGGTTATGGGCACCCTCTGAAACTCAGCCCCTCTCTGCCCTTCCTACCTTGAACCTTGTCCCTAACTCTACTTCCTCCCTGCACACGCTGGCCAAGCCCTGCTCTCAGACCCCTGGCTGGAAGTAGATGTGTCTGTATGAACTCATGCCCACACACAAGGGCACACACTCACATGCTCTTACACGCGGACATACATGCACACACACACACGCACACACACACGCACACTGCAGCAAGCATTTGACCAGAAGCTGTGGCTGCTTTTGAAAACAGGGTGGAGCAGTCCTCCCCTTTAGAGTCTCCCACACTCCCAACACCATGACCCCTGATACGGTTTGGCTGTGTCGCCACCCAAATGTCATCTTGAATTGTAGCTCTCATAATTCCCATGTGTTGTGGGAGGGACCTGGTGGGAGATAATTGAATCATGGGGGCGGTTTCCCCGATACCGTTCTTGTGGTAGTGAATAACTCTCATGAGATCTGATGGTTTTATAAATGGGAGTTCCTCTGCACAACCCCTTTTTGCCTGCCTTCTGCCTTTCGCCTTCTGCCATGATTGTGAGGCCTCTCCAGCCACATGGAACTATGAGTCCACTAAACCTCTTTTTCTTTATAAACTTCCCAGTCTCAGGTATCTCTTTATCATCAGTGTGCAAACAGAATAATACAACCCCCTTGCTAAGCTGTCTGGTGACAGACTGCTGACCCCCTGGACAAAACTGAGTCCTGGGGTTTTGAGGGAAGGAGTTCTCAGGTTTTTCCTCTCTGCCCAGAGCAGGAGCTCCAAGGGTAGGACCTAGGTCCCCTCTTCCTCTATCCCCTGGAGCAGGAGCTCTCTCACATACTTCATTCTCCATGCCTCAGTTTCCCCTCTGTGGCAGCTGCAAAGGGGCATCACTTGGATCCACCTCTAGAAAGAGCTTGCCACTCAACTGTGAGGAGGGCAATGAGTTGGAGCCTCTAGCCACATTGCCTTCAGGCTCTTGTCAATAGGTCTATGACTGGGCCTGTCAATGCTCTTCCCAGACAGCCCCAGACATTGACAAAGCACAGTAGGGTTACTAAGGCTTCTATTCCAGCCTTTGCCCTGGAACTCGTTATCAAATTGGCAAAGACTTTTTCAGATCTGCAATGCAGTCTGAGTTTCTCTCTGCCCAATCCTACTTTCTCCTCTTTTGTCTCTCACAGGTCCCCCTGCCATCCAATAAACATTCACACTCCTAACTCCACCTTAGCATTTGCTCACTAGAGGACCTGAACTGACACACCTATAGTTAGCACCACCCTTCCCCGCAACAGAGCTCTAAGCCCCAGCCTCCAGGACCAGGAATAGCCATTTCAGAACTTGTCCTTGAGCTTCATTTCCAAATCTGTTATGTCAGGATGATTCTTTCTCCATCACCTGCTCTCCCGTGAACTTGGTTTTCTTCCTAGATGCAGGTGTAGCACCAACAGAAGATCCCCCACAATCCCACACCCAAGCAGTGCTAGGCTTCCCTGCAGAGGACAGCCCATGTCTAAGACACAGTCACGTCCCCAATCCCCAGATGAGTGCGGGTGTTGAGACGTGAAGGATGAATGAATGATATTCACTGCATGCTGTTATGGAAGGGAGGAAGGGAATATTTCTTCTTTAAATGCCTGCCCAGGCCTCTCCTGCCCTCCACCAAATTACAGCCTGGAGTTAAGGTGCATCTTCTCACAGGAAGAACTGGCCCCAAAAGAAGGTGCACCCTGGGGAGGTGGTGATCACTCCATGTTGCCAGAGCTACCAGCCCCGCTCTATGGATAAAGACCAAAAGTGTAGGTCCCTTCAACTCAGAAGCCCGGAGAAAGCAAATGTTGCCTGCATCCAGACAGCAACGTGGGTGGCTCTGGCAGGGGAATCCTAGAGCAGTGACTCCCCCAGCCAGGTGGTTTCCTCACCATCTCCTAGCCTGGCCTCCAGCGTACAGGTCAAGGCCACTCTGTGGCCCCCCCAGCCCCCTTCCCACT
Source organism: Homo sapiens (assembly GCF_000001405.40). Taxonomy (NCBI): domain Eukaryota; kingdom Metazoa; phylum Chordata; class Mammalia; order Primates; family Hominidae; genus Homo; species Homo sapiens. The sequence continues at coordinate 42,499,251 of NC_000003.12, forward strand.
CCACCACAGAACCTCACCACCATGGAGCCCCTGAGCTGGAAGCCTTGAAGGCAGTGAGTGCACGATTCTGAGAGGAGGCGAGGGCGGCACACAGCGCATGGATGAGACAGGCAGGAAGCCAGGCAGGCTCAGAATGAGTAACTGCAGATTCTCTTTGTGCCATGCCTGTTGTCACGGGGGATGGCAAGTGACTCCACTTCTCTCTCTTTCCCGCCACCTCCCGTGTCCTTGGCACCCATGTGATTCTGACATCCAGAAGGGATATGAGATGGTGCTAGAGACTAGGGACAGGTTTTAGGGATCCCAGAGGGGAGACTTCAGAACAGACCCCCCCAGGGAGGAATCCATGCAAGAAGGACATGGGGGAACAGAGAGTAGGAGGCGACTATGGCTCTCCTCCTCAAGCCTGGACTGGGAAGGCAAGGCAGACTCCAGAGGGGCTTAGGCTTTGGACAGGGTGGGGAGATTGGGACCACAGGCTTCCCACTCCCTCAGGTAGTCCGTCGGCCCCCCCTCTGCTTCTGACATCCCTCTTCCTCCAAGAAGCCTTCCCAGATCAACTGGGTGCACAAAAGGATGGCTTCCTCAGCAGATTCTACAGGACTCCCCAAGAGTGGGCCCACGGTTGACCCCCTTCCCCCCAGTGCTTCAGAACACAGGACAGGACATTCGGGAGCAATTAGTTGAAACACAGTCACATTTAATGTTGGTTGAATTTTTTAGGTTTTTGTTTGGTTTTGCTATTTTCTTTCTGCTCTTTTCATTTCTGAATATGTTTTGTGCCCTTTGATAGGTAAGGAAGGGTGGATCCCCCAGGAGAACAATTCTGAAAGAACAAAGAAGTGATGTTTATTCCGAAGAATCTGCAAGGAAACAATTATTTCTGATTCACCTACTCCCTTCCGGGGAGCAAGGCCTGCAAAGGCATCAGATGCCTTCCCAGCCACTCACTGCCTCCAACCTGGCCATCCAGCCCTCCAACAGAGGAGAGGAAGGGTAGTGTGGGCCCCCCTCCAGAGCCAGGGGAAGGCAACCCATCCCCACTGGTAGCCAGTCCCTCTCCCTCCCTCCCCACCCTGCCCACCAGCCATTCACTGGTGGGTCACATGGCAAAGTGAGGTCTGCCTCTCCAATCCTCACACCCATCATATACCCTCAAGTGTCCAAGAACCTTGTCCTCCAGGAGAGCAGGAGAACTTCAACAACCCTGGGGGCATGACACATTAATGATAGGATTTCAGCATCCTGCAGCTGGCTAGGTGCTGTGTGTGTATGTATGTGTTGAGGAGTGAGGGCTGAGGATTCATGACACCCCAAACCCACAGGTTTGCTCTTCACATCTAGGGCTCCTAGGACACCATGCCAGCACAAGTAACTTCCCAGGAAAAAGACACAATTCCACTGTCCTGCCAGGGAACTGAGACCCGAGACGGGGTACACAGGGTCATAAGGAGAGACAAAGACCCCTGATTTCTGAGCTAACAGCAGCCGTCAGGGGTGTGGATAGCTGAGGAGATGGCTGAGGATGATTCAAACACTCCCGCCATTGGGAGATCGAGTACAAACCCAAGAAAGGCTAGGACAGAGGCATCTCCACAGCTCCCAAATCTAAGGAAAGGCCTGTGTCCAGCCTCACTGATTATATCGGGAAGGAGGTAGAAATTGCAGGGAGTACAGTAGCTCCCCAAGTTCCCCTCATGGCAAGGGGATGCTGCCCATCCACCTCTGTGCCCCCAGTGCACAGCACAGGGCCTGGCACACAGAAAGAGATTAATAAATGTGCATGGAAGAAAGGAGGGAGGGGCTCCATGGTGGCGAGGTTCCCTTTAATGAAGGGAAGGAGGAGAGGGAGGAAAGGGAAAAAGAGCAAGTGCAGGGGATGGAATGCTGGAAGGGAGGAAGAAAGAAGAGAAAGAAGAGAGAGTGGAAAGAAAGTGTAAGTACGCCCTGAAGAAAGGGCCAGGGCACTCATCCCTTCCCGGCTTTCCCCCACTCCCCTCAAGCCCACCCCATGGCAGCATCCCAACGTTCCCTCTCTGTAGGGAGGGAAGCCCTGGTGGGTCCTCAGGGAGCTCCTGCGCGCCTGCTGTTCAGCCAAAGCCTAGCGCGGGACCTCCTTCAGGTAGCCGCACATTCTGCTCAGGGCTCTGGGACCCGCTGCCCTCTCCGCCTCTCCACTGAACTCCGCCTCTCCTTCTGTCACACGGCTCCGCCAGCCACTCTATCCTGCCGCCGCGACCACATCTCCAGCCTCGATTGTGCAGGCTCGAGCCCGTAGAAAGAGGGCTAGCAGCCACCTGCGCTTGGTCCACAAGAAGACGCGCTCCCAGGGCGCAGAGCTGGTGACCCCGCTCCCCATGCCAGGGACGAATAAACGAGAAAAGGGGCTGACCCGGTGTCACCCAGCGGCCGAGCAGCCGCCCCTTGGAAGCTCAGCACCAAAGGCAGGCGGCCAGGGTCCTGGCCCCTCTCTGGACCCCAGTATCCCCAGCTGTAAAATAGGGAATGCAGGAGGAGGACGACGTCTGTGGATCGTTTTAGGTCAGCTGCGGAGTCGGCCTGCGGGCTGGGAGCAGACCTCGCTCCCCACGCGAGGGCGCTGGCACTTCAGCCCAGCCTCCCTGGGGAGGTGCCCTGGACGAGACCCGCGAGGGTGCGGACACCTCATCCTCCCTGGAGCAGGTCTCCCGAGGCTTGAAGGGCCAGGGCACCCAACAGGTGCTGAGCGCGCCCCACCAGGTCACCCGGGAGCAGGGAACACCAAGGAACCCAGAGTCGGGCCTCTTTCGAGCCCTCGCTTCCTCTCGCCTGGCTTCTTCGGCGCGAAGGATGAATTGGGGTTGTTGAAAATTGATCAAACAACCCGATCTCTGTCAGCGCCTGGACACTTGCTGGGCCCCAGCTCGCAGCCTGGGAAGATAAGTGGCACTTCCTGTCTCGTAATCGGATTTGCGCGCACGAACCCTCGGAGACGCACAGGTGGGAAATGGGGAGGCTGGCGGGGAGGCCTCCTGGAGGAGGTGGCTCCGAGGGTAGACATGAGGAGCGCCCTGGGATGGGGCTGAGGGTGGATACAGAGGTGGGAGCTTGCGAAGGTCGTGAGCTAAGCATGGAAGGATGGAATGTGTTCGGGTCTCGAGATTCCCGGGTGATGAGCCCGGAGGGGCGAAGGCCTATAAATGTCTCACGACGGAAGACCAAGGTGTGGGATTGGCAAAGAGAGAGCAGAGCTTCCTCACTGGCAGGGGCTCCCCAGCCCCGCCCCATACCTGCGCGGCGGCCCCGCCTCCACCCATCCATTGGCTAGATCCGCCGCCCGTCAGACGAGCCCCCGGGGCCCGCCCCCAGCCCTGAGCTGCGCCTCTTAGCTCTGGGGCCACAGCGCCAGCGCCACTCTGCCAGGCTCCCGGCCATCGCCCGCCTGGTGCGCCGCCCGCCAGCTCTTTGCCCGCGCGGGGCCGCCCGCCGCGGGCTCAGGGCAGACCATGCGCCCGCCAAGTCCGCTGCCCGCCCGCTGGCTATGCGTGCTGGCAGGCGCCCTCGCCTGGGCCCTTGGGCCGGCGGTGAGTGTTCGCCCGGCCGCCCAGAGTCCCGGCAGCCTGGGGGTTGCGGAGGGCGGGGGAGGTGGGGGATGGCGGGAGCCGGGCCGTCTGTGCGCGTGTCTGTGTAAGAGGAATAGGGGACATCAAGCATCTCGACTCGCCTCCTCCCACCGCTCCAGACCGAACCTAGACGCGAGGGCTGGGATATTGGTCGTGCCCAGTCCCTCCCAGCGCAGCCCGGAGCAGGCACAGCATCAGTGGAGGGGCAGCGGGGAAGAGTGGGCCCCAGACTTGCCTTCCTTGTCGTGGTTGTGGGTGCGCAGCGGGGTGGGGCGGCCAGTGGGTGCAGAGTCAGGTACTGCGGCCGATTGAGATGGAAGGTTTGGTACACCGTAGGTGAGAGGGAGGATGTGAGGGGCCGTTCTTGTGTGCTGTGACCGTCTGGAGGTGCCTGTGGGCTGTCAGCATCAGAACCAGTGCTGGGGGCCCCAGGACTTGAGAAGGGGTTCTTGGGATCAGGTGAGTGACAGGCACATCCCTCCGTGTGCCCTCCCACTGAGCAAAGCAAAAAGGTACCAGACCCCAAGGTGGAAGCTGGTGGGCAGTGAGGGGCTAAGGGTGGTGGTTAACAGGAGGGGCCAGGCCTGTACATGGAGAGAGCTGAGCAGGGAGCCAATGCCAACAAGCAGTGGCCTCCCTCTTCCTCCCACTTCTGCTTCCTCTCAACGTGGGTATGTGTATGCCCTTGATACATGTGTACTCGTGTGCCCCATGTGTGGGTGTGATATGTGTTCCTGTGGATGGCTTACCTGGGCTGGGAGGCAGATGCTGATTGAGGCAGGAGATGCATGGATCATCTCACTCTAGAACAGGGGAGACCTCAGCACTCATTGAGTCTACTGAAGCCCATTTTACAGATGGGCAAAGCGAGGTCCAGAGACACAAGAGCCACATCTGTCTCCCACCAGTTAGACCTAGACAAAGGTTGATTTTCTCCCTACCCCAGACTTTGAGTAATCTAGAGTTGCTGCTTAGGCAGGGCCTTAAATGCCCACTCCAAGTTGGCTGGGGGAGGGTGAGGAATCTTGATTATCTAGTTCATTCTCTCCCATGGTCACTTCCCTTACCATCACCTCCACCAGAGCAGGTATCTCTGTGTTTCCATCTAGCGGATGTCTTGAGCACCCTGGGAATGGGAAGCTCATTGCCTGTCCTAGGAGCGGACCTCTGACAATTGGCAGGAGCCTCACCTCCACCCATGACAGCCATGAGACCCACCTCCTGAGCACTCAAAATCTTACCAAGCTCTGTCCCAGAGGCCACAGCTCTGGCACAACTTGCATGAAGCCTTCAGGCCTCTCCAACCACCATCTGGCCCTCCCAACCCCAGGTTCAAGCCACTCAAACTCTTCTTGGATGAACCGGGGATCTTGGGACCACTGTTGTCACCCCATTCCTCCATCCCGAGAAGCTTCTGAGCCCAGGGGCAGAGTGGATTCAGAGAGGTCTCCTTTCACACCAGGCCACTTCTACTTCACACTTCCTGAGACAGCCCAAATCTGTCTCCTCCCTCCAATGCCTACCCTCCCCCTGTCTTTCCACATCTTATTCGTTTAGTGCCCAACTCTATCTCCTCCTCCAGACAGCCTTCCCTGATTGCTCCAGCCAACTCAACCCTTCCCCCTCTAACCCCACCCTTCAGCCCTACCCACCTCCCAGGCTGGGCTATTCTGGCCATCCTATAAGGTCAGGGGCTGGGGTCTCTTACATCCCCATGTTTCTTACAGCCCAGTGCAGGGGCTGGGTCCACAGAGAGAGGAGAAGGGACTCAACCAGGACTGGGTGAGGGCAGGCTGGAGTGAGGGGTCCCTATTTCCCTCCCTGATTCTCCCTCCTCCCCACCAGCTACCAATCGCTCCCTCATGGAATGGGGCAAACCTGCTCTAGCCGGACTCGGTGTGACGGCGGGGTGGGGGGGCGGGGTGACAGGAGTTATCAGAGTCATAAAATGGCAGCTGCAAAGTTCAAGTTGAAGGCCCAAGGCCTTATCACTCCTGTTTATGGTGCCCTGACTTCAGCCTGGGAAGGAGAAATCTCTGAAAAGGGAGGCAAAAAAAAAAAAAAAAAAAAAAAAGGAAAGAAAACCTCCAGTGTCTCAGAGGAGGAAGTCTGCCCCAAGGCCACCTGTCAAGCCTTCCACTGCCCCTGCCCCCCGGACAGCAGGCACAGGGACTCCTCATCCAGAAGCAGAGCTGCTCAGGGCAATGCCCAGTACGAGGCTGGGGGAGGAGGGTCACAGGCCTCCTCGTGGGAAATTCTCTATCTGGTGTGGGAGACCAGACCCAGTGACTTAGGAGAAAGAGTCCAGGTGGATGTGGGGTACAGCCTCCTAGAACTGGGGCAGGGGTTGCTGAGAGGAACAGTCAGGGGAGGCTCCTGGAAGAAGCAGGACTGTGCCCTAAAGAGTTTGACCAGATGGGCCAATCTTTCACCCTAAACCATAAAACAGCCTCTGTTGACAGGACCAATGGGCCTGCCCCCAGAAGGAGGAGTCCCAGGGACTGGGAGAGGCTCGACTTCTCCCCAACTCTGAGGTTGATCAGTGGCCACAAGCTCCTGAAGGCCTTGCCTTGCCACCGGCATCCTGCTGCCCCTGCCACCTGCCTCTAGCCTCTCCAGAGGCGGACCACAGCTGCCCAGGCCCTCTTGGCCCCCAGCAGGCCACCCTGTGAGCTTTGGGAAACATGGCTGCATCTGGGTCAGGCCTCCTCCTCAAGTGAGGTTACCACCTCAGTTAGGCCTGGCCAGGGCTCCCAGGGTACCATGCTGGAAAAGCGAGCCCTTTTGGAAGTTTCTACCCTCCTGTCCTGGTGCACTAAGACTATGCCTTCTCTGAGGTTTGTGGGACATCCTTGGGGAGCCCAGGCTGGAAACAGGAGAGCTGGTCCTCACTCCACTCCATGGCAATGGCTTGACCTTGGGAACATCTTTAACTTTTGTGGAAGGGCCTCGGGTTCCTCACCACAAAAGGGAAGGTGAGAGGCCTCCGCCCAGTGTGCAGGAGAAGTGGGAGGAGAGGGTTAGGCTGGAGCCAACTCTGCCTCCTGAGTGGGACATAATCTACCCCTGGAGCACCAGGGTCTCTGTGAAAGGGGGTTTGTCTTTCAAGCAGGACTTCTGTGAGCTTTGAAGGAGGTAAAGGTTGTGAAGGTGGCTATGTGAACTGTGTGACTGTCATCCCTTCTCCTACGTCCCCAGCTTGGGAGCCCTGTGCAAACTTATACAGCTATTTCTGGCCCCCATCTTCCCACAGGTTCCCAGGGCAGCAGGAGTCCTGGGGAATGGGGGACGTTTCCTCATTAGGTGGCCAAAACATTTTGGGGGTAAGGCTCCAGGCCTAGGTAGGCAATGGGGCCTCTCAGAGCAGATGGGCCTTCACAACGTGGGCAGCCTCAGTGGAAATCCAACATGGGCCATGAGACCAGGGTAGGGGCTCTAACCTGCCACGTGCCACAACTCTGCCATTGCTGGGCCCTTCACTGTGGCTCCTTTGGCCATGGAGCAGGGAATGGGGCCTGGGGACTATGTAAAGCCTAGTCCCTTTCTTAAATCCTTCTGTTCAACCCCCAGATTCTGCCTTCCCCTCTCTGACTTCTTAACACAAAATGATTTTTATTGTACCCATTGAAAATGTCAGTATGTACTCTCTCACATAACTTAGAAGTATTTCCTTTTTTTCTTTTTTTTCTTTTTGAGATGGAGTCTTGCTCTGTCACCCAGGCTGGAGTGTGGTGGTGTGATCTTGGCTCACTGCAACCTCCAGCTTCCAGGTTTAAGCGATTCTTCTGGCTCAGCCTCCCTAGGAGCTGAGATTACAGGCTCCCGCCACCATGCCTGGCTAAATTTTGTATTTTTAGTAGAGACAGGGTTTCGCCATGTTGGCCAGGCTGCTCTTGAACTCCTGGCTTCAGGTGATCCACCTGCCTCAGCCTCCCAAAGTGCTTGGAATTACAAGCATGAGTCACCACGCCTGGCCCCTTAGAAGTATTTCTGAAGAAGAAAAAAACAGTTTAATCTCTCCACCACGTGTATAGTGTTTTAAATTTTTACTTTTTTTGTGAAAATTTTTAAACAAGCAGAGACAACATTATAATGAACGTGCAAATACCCAATTCCGAGGTTTGACAATTGTTAACATCTAACAATTAATATATGCTTCATTTGCTTTTGGGCTGAAGTATTTTAAAGTAAATTATAAACCTCCTGACCTTTTACCCCAAATCATTTCAGAATGCATCTCTAAAACCAAAGGACACTCTTCTATATAACTATGATACTGTCATTACACACCTAACAAAATTGACAGGAATTGCTTAATATCTAATATTCAAATATCCCCAGCCGGAATGTAATGAAGTGCCACAGGATGAGTGGTGATATTATCCAGGGCTTGGTCTTCTCGCAGGAGTTTCATGTCTGTGTCTGACGGGACTGTCCAGCGAGCTGGCAGGGAGAAAGCAGGGTGCCTTGGCAGTGAGCCTCAGGCTAGCCTCCACTGGGAGGACCCAGTCTTTTCGTGCAGCCCCTCTCATGCGGCCCATTATCTCTCAGGAAGTGCCTCCTACTACCTAACTTCAAAACAAGTTCTTCCTGCACAGCAGGTCACCAGAGGAGGGGGAAGAGGCCACCAACCAATCTCCATGTACTAAGGACTCATAGCCTTGTGGCTGCCTGTGCTGGAGTCCAGCCCTCTGCAGGTGGCTCCAACACCAACGTCACCCACAGGCACTGTGTTTATAAGCTGAGTCCTGCAAACTCCAGTTCCCTAGGTGTGGCCAGGATCGTGAACAAGCAGCAGAGGATTTAAACTAAATGCTTAGCCTGTGTTCCTCTGCAAATAAAGGCTTCATGCCCCCAAAAGAAACCTTCCAAGAAGAACCCTTAGATGGGAACAAGCTAAGTGTCTGTGCTTGGGTTCTGCTAATTATGAGAGCCCTTGTCCTGATATCACTCTGAGATGTGGAAAGTTCTTCTTACCCAAAGCACAATCCTGTATCCTTATGTCTCCCCCTCTTCCTCCCCATCCCCATCAACACTCACACAGCAGTTCTCATTCTCTTCTTCTACCAGAGCTCAGCCTTCCCCAAGAGGAAGTGAGGCTGGCAAAAAAAAAAAAAAAAAAGAATTTGCAGCGGGGAGGCTTTGGGCTGTTGGCTAAGGGATGTAAAAATACAAGGAAGAGAAATCAGTACGGGGCGAAGGTAACTGGCAGACTTGAGACCTCTGGTGGGTACGGCTGGCACTTGTCAGTGGGTAGGACCTTCAGCCTACCTGGGGTTATGCAAGGCACTACGGCTGTGGCTAGGCTTGGATGTGGACAGCAGGGGCAGCCTGGCATGAGGACTGGACTAGAGCTTTGGCAGTCGCTGCTAACCCCCCTGGTGCCTGGCTGGTGTCTTTTACATGTGACCCTCAACCCCAATTCTAGAAGTAGGTGGTATTGTTATTGTCCCCATTTTATAGATGAAGTTGAGTAAATTGCCCAAGTCATCCAGCCAGGAAGCAGCAGACAGTCTCATTCTGGAACCTGTGGTCTGAACTAGGCTCTGCCACCTCGTGAAGAGGGGCTACTACTTCCAGGGTGGGCGACGGCGTGTCACATGCTGCGCTGGGACTTTAGATATTTTTAAAATTAGTAAAATATAGAAATCTGAATTGACAGCTCAGTGAATTGTCACATATGTGTACACCTGTGTCACCACTGCCCAGGTCAAACTATTATACATTCCCATCACCCTAGCAGGCTGCCCTGCAATGAGGGGAAGTCTTATTTTGATTTCCTTTAGTGCTCTCTGCAAAGCTGGGAGCATGTTTCTCCTTTCTTTTGTGACTCCTGGATCCCATGATCCAACTTATGTCCTTTACCCACTCCTTTTCTGCCCTTCCTCCTCCCACCTTTTCTCTCCTCTCTCCCCTCTTGCCTCCCAACTACAAGGGCTGCACGTTCTCGCCCACTCACGTGCAAAAGCCAGCAAGGATGGGAAGGTGAGCTGCTGTCCTGTGTGCCTGTGATCACACTGCTTTCTCTCTGGCTCCTCCATTCCCCCTGTGTCTCTTTTTTACCCCATGATTTCAGCAGGGGGCTGGCAGAGTAGAGTAAATAAGTCGTGAGATATGAGATGGTTTCTGTAAAGGGCTAGGGTCATGTGGGAGAGGGTAAATGAAACCACTCCTGAGCCCCCTGTCCTCTACTCCCCATTCCCCTGCCTCCATTAACAGTTGCAGGCTGGAAAAAAATAAAATAGCCCTCTTGACAAACCTCAGAAGCACAAATCATCCATGGAGGCTCTGCATGCTTGGCAATTTGCAGACAGTTCTTTCTCCTGCCTCACCTTATCCAGCCTGCTGCATTCTGTGCTCCTCTCAGAGACCAGCTTCTCCTCGGAGGGACTCATGCTTCCTGCTGTGCTACTTGGCTCCTCCTGCCCTAGTTCTCTGGCCCCAGATGATGAGGCTGGGGCTTCTGATTCGAGGCAGTAGCTGTGGTCTCAGGCTTCCCTTGAGGGGATTGAACATGGCCTACGAACCTGAGCATGGCCCACCCTGTCTTTCAGAGCCCCTTGCATCTAACAGCTACAACTCCCAGCATCTTCACCCATACCCCCATCACCACACCTAGCCTTTGCTCCAGATCTCAGAGAACCCCACATGGACAGGAAAAAGCAGGGCTTTCTCTCTAGCCCCTCACCAATTCCTATGCTTGACTGAGCTCCAAAAAGTAAGCTTAAAGGCAGCCTGACCCTGCCGTTGAGCTGAGGCTAGAGAGTTTTGGTCCAGGCTGGGCTCTCAGCACCTTCTTTGGGGCAGGAGTTCCTAAGCCCAGAAGGGACCCAGGCTGAAGAAGACTGAAGAAGTCCACAGCATCTTCTCCATCCTGGTCTTCTTCTGTCCTCTGCCATGGGGCTAGCGGGATGTGGGAGGTGAATGACAGGGAGTTGGCAGGAGAATCCTGAGTCTAGTTGGAGACAGGGACTAACCAAGTCTTGTTCATTCCACCTGCCCCCTCCTCTCTGTGCCCTCTCTTTATACCCACTGTCCTGCCCAGGCTTCATCAGTTCCTGCCTGGACTGGTGCAGTAGCTTTCAGCCCCACCACCTGCAACCTGAGGGATCTTTGTAAAATGTGTATCCCCCATCCTCAGTCTCCTGCTTCAAGTCTCTGTTGGCCCCCATGGCCTAGGAGTGAAAGCTCACACTTGAAAACTGGCATTCCAGGCCCTTCCCAATCCTACCCCAGTCTACATCTCTCAACTTGTCTCCTGATGCCCCCAGAACTCCTTGCTGCAGCTACACCAGGCTTCTCACAGCCTTGCATGTATTAGGCATTTTCATGCCTCCATGCCTGTGCACACGCTGCTCTACTTTCTGGGGTGCTCTTACTCCACTTCTAATTGTCTAACTTGCACATCCTCCATGACCTACCTCTACAGAATGAGTACAGCATACCCATTCTGTAGGAAGCCCAGACTCCAGCTATATCCCACCCTGGAACACTTCCCTGACATCAGTAGACTTGGCTATATTCAGCCAGGGAATTTTTCAACTCTCTCTGTGTTCCTGAAGTCCAGAGGGATAATGAGGATGTTTAGAATAGGGAAATAAATAAGTGGGAGAGGAAGTCCAAAGTCTGCCTGAATTCCTTAGTGATAAGGACTAGAGGGAGCTGCCCTGGCCCGGTCCCTCAAAGGGCAATGGTTGACCAGAGGGTCCAAGGCGAGGCTGTGTTGAAGGATTGATGCAGTCCAGACCAGCGGTCAGAGACTTAGGTCCCATCTGGGAATGCGCATTTGCTGGGTGACCTCAGGTCCCTCTTTGGGTCTCCATTTCCTCTACCCCTCCCCAGATAGGGCTCAACACTAAACTAAATTGTGACAAAGAGAGAGCTCATCTTCCAGACCACACCCACTGTTTCATAAACACCACAGGCTTCGGTACCCACCCCTCCTTTCTCTCCAAACTGCCTCTAAGGAAGGGCTGTGTGTCTGTGCTGCTGAGGGGGCAGAGTTGGCTGGAGAAGTTGACCCAACACTCTTCTACCCTCAGAGAGTCGCAAGCAGAAGCTGCCAGAAATCCTAGGCGCCCATGGTGATTGGGAAACAAATATTTCTTGGCAAACTATATGGCCACAGTCCTGGCTTAAGAAGGCCCAGAAAGTGAGGGCGTCCATTATCTTGTCCTCAGAGGGCAAGGCTGGACACTTTTGTTTACAGCGACCAACAGAAAACTCAACTGATCCAAGCCATAAAGGAAAGGCATCAGCTCATGTTGCTAGCAGTAGAGCTGGTTTCAGGCATGGCTGCATTCACAGACCCAGACAATATTAAGAGAACCTGATTTTTCTCCATCTCTCTATTCTGCCTTCAGCTGTATAGTTTTTATCCGTGTGTTCCACTTGTCAACAAGAAGACAGCAGAAGCTTGAGCCCTTGCTTCCTTTAAGGTTTCCAGTCCAGTGGGGAAAAACCAAATTCACTTTCTTAATCACTTAATCCAAAGTCCCAGGAGTGAGCCTCCTGGCTCTGAGTAGCCTGACTCAGGCCATGTGTCAGGCACTGTGGCCAGGAATGCTCTGATGGACTTAAGCCTTGGTCACATGTCAATCCCCTGGAAGAGGGTTCATCAGAACTCCATGAACTAGAGGTAGGGAAGGAGGTTGTTTCCCAGACACAGATGAGGACATGGCACCAGAAGAGAGTAAAGGATGGTGGAAGGCAGAAACAAGAGATATCTGCTACCATCCATCCTGTTTTGACGTTACAGTGTTATGAGAGATAAGAATGGACAGGAGAATCAGGAGACGCTGGGAAGGGGCCAGAAAGCAGAAAGAACCCTGTTGCTGGTGGGAGATGGGGTTGGGATGGTACCTTGGTGAGAAATGTGCTCCAAGACAGGCAAGACAGACCAATGATGGGACACAAGGCAGGGTAGCCAGTACCCAGATTCCTCTTCCAGAAGCCACCTCTGAGATCTTCCTGGCCACTATTCCCCCTATACTTGAGGATGAAACAGCCACAAATCCCTTGAGACAGAGTGTCTTGAGCATTTCAGCCTGAGTAACCCTTATGGGAAGGAGAGAAAGCACATGACCCCAAAGAGGAACCACAGACAGTTTCCTTGAAGTCTCCTATCTTTTAACAGTTATACGAGTAACTGTATCATGCTCCATCACACAACTGTGTTACTTTCAATAAGTTTTAAATGACTTACCAGCTAATGTCTTTACCCCCATTGGCTGGTAAAGGTGCAAGATGGAGCTCGTGCTCACTGTGGCTTCCAGGGCAACAGCACTTAGGCAGGTGAGGTCTGGATGCTGGGGAAATCTAAAGGAGTCCTGGAGAGGGAGGCCTTCCCTGGACCTGGACGAGGTCAACCATGGTGCTAGCTGCTTCTGGGAGTGTTGGCCTGCAGGTGACCTGTGAGACAGAGGCTCCACCAGAGAGCCCTCAACAGGAATGAGAGAGCTGTTTGGGGTGGAAAGGACTTGGCTGTGCAGCTTCTTAGGCACTGAGTTGTTCAGCTTCAGCTTGGACCCCTCTCCCTCCGCAGCAATGGATTGCTGGCTGCCAGCTGGGATGCACATCCCAGTAAATGGAGCTGATTTACTTAAAACAATGGTCAAAGTACTAAGCACTTTGGTGCCTGCAGGCCAGGAGGGACCCCCTTAAAGGAAGGTCCCCCACCTATGTTCTTCCCACGGACCCACTTCAAGAATCTCTAAGTCGGCAGGGGAGGTGGTTGAGGCCCACGTAGCCTACAGAGAAACTGAGGCCCAGGGAGGTAAGGACCCTGTCCCAGGGTGGGAGGGACAAGCTGGAGGAGACACTGAGAATGTCTGATTCTGGAGTGGTCTTGCTGGACTCTCTTCTATGGCCCTGGTGGAAACTGACATTCTTCTCCCAGGCAGAGATGAGGAAACTGGTGTGGGGTTGCCGGGGCCAGCAACCACTTTTCTAAAGCCAAAGACGCAGAAGGTGCTGCCAGTCCAACGCTTCCTCCATGGAGGCCTTCACCCACCCACACCCATCTAAGAGTTCCCAAGACCTGTTTTTTCTGGCTATTCCTAGACAGCCATCACCCCCACTCACATGTCTTCCACAAGGTCAGTGACCCCAGTCACACTGGTCTGGCCCACCCCTGATCCCTGGCCAGGGTACAGGGAGGGGAAGAGGAGAAGCTTGGACTTTTCCATCCCTTCTCTTCACCTTCCAGAAGCAGGGGAGGCCTGGTGGGATCCTAGAGGGGCTCTCTTACTTCCTTAAACCTCCCCACCCTCAGTAGATCTGGTATAGCTTGAATTATTTAGAAACTAAAAAGGAGGCAGGTGAGGTCTGGGCAAGGAAGGCCAGAGTCCCCTCCCTAGCCTGGTGACCCAGGGGACTGAGCACAGAATCCTGGAATGACAGAAGCTGGAAAATACAGCTAGACTCCTGGATTCTTCCCAGGGCTGGCCCTGGGAACCAGAGGCCAGGATCCAACTCCACATAACAGAGTAGTAGCACGAGCTGGCCCCACTCATCAGGGAGATCAAGACAGGGACAGACTCTCAAACCAAGCTGGAGAGTGGCAGAGTCCAGAGGGCCAGCTCAGGCCTCTAAGGGGAGGCCCTCTTGCCGCCATCTGGAGTTGTGCCACCCGCAAAGAGACAAAGCAGTTACAGCTGCAGCACTAATGGGGGAGCCATCAAGAAGCTGTGGCAGGGTCCTCGGGGCCGACCCAGGTTTGGGGGCAATGGACAACAGGTTGGGGTCAGGTTCAGGTTTCAGTCTTGGGTTGGTATTGGGGTTCCATCTGGAACTTGGATCTCTTCCAGGGAGAGGGCAGGTGCAGTCCAGAGACTGGGCCTGGTGCTCCTGAGTCTATGGACGAGGCTGATGGGCCCTCCCTGTCTTTGTTCTCAGGGCGGCCAGGCGGCCAGGCTGCAGGAGGAGTGTGACTATGTGCAGATGATCGAGGTGCAGCACAAGCAGTGCCTGGAGGAGGCCCAGCTGGAGAATGAGACAATAGGTGAGGCCCCCATGGGCAGAGAGGGGCTGCATGCCCCCAGGGAGCCCAAGATTCCTCATGTCTCAAGCTGAGATCCAAGTCACGTTCGTTCCACATTTATTGGATGATGGTGAGGAGCGGCTGGGGAGCCAGATGGAAGAAGAAAGGGGCTAACAGGCTTCCACATTCCCACCCCAGGTCTGGGGAGCTCCCAGCCGCAGCTAAGGAGGACATACTAAATTGGGGTTCTGAAAAGTACATGGAGCCAACTCTGCCTCTGGGGGTCCCTATCCCTCTTCTCCAGGAAAAGTGAAGATCTCCATGGCGGCCAGCCCACCCAGGACACAAGGCCCAGGGTGCTATGTGGTGGGGGATCTGTGACCAATGAGGGCAGGCAGGTTCCAGGACCCCCTGGAGCTGGCATGGGAGAATTAGCCCCATAACACCACACTCCAGGATTAGAACATTGTACTGTTAGCATCTCCAGAGGAAGAAGAGGCACATTCAGTCACAATATGTGACCCCCACAGGGACCACATGGAAGCTCAAAGCCATCTTAGTGGTCCCGAGCAAGAAGGGGCACAAGTTTTGTCTGGAAAGATGTGGAATACTCACCACAGCCAATATTCAGCCTGGAAACTGAGGCCCACTCCTCCCTCTCAACCCCAGGCTCTGCCTCTGCTACATCCAGAGGACCGATAGTGACACCACACACACACACACACACACACACACACACATACACACACGCCCAGCCCCTAAGCATACACATACAGGCAAACACACTGGCCTCTCCATCCCAACCCACCCTTAGTGGCCAGATGAACCATCAGCTCATTATTCGGCTGATGAGACAAGTCAAGGTCAGCCCCAGGGGCTGAGCACATGAGGGCCCCAGCCACTCCTCCTCAGGGGGCTGGGAGAGCCCCACCTGGCAGTGTGAAGGGTAGTGCCCAGCTACCAAGACTGGACAGCAGGGCTATCAGGACAGATGACAGCACCCTCCTTTTGACTCAGCAGCCCCAGGTAAGAATGGATGGAATTCTTTGGTACCACTTGAACCAGACTTGGAGGGGTGAGCAGGTTTGGAGAAACAGAGAGTCTGGGAAGGTGGGAGGCACTGAGGCAGACTTCCCATGGGGAGTGGGGCATGGTTGGCAGGTTCAAGTCTTACTGCCAGGGACACCAGCCTGGCATGTCTGGGCTGGAGGCATGAGATGGCTGGGCCCGTTCTGGGCCTCCATCCCAGGCCATCTCCCCGCGGCTGAGCTTACAGTTATGTAACAGCCTTGCTCAGGAGCAGGGAGCATCTTTACGTCTTCCTGGCTCCCTAGTTCCCCTTCCACCTCTCTAAAGCTGACAGTTATGTAACCCCTTCTGGGTCCCTCTTCTTGGCCCTGGTGCCCAGGCTGTCTGCCTCCTGTTCTGTAAGTGAGTATGTGTAGCCTCACAGATGGGCTTTGCCTACCCTTGTCTCAAAGCAGGACAACCCCTTGACTCTAGGGCCCAGAGACTGAGGCATGGGTCACGGGGTGGCTGGGCCTGCCCACTACCTACAGGCCCCACCCCACTCCACCAGTGCAGGGAGCCAGGACCAGGTGCAGACAGGCTTTGGCAGGCCCCAGCGGTGGGATCATAGGCAGCCCCAAGAGGCCCAGACTCTAGACTCCACTGCGCACCTCCCACGCCTGGGGACAGGCCACCCTCGTGATTCCAATGAGGTCACTGCTGGCACAGCGTTCCCGTCGGGTGCCAACACCCTGTCACCAGCAGCCAGGCTGGGATGCAGAGAAGGGCCAGCATAGGTTGTGGCCATGGGTCTGCCCGTGACCTTCTGTAGGGCTCTGTGCGTGTTCATGCACATCTAGGTATGCGCTCCTGGCCCATGTCTGTCTGGAGCTGCGTCTGTGCCTCTGGGGTCTATAGCTCTGTGTCTGACTCTGAGTATCTTTGTGAGTCAGAAGTGTGTGTCTATTTAAGCTTGGGCACATGCCATCTCGACATGCCTAGATGTGTCTGCCCAGTGTGCTGTGTCTCTGTGTGTTGGCTTGTATGTCTATCAGTGTGAATGTCAGTGATACACCCAGACATGTCTGTCTCTCTGAATGTATGTCTCTGTGAGTTGTGTGTCTCTCTGTGCCCATTTGCTTGTGTCTGTGGTCTGTGTTCAGGTAAGTGTACATGTGTGCATGTTTGCATGTGTGCCTGGTGTTCTGTGTACTGGCATGTACATGTCAGTGTGTGTATCTCTGTGTGCACACAAGTCTACAAAATGACACAGCAGAGGCCCCACCTCATCTTGCCTCACCATCCCTTACCCCAAGCTCTGGGTTGGGCTTTCCTGCTGAGGGCACAGCCCCACCTGTGGGCACACACAGCCAGCCTGGGCCCTGTATTTCTGTAGGCCTGGTGACATGTGTGATGGGACCTATGGGGCCTCATTAGGGCAGGCACACAGGAAATACTCCCGTTGCCTAGCCCAGGACAACAGGCCATTCCAGGTACCAAGTATATTCATGGCTGTCACCCCGTCCCCTGCTTCCCTGACCATGTCCCTCATATTGGCCTCTCATCCTGCTCCCCTGCCCTGCTGGCTGCCCTACACCCCAGCACCAGTTCACAGCCCAGCCTTGGTTATGCTGAGATTCCTTGAGGCCAAGTGTGGCCTCCCAAGGGCAGGGCCTGGTTTCCTCTCTTCTGTCCCACTGCAGTGAAGCAGAGCTCAGGGCCAGAGACCCAGCCCCGGATTCACTCCCTGGCCTGTGCTGGCAGCCGGAGGTTTAGAGAGCCCAAAGTCTGGCAGGGACTCAGACACAATAGCCGGCCTACAAAACAGGGCGTGCCCAGTGCTGTCAGAGAGGGGTAAACAAAGTCCAGCAGCAGCAAAATTCCCAGAGAAATGACAGGCCTTCCAACCAAGAGGAGTGGGAATAGACTGTACCGCTTACCAGCAACATGACCTTGAGCTGGTTTTCTAATCAGTCTGTGCCTCCATTTCCTCATCTGTGAAATGGAAGCATTAAATAAGTTATTCATCCAAAGAGGTTAGAACAGTGCCTGGCACATGCAAATGTTATATGAATGTTTGCTGATATTCTTAACAGGGTCTTGAACCCCCAGCAGGGTTTGACTGACCTGAAGTGCCCCTACTCAGCTTTCAGAGAAGCTGGCCCAGAATGGAAGAGGGACTGACAGCCAACATGAGGCCACAAGAGCCCTCAAGACAGGTTGGGGGAAAAGTGGTCAGGGTCCATGACCAAGGAAGGCTGCAATCTCTGGCCAAGCCCTAGGGATCCAGGTGTCCTCCTCAGCCTTCAGCTATAGATGTGGCCTGACTGCTGCAGCCCCAGAAAGTGCCCCTTGCTGCTGCCAGCCCACTCCAATGCACACAGTCCCGAGGCTCTTCCCCAAGTAAACACATCCCTCCACCTCCTCTTCCCAGACCCCCTTCTTGGGAACTTGTGAACCTTCGGACCTGAGCTGGGCTGGGCTGGGCTTGGCCCAGCTGGCGTTGACTTTGGCTCAGGGGTTGGGTTTTCTGAGCAAATCTATGGGACTGGCAGGATTGCAAAGAGACAATTAAGCCTCCTGCATGGGATGGGTCCAGAGCAGTCCTAGTCCCTCACGGGCATGAAGCTTCTGAACAGACTAAATGATGGCATTTGCATGTGCCTATTCAAGCAGACCCCTAGAGACCACACTGTGCATCTTTCACTGGCCAGGCTCTGCAAGGCTGTGGCGGAGAATGCAGCCACAATGCAGGGTTTTCGCTGCACTTGTTCCCTAACTATTCCCCTCCATCACAATTCACAATCCGACCACGTTGGGGGAATCTGTGTTGTTCAAGAACTAGGTGCGGGCTGGGCACGGTGGCTCATGCCTGTAATCCCAGCACTTTGGGAGGCTGAGAGGCAGGTGAATCACCTGGGGTCAGGAGTTCGAGACCAGCCTGGCCAACATGGCGAAACCCCGTCTCTACTAAAAATACAAAAATTAGCCGGGTGTGGTGGTGGGCTCCTGTAATCCCAGCTACTCAGAAGGCTGAGGCAGGAGAATCACTTTAACCTGGGAGGTGGAGGTTGCAGTGAGCCGAGATCATGCCATTGTACTCCAGCCTGGGCGACAGAGCAAGACTATGATGGGGTGATGAGTATATTGGGATGCATCTAGTTCTTTTTTTTTTGAGACAGAGTCTCAAAACATTTTCTAATGCCTCCTTCACTATCATAATATGAAATTCAGGACACGTACCCATCCACTTTATAAAAAATAATGTTCTAGCTATACTGTAAAATAAATATTAAAAGGAAAGTAATTTACAATAAAGTACCATGTACATATTCAAGCATAACCACACTAGATGTAGTCTGAAGGTTGTACCTACAAATATAAATCCTGGGAATGTGAGGCCTACAAATGCAGACTGATGGACACAGGTAGTTGTATCGGTGACTCAAGTATCACAGGCAGCACTGCTATGGGTATCATGATTTTCCAAAACATTGAACAACTCTTAGTGAAGTTCAGAACAAAACAAAATACAATCTTCCCTCCCTTTTCTCAGTGGCTGCATTCCTGGAAAACTCCATGTATGTTAAACTTGTGCAATAAACAGCTTGTGTTGGCCGGGCGCGGTGGCTCATACCTGTAATCCCAGCACTTTGGGAGGCCAAGGTGGGAGGATCACTTGAGGTCAGGAGTTCGAGATCAGCCTGGCCAACATGGTGAAACCCTGTCTCTACTAAAAATACAAAAATTAGCCGGGCGTGGCGGCATGGGCCTATAGTCCCAGCTACTCGGGAGGCTGAGGCAGGAGAATTGCTTGAACCCAGGAGGCAGAGGTTGCCAAGGTTGCACCACTGCACTCTAGCCTGGGTGACAGAGTGAGACTCCATCTCAAAAAATAAGTAAGTAAATGGCGTGTGTTTATACATAAAATGGTGTAAGAGTCTAGGCTCTGGTCATTATGAAAGGTTTTCACCTATACATATGCCCAGTGGCTCATCTGGAAGCCATGCAGAATGTGAGACAATTCATCATTGTGCAGGAGTTGTCTGTCTGGCATCCCTGGTGACTGCCCATCAAATGCCAGTGAGGCCCCCCTATTGCTGCAACAGTCAAAACCACCACTGGCATTGGAAACATCCCCAGGGGGCGCTCCATCCCTCACTAAGGACCAAGGAACTGTAGTCAGGCCTCCTTCCTGCCTCCCTGTCAGGACAGCCCCGTGCAACCTCCGCAGGGCTGTGCCTCCCCTCTCAGACTGGAGGCTCCTTGAGGTGGGAGCCTGGCAGAGGGAGGAAGAGAGTGGGTGCCTATGGCCTCAGGCCCCAGGGCTGGAGGCACCTGCACTGTGCTCACCCATGTGTCTTCTGCCTTACCCCCATAGGCTGCAGCAAGATGTGGGACAACCTCACCTGCTGGCCAGCCACCCCTCGGGGCCAGGTAGTTGTCTTGGCCTGTCCCCTCATCTTCAAGCTCTTCTCCTCCATTCAAGGTAAGACCCCTGGGTTGAAGAGGTGATGTGAGTGGGGCCGGCTGGAGTGGGGACTCACCTCTCAAGGAAGTGGAAAGGCAAAGGAAAGTGGTCAAAGAGGCTGGAGCAATCCGAGGGACTCCCTGGCAGAGGAGGCAATGGTGCTGGGTCTTTAAAGAACTCACAGGATTTGATTAGCTCTTCACATAAAGATAAGCATGTGGGAAAGGCTCACTAAATATTTGCTCAACAATTGATAACTGATTGACTGACAGGTACTTGATTAAATTATGACTCCCATAGTCCTGTTGTCTTGGGCTGGTCTTGATTCAGTCTTTCGATGCCTGGAGCCTATGACCTCTTGGGCTCCATGAAGCCACCACATGACTTTGCTTACACACCTTGTCATGTTCCACTTAAATGAATGTCCACAGAATGAGGCAGAAAAGAAAAGGGGGAGCCCCTTTAGGAGGTGGCTTTCTAGCTAGTGAGTCATTAAAGAGATTCACAATATAGATTCAGTCATTCTTTTGTGCAGTGAATGAAGCACTTACCAGTGTGCCAGGCACTGAGCTGGACAAACACAGTGGAGAGAGGATAAAACAGCCCCCGGGGCTGCTCTCCCAGAGCTAGCATTCTCATTGGAGAGACATTTAGTAAGGAAATAAACAGATGTATCATCAATAATAAAAAGTGCTGGACGAGAGAATAAGGAGAGTGGGGACTAACTTAAGGCAGAGGTTCACAAACAGCCCCTCTCTGAGGAGGTGACACTTCATCTGCAATCTGAAGACCTGGAGGTGAGAAAGAACCACCAGGCAAAGATCCCAGATTGGGGACAACTGAGAGAGAGAATCAACAGCCCGTGGAACAAGCATCCAAGGAAGTTCCGTGAAGGCCAGTGTGGCTGGAGCAGGGAAAGCACCAGGGATGAAGGGAGGGGAGGGACAGGTGCGCCGAGGCCAGACCATGCAGGGCCTTGAGGACAGAAGCGAAGACTTGAGTTTTTTCCTAAGTCCAGTTAGAAGTGGGGGGTTTTAAGCAGGGGACTGACAAAGTCCAATTTAGATTTTTAACGTCTAACTGGTTTCTGTGAGAAGGAAGAATTCTAGGAGTGTAAACAGGAAAACCCAATCACAAGGCAGGCAGGAAATGATGGCTTGAATTCAGGTAGTGAGCTCAGTGCGGGAGAGAAGTGGGAGAGTTGTTTATGGAGGGAATGGGAGTGAGTGAGGCGAGGGAGGAATCAAGCAGGCCCCACCCTAGGCTTAGGTTTAATGAGCCTTAGGGAAGAGAGTGGGACTGGGTGGGGAGCATGGAGGGAGGGGCAGGCCTAGAGTGGGGAGGACTCATGAGGAGCAGAACTTATATAATTATTCAGAGAGCGAACAGAACTCAGGCATCTCTCACTCCAGATGGCCTTTTCCTCCCTGGACCCCAGTTTCCCCGTTTGTAAAGTGGGGATAGGTGGTAGACCCCAGGGTCTCTTTGGGGTAAGCCAGTTTGCCCCCCAGTGCCTGCTGTTGTGACCTCAGTAGTGAAAGATAGAACTTGAAGCCCTCCTGAGGAGTCTGGGAGGGTCACAGCCATGCCATATTCCAGGCCAGTGCCCACCTAGCCTGGTCACCTCCTCCAGGGACACCCAGTGCCTGGGCAGATAAGAGATGAGTTCCTCTGGCAGGTTTCACAGTGCACGCCATCACCAAGCCTGGAAACTAGCCTTCTCTCTGATCCCTGGAAGCACCTGCTAATTGCCTTTCTCCCTGAGACTCTGCTAACTGCATTCCTCCCCATGGCTCTTCCTTCTGTCCCTGCTGGAATGTGTCAAGGCAACTCCTGCCCTTGAGAACCTGGACTCCAGCCCACCATCTAGCTAACCCTGAGGCTGCCGCCATCAATGGGGCCCATACGGTGCCTTTGGACTGACAAGAAAAAGGCAGTCCTTCCTCGGGCAGAGATGACCTCTCACTAGAGCCCACCTAGTGACAAGCAGAATATGCCTACCGGCCAGGTGCCCTTGTAGAGTGAACAACTTGCACAGCCATACTCTGTGGGCCTGGTCTCTGAAAATGGTGGAGAGAAATAAGAGACTGCGATTAGGGACTGAAAACAGAAAAAAGACAGTGTTCTCCTGAGCAAGTAGATGAAGAAGTTGTGGGCAACCGACCTGAAATTCCAAAGAGGGAAGTTTGCAAGTGTGAGGCAGGAATGATGGCATCACCAACTCACACAACAGGCCTGGGAAGAATTATATCCACGGGAAGGGACCTGGTTATACAGGGAAAGCTAAATAAACCTTATAGAAGATAAAAATTGTGGAGAGTTAGAAAAAAGTCATCTACCTAGACTGGATAAAATACCTGAAGGAGGGAGTTTGGCCAGGCAAGGAATTGCTCATTAAGACATCAAAATGTTCATGGTAGCTCACTTCTTTATTTTTATTTTATTAATGTTTTGAGATAGAGTCTTGCTCTGTCACCCAGGCTGCAGTGCAGTGGCACCATCTTGGCTCACTGCAACCTCCGTCTCCTGGGTTCAAGCAATTCTCCTGCCTCAGCCTCCCAAGAAGCTAAGATTGCAGGCACCAGCCACCACACCTGGCTAATTTTTGTATTTTTAGTAGAGACAGGGTTTCACTGTATTGGCCAGGCTGGTCTTGAACTCCTGACCTCATGATCCTCCCACCTCAGCCTCCCAAAGTGCTGGGATTACAGGTGCATACTTCTTTAATCTGTAGTCTGCATATCTTTCATCTGTGTTTCTACCTTCGAATATATATATATATATATATATTTTTTTTTTTTTTTTTTTTTTTTTTTTTAGACAGCGTCTCGCTCTGTCCCCCAGGCTGGAGTGCAGTGGCACTATCTCTGCTCACTGCAACCTCCGCCTTCCGGGTCCACACCATTCTCCTGCCTCAGCCTCCCCAGTAGCTGGGACTGCAGGCGCCCGCCACCACACCTAATTTTTTGTATTCTTAGTAGAGATGGGGTTTTACCATGTTAGCCAGGATGGTCTCGATCTCCTGACCTTGTGATCCACCTGCCTCGGCCTCCCAAAGTGCTGGGATTATAGGCATGAACCACCATGCCTGGCCTCTACTTTCAAATATTTGAAAAGATTTGTTTTAAAATAAATATGGGAGAGCCATTCTGGCTGAGAAAATTCGACATACAGTCTATGTTAACCATGTCTGTGGGGTCTATGGGATACCTCCCCTCCCCTACCACCTGCATCATGATGCTATAAATAAGAAAACCTTGCTGCCAGCCTAGGAAGCTCAAACTTGCTGGCTGGGATGGGACACCACGGCAGGGAATCAGCAGGAGAGTTCCATGGTCAGGTCTGGGTGTTAGCATGATCCTTCCAGCTGTCTCAGGGTGGGGAGCTGACAGGAAAGCAGGGGGCTCCTACCTAATCCAGGGGAGATGAGGTGGTGGTGGTGCTGGGGAAGAAGCTGGGACAGGACTGGTGACTGATGGGGGAGAGGAGGGAGAGGATTATTCCTCAATTCCTGGCTCCAGGCACTGAGTGGAGGATCCTAGCTAGGCACAAGCGGGGGCCATGACTGCTTTTTGAGACATAGTGAGTGGGAGGAGACTGGAAGAAAGGTGGCCCTTGCCACCCTTCTGGTCGTCATGGCTATCCTGAGCTTGTTCAGGTGAAGCCCAGCCCAAGTGACAGGCCTCAAAGCAGACCTGGCAAGTGTCCCTCCCACGGTGGAGCCCAGCCTGGCCCAGGCATGCCCTGACCCCTTCACTGTTGCATGCCCTGACCCCGCCCCCAGTGGAGTGTCCTTCCCAGCACAGGGTTAAAGTCCCTTGCTACCTCCCTCCTGCCCTTCATGTCCCCCTCTACAGATATTGGGCCTGCCGGTTTCCAGGCCCAGACTGGAGGGAGACTCTTGGCTGCTTCTTGGGATCCCATGGTGACTGCCATTTTGATATCCTTGAGAGCAGCTTGCTATGAGGCCTTGACCACAATCCCAGGGCTCTTCAAAGAGACCACCTGGCCCCAGAGATGACCCATTGTCCCCTCCCCTCCTCTCCTTCACCATCTATGGCAGCCAGGGCTCCAGAAAACAGAGTATCCCTTTGGCCGCTGCTGGGAGCCCAGAAAGATCTGGAGTCAGGCAGACCTTGGTCTGCATCCCACCTGCTGCTCCCTTGCTGTGTGACCATGGGCAAATGACTTAACCTCTCTTAGCCTTGGGATCCCCATTTTTTGATGGGATAACAAAAACTACCAATTCCTAGCCCTAACACATTAATGTTTACCCTAACACCTCCGCCACTACACACACACACACACACACACACACACACACACACGGCATGTGAAGCTGCTGTGTACATGCCAGAGTCACCCAGGTTTGCTGGCATAATTCATGATACCAGATGCTTGCCATGTCATTGGGCCTGGCCTCCTCAAGCCCCGGTCCCTCTGGTGAGTAGGGAGCCCAAAGCTCCAGTGTCCCAGCTTCAAGGCTGGGTGATTTTGGCCTTAATCCTCTTTTTTTTTTCCCTGAGTCGGAGTTTTACTCTGTCACCCAGGTGGGAGTGCAGTGGTGTGATCTCGGCTCACTGCAACCTCCACCTCCTGGGTTCAAGCGATTCTCCTGCCTCAGCCTCCTGAGTAGCTGGGACTACAGGTGTGTGCCACCACTCCCAGATAATTTTTGTATTTTTAGTAAAGACAGGGTTTCACTATGTTGGCCAGGCTGATCTTGAACTCTGACCTCGTGATCTGCCTGCCTTGGCCTACCAAACTGCTGGGATTACAGGCATGAGCCACCGCACCCAGCCCTTAACCCTGTTTTCTACCTGCCTGAGCCTTGTAGGGGGAAGTCCTCAAATGAATCAGATTGTGGGTGGGATCCAGGGCCTCAGAGCCTGCAGTTAGCTCCCTGGAACTGGGGCTGAGGAAGAGCCTACCCTTTGATGAGGGGCTGGGCTGAAGGCTCTGGGCCAGGCCCACCTCTGGCTGCAATGATGGGAAGCTGAGAGGGGCGCAGAAGGACAGCTGAAGGCTTTTCTGCTGTCCTAGGAGCCTCTTGCAACAGTGAGGTTGGGAGCCCAGGGCAGAAAAAGGGATGCCAAGGCAGGAAACTGGCCCAGTCCAATGCCCCCTCCTCAACCAAATCCATCCTGCCCTCCCTGGGCCATGCGGTGGAAATAGACCCAGCCCACGGCTGCTCTTTCCTGGCTGTCCCATCCCCACCCCTAGCTGTCCCTCAGTTCTTCATCCATGAAGTAGGGTGACAAGACCTCTTTCCAAGGGTTGCCAGGAGGATTTACAGAAATGGTGAATATGGAATCACCTGGTATATTCCGGGCATACGGCAAAGTTTGGAAATAAACACACGTGCCCAGTGACACTTCCTGAGCTCATAGAACAGCTTGACCCTCCTGCAGCTCTTTATCTGGTCACCGAAATAAGTCCTCAGGTCACCTCCATGCAGGTGAGAACCAAGCTTACCTGGGAAGACTCTGGAGACCAAATCAGCTCTATCCTGTCCTCTCTATGTAGCCTTGGGCAAGTAACCAACCTCTTGGGGCCTCCACTTCTTAACTGTGAAATGGAGTTAACTTCCTCACTGGATGATTGAGGAAATTAAACAGGATGTGCCTAAAGTGCTTGACCAGCACTGACATTTGAAAAGTACTCAAAACCTGTCATTGTGATGAGGCTGACAACAGTGATGCTGCTGATGCTGCTCATGGTGACTATGGCGGTGGTGGTGGTGGTGATGAACGGGTACTGAGATGGGGAAGCGTGATTCTTCTCTGGCTCATCTAATTTCTATTCAACCCATCCTCTCCCTCTCTGGGGAGAGGACACCTCCCCAGTGCTGGAGAGTGGGGAGCCTCAGTGGTACCCCTCACCTCACATACCCCCTAAGCGGTCCTGTCTCTTTGCTGCAGCTTCAAGCCTCTGAGGACAGTGGACAGTGCAGCTTGCCTGGAGCCTCAGCCTCTGCTTGTTTCAGCCCCAAGCTCCTGCCATGCTGTGCTGCCTGATTCCCCCTCACATGCCTTTGCCTGCACAGGTTCCCCAACCCCACCCCTCCTCACCCCCACACTCCTGCTCCCCCTCCAGCAGCACATCTAAGCCCTTCCAGGTGTGAGAAGAAACCCAGCCCCACAGGCCCAGGCAGGCTGACTGAGGAGGACCGGGCAGGCCTGGGCCCCTTCCCCCAGCCGTGGCCTTGTGACAAGGGTCAGCATTCTGCTCACGGCAAGGGTCAGGAATCATTCTGTGACAAGGATCCAGGCAGGGTCTGTGACAAGGATAAGAGTGTATGTTGTACTTGGGGTCAGGTTCAGACCATAACAAAAGGGCTGAGCCCAAGAATGTCTGCTCTGATTCTATCATCGGTGCGGGAGCCCTGAAGAGGCTTCTCCCTGCCCCAGGTGCCCCCACGGTGCCCTGGGTAACTGGGTCAGGGCAGCTGGAACCTGACAGCACCAGGGTTGGTGGGAGTAGGGCTGAATTCTCTGCCTTGTTCCAAGCAGAGACAGCCAGGTCCCCATGCTCCCGGCCTCAGCCTTTGTCCTTGCCCCTGCCCTCCACCCAGGCCGCAATGTAAGCCGCAGCTGCACCGACGAAGGCTGGACGCACCTGGAGCCTGGCCCGTACCCCATTGCCTGTGGTTTGGATGACAAGGCAGCGAGTTTGGATGAGGTGGGTCTCAGGGCACCCCCACCTCACCTGCAGAGCGCCGGGGCCCACCTAGGAGACTTTGATCTCTCCCACCGAGGGGTGTGGTTGCTGTCTGTGTGGGAACAGGACTCCTGGAGTCTGCCCTCCTCTAGCCTCCTCCAGGCCTGCCTTTCTGGGGTCCCAACCCTTGGCTCCCCCTGACAGGGTATGGGAGGAGGCTTTCCCACAGGAGGGGCCCCCAGAGCAGCAAAAGCTGAAGCAGCTCCCCCAGGCTGGGCCACCCTACTGCCTCATGGGAACCTCACTTCAGCCCGGGAGTTGGCAGGGCAGGCAGACACCAGCACCCCATCCCATCCAGAGGGGAAACCGAGTTGCTGCAGGTCCTGGAAGGAACCAGACTTGGCTACCAAATAGCCAGTCAGGAACAGGGACAGAGCCTGTCATTCTCAGTCCCAGGACAGATATCTTCCCCGGAGCAGTTAAAACATGGTCTCTGTAAAGACTGGGGAGCCTGGTAAGGACATTGATGGGGAGGCTGGAGTCCTCAGCTAGGAGCCCCTCACTGCTTTGGGGTGCAAATGCATGTGTGTGTGTCTGTCTGCGATGGCATCTGCCCCACCCTCAGGCGCCCTTCTCAGACCGGGCTTTCACTCCACCCACCCCCGAGGACAGCAATTTCTTCAGAGGCCTTTGAAGCCCACTGGAGCTATAGGCCCTCATTCCCCCTTAACCACTTGCCTCTCCTCAGGCAAGCGTGGGAGGCTGACAGGAAGGAGTGGCTTGCCTAGTGGCTGTCGTGCTGCACTGCACCTGTGTCCATGGGGAGGGCATCAGGAGAGGGGACCAAGCGAGACACCCTCGGGGCCTAGCTTTGCCCTCCTCCACCGGAAAGGCCAGACTGCCCTCATCCCACCGACCCCAACTCCCAAGGGCCCAAAATGGGACATACTAGTGCCAGTGTCTTCTTCGACATCCCGCAACCTCGCATACCTCTCCTCCCTATACAGAGACAGGGCCTCGAGGGGTGTCTGAAGGGCAAGCAGACCCCACCCCTAGGGTGCCCAGCTCAGAGCTGGCACAGAAGGGAAGCCGGGCACATGGCTGGAGACATGAAATTAACAAAAGGGACGTGCAAGGTCTTCATTCTCTCCCTCACCAACTTGTCCCTCGTAAAGAAGCAAAGACAGGAAGTACATTCAACCCCCACCCCACCCTAAGACACAGTCCTGCCCTGTCTGTAGAAACCAGGGCGTTAGGGGTCAGGGGCTCAGCTGCTCTTGGGAGCCCCAGACCTCAGCCTCCTCATTTGCTGAGGCAGGGTTGGGCAGGCAGAGTGTGTAGGGCACCCCACCCCTGCCAATACCCCCTAGATGAGCCTCCCACCCCACCACCCAAGAGCCTCTCCCTGTCCCTCCAACAGCAGCAGACCATGTTCTACGGTTCTGTGAAGACCGGCTACACCATTGGCTACGGCCTGTCCCTCGCCACCCTTCTGGTCGCCACAGCTATCCTGAGCCTGTTCAGGTGAGGCCCAGCCCAAGTCACAGGCCTCAAAGCAAACCTGGCAAGTGTCCCTCCCACAGTGGAGCCCAGCGTGGCCCAGGCGTGCCCCGACCCCTCCACTGTTGCCCCCCAGCAGCACATACTCCCCAGCTCCTGCCAGGCCAGCTTCCCCTGGAGAAGGCAGGTGGCTGAGCTCTTCCATGTGTTGCAGCCTAGTCTCCCCTAGGATGGCCCTGCACCTGGGGACAGGGCACCAGAGAGTGGGGCCTGCACACAGGAATGAGGCTTCTGGGGCCACACACGAGGTTGAGGCCCTTGGGAGCCCAGTTGCACAGGTGGATGGGGTACCTGGGGGTGGGGCTCGTATTTCAGGATGGGATCCCCTTTGAGGCGGGGCCTGCCCTCTGGAGGACACATGCTCCCCTGCCCCACCCTTGCTCAGCACATAGGACAGCATTGGCTGGGGTGGGGATCCAAGGCCCCTTTGGCCTCCCAGATCTGCCCACCCCACACAGGAAGCTCCACTGCACGCGGAACTACATCCACATGCACCTCTTCATATCCTTCATCCTGAGGGCTGCCGCTGTCTTCATCAAAGACTTGGCCCTCTTCGACAGCGGGGAGTCGGACCAGTGCTCCGAGGGCTCGGTGAGGATCCTGGCCCTGGCCCACCTCCCTCAGTCTCGCCGTTATCTTTAACCACTGTAATCTCCTCTTCTCCCCCTGCTTCTCCCTCTCCCTCCTCCCTCTTCCCTCCCACCCCACCCCTCAATCCAAGGATAGCCTAACCCCCACCCAACCCCACCTGGCAGTACTCAAATCACACTCCCCTCCGGCAACAGGAGATGTTGCTCACCCATCTGGGTGCTCACAGACCTGCCGCCGCCAGTGAGAAAAGCAGATGGGAAATGGGACACTTCATGGCCACAGCCCAGAGCACCTGTCCCACCTGTTGCTAACTTCCTATGTGGCCTTGGGGAACTTACAGCCTCAGTTTCCCCATCTGTGCAAGGAATTCCAAGATTCCTTCCAACTCTGCCATCTGCCACCTGCATAGCCAGGGCTCTGCTCACCATGCCACTTTTCCTACTCCCCCCGTCCCCGTGCCATCTGGAGTGGGTCCATACATATGCAGTCCTCCTCTTTTGTTCTGATCCTGACAGCAGGCTGGTTCTGGGCCTTCCTAGGGAAGAGAGGTAAAGGGATCATCTAAGGAATTCATTGCCAGTCACTAAGGGGGCCATCTCCAAGGGATTCTTAGGGACCCTCTCTGAGTGCCCCAAGCTTTGACAGAGAGCTTGAGATCAGCCCCAGCCCCCACTCATTCCTTGTGGTCAGTAACTCATTGCTTCATGCATGACCCCAGAGGCAGTGCATTATATCAGGGGTCAGCAGTACCTTCTCCCCAAAGAGTGAAATGATCATACTGGAATCTCAGGCATTTCAACAAGGGGGAGAGAAAACCTAGGGGACCCACTTTGGCCATTCCCAGAGCTTCTCAGAGGTTCTGTCCCAGGAGCTGTGAGGCCAAGTCAGACATGAGCATTGTGAGCCACAGGACCTGTGGAGGAACCTGCTGCCTCCTGTGCACATGTTACGGATAATTATGGAGACTGGCTTCCCAATTCATTACTGCGAAGCTTTTCTAAGACTAGGAAGAAGCACAGATAACTGTCCTGGTAAAGAGCTGAGTTATGGCCAGACGCGGATTATGGCTCACGCCTGTAATCCCAGCACTTCTGGAGGCTGAGTTGGGCGGATCATGAGGTCAGGAGTTCAAGACCAGCCTGACCAACATGGTGAAACCCAGTCTCTACTAAAAATACAAAAATAAAAAAAATTAGCTGAGTGTGGTGGTCAGCACCTGTAATCCCAGCTACTCAGAAGGCTGAGGCAGAATAATCGTTTGAACCAAGGAGGCAGAGGTTGCAATGAGCCGAGATCATGCCATTGCACTCCAGCCTAGGTGACAGAGCAAGACTCCATCTCAAAAAAAAAAAAAAAAAAAAGAGTTATTCTCCAAAAGCAAATGGGAGGAAGATGGGGAGGCAAGAACTCCTGTAACTGGAGGGACTGAAGCGAGACCTGAGGAAGGACTTTCCAACCAAAGGGAGTGGTGGGGGCAGGGGGAGGCTTCTCTCTGAGGATGTCGCAAACCAAGGGTACAGGAAGGAAGGGTGGGAACCAATGTTTTGGGTACAGGGGGAAGTGGAAGCCAGACAGTTTCCTGGTGGAGGGTGGCTTTAAGCCCTGGCTGACAGACATCTAGGCTTGATCTGAAATGGGGGACTTTCTGGGAGGGGACAGAAGGCCCAGAATACCTTCCAGTCATGCCAAGTGGGCCACCCAGAGCCCTGTGATTGCTCTACTCATGGGTCTCCCTAACTCCTTCATGGTCCTCGTCTGCCTAAGAAACCCATTCTTCCACTCGGTCCTCTGAACCCCAGGAGGAATGGCCACCCCTCCCCTCTTCTCTTCTTCTTCATTTCTACTTCCCCCTCTTCCACCCTCTTCTCAGTCCCAGTCTCCCTCCACACTTCCATCTGGGCCCCACTCCACAGTCCACAGCCCTCCACTCCCCCACATTGAGCAGACTCTTGAAACTCAAGCAAGAATTCTCCCTCATACCTTCCAGCTACCTTCAATACAAATTGGCATTAGATGAATGAGTGGGTGGGGTGGGAGTGTGGATGGGCAGGTTGGTGGATGGCTAAGTAGGCAGCAGGATAAATGGGTTAAGTAAGGAAGATTGGACAGATGATAGGCAGAGGGGCAGGTAGGTAGATATGTGGGTGGATGCACAAGTGGATTGATGGGTGGGTGCAGAGATGAATGGATGGGTAGATGACTGAGTGGGTTGGTAGAAGAATGGAGAGATAGGTGTGTGGGTGGATGGATTGATAGATGGGAAGATGATAGATGATGGATGGACACATGGATAAAAAATGGATAAATGAGTGAGTTGATAGTGAATGTCTAGTGGGTGAGTGGGTAAATAAATGGATACATGGATAGGTGGGTAGATGATTGAATGGGCAGATGGGTAGATATATAGATGGGAAGGTGAATAGATGAATTGATGGATGGATAATTAAAATCACCAGTTTATCCCGAAGTATCAGAGGATCTAAAATTAGGGAAAATGGGAAAACCAATGAGTACATTTTTAAGGGGATAATGCAAAACAACAAAGAGATTAAGTTGGCTGCACTGCAACTGTGTTTGTCCCCCCAGACACGAGTGTGGGCAGTCAAGGACCCTTGACAGCCCCAGTGAACCCCGTCTTTTCTCCTCCCCCTGCAGGTGGGCTGTAAGGCAGCCATGGTCTTTTTCCAATATTGTGTCATGGCTAACTTCTTCTGGCTGCTGGTGGAGGGCCTCTACCTGTACACCCTGCTTGCCGTCTCCTTCTTCTCTGAGCGGAAGTACTTCTGGGGGTACATACTCATCGGCTGGGGTATGGTACCAGGGAGGGCTTCCAGGCTGGGGACAGAGGGGGCAAGGCCTGGAGAACTCCCTAGGGGGAGGGTGCCAACCCAGCTTGCAGTCCTACGTCTTGCTTAGCTGCAGGTCCTGCCTGCAAGGATATCAGCCAAGGGTCAAGAAAGTCCTCAAAATGTCTGATCCCAGGACAAGTCCCTCAGGTTGCAGCTGCACCTAGGGCTGACCTGTGGGACAGATTTTGTGAACATCTTTCCATTTCCCTTTAGTTCCCGAAATACACAGGGCCACTGCTAATCTATAAAGGGCCTCTGTCACAATTAGAAAGAGAATGTCCGTCTAGGTAGACACAGCCCTTCAGGCATACAGCTTCACCCCCTCAGTGGAGCATCCCTCCGTGGTGAACAACCTATGCAACCAAAGACAGCAGACTGACAACCCACCCTTTTCTCTCTCCCTCCCTCTCCCTGCTTTTCTCCAAAATCTCTCCCTCATGCCCTCTACCCCTGCTTCCTGTGCCCTCTCTGCTCTTTCACTCTCCCTGGGCCTGACAGGGGTACCCAGCACATTCACCATGGTGTGGACCATCGCCAGGATCCATTTTGAGGATTATGGGTGAGCTGCTGCCCCACACACTCCCCCGGCCGCCATCACTTGGGCAGGCCCCCTGGGTGGGATGATAATGCCATCTGGCCTTGGTGAGTGGACAAAAACCACAGCTCTCGGGCCAGAGGGGAGGCTGGAGGAGGACCTGGGGAGCAACAGACTCTGGGCCCGGGGTTGCTAAAGTGCTCAGGAGCAGAGCTGGGGACAACTGGGGGAGGTGCTGCTGAGTCTCTCTCTGGCTGAGGACAATCCCTCTCATTCCTCCCCACGGTCTGCTCAGGTGCTGGGACACCATCAACTCCTCACTGTGGTGGATCATAAAGGGCCCCATCCTCACCTCCATCTTGGTAAGATACCCTCCCACCACCTAGAGATGGGGAAACAGGCCCAAAGGGCAGGCAACTTAGCCCAAGGTCACATGGGAAATTAGTATCTAGGTCAGAACTGAAACGTAGCTTCCTAATGCCCAATGCAGGATCATCCCCACCCCTGTCCTACCAGTTCTTCCTTGAGCGTAAGCGGATTGGGAGCACAGTCCTTAGGGATTTGAAGGAGGTAGAGTTCCCGGATGACCTGCCCAAAGGGGAAATGCCAGAGGAGAGGTAAGATAGAGAGAGGGGCAGCAGGACCCTGGGAAAGAAGACAGGCCAGCAGTCAAGGGGCCTGAACACCTCAGCCTTCCCGCTCTGACTGCCCGAACTCGGGTCCCCACCCACTAGGTAAACTTCATCCTGTTTATTTGCATCATCCGAATCCTGCTTCAGAAACTGCGGCCCCCAGATATCAGGAAGAGTGACAGCAGTCCATACTCGTGAGTGTGGGCCTAGTGCCTCAGCCCCCAGTACCTCCATCCCCAGTCCTCAAATCATCCCACATCTCCTTGAAGTCCTCCCACCCCAAACATCCAGAGTCACCAAAGAGCCACATTGTTCTTTCCCACCTCCACCATGGCCTGGCTCAGCCCACCACCATCCCCTGCTCCAGCCCCACCCTCACCAGGCTGCACTCAGAGCCCTGCATGCTTCTCCTGCCCACACTCACCTAGCATCCTTCCCAGGTATGCATCTGCTGCCAAGCCAGGGAGCTCAAGAGGACACCGATGACCTGTGTCTTGTTCATACCATGTGCCCAGTCCCTGGCATGTGCCTCACATGGAAAAAGGGTGCAATAAACACATAGTAGATGAATGCCCTGGGGGAGACCCCAGTCCACCAATGAGACAGCCATGTTCGGGACTCAGTATTCCTCAGTAATAATGATGACACCTGCAGTTTACATGCCAGGCACACGCTAAGGGATTTCCATGCATCATGTCATTTCATCCACACAGTCCCCTGCAAAATTATCTTTACTTTACAGGGAGGAAATGACATACACTCCCTTCTCCTTGAGGGTTTTGGAGCAGGTCACCATGGGCAGGGAGAAGGGGGCACAATGTCCATGGACCAGGGCTTGGAAAGGTGTCAGGACTGTTCCCCCTGCTTGGGAGGACTGGAGGAAGAGGCAGGTTTTTTTGCGGGAGCAACAAGGCTTGAAGACAGAGCTAAAGAAACATGAAAAATATGAAAAGGGAGGCTGTGGGAAGGCAAGTAGGGTCTGCATGCTCACAGATGGGAGTAGGAGATTGAGTATCAGTGCTATTGACACAAGACAAACCTGGGACGTCCCACAAGGCCTTCCAGTCCTGGGATTCTTCTTGGCCTGGCTTCTCTTTGGAGAGTCTGTGCTGTGGTTCTAAGATTCCTGGCTAGAATGTCACAGACTGCTGGATTTAGGATTCTATTCTGGAATCCTGTGATTCTCCCTGATGAGACTAAGACTCACATTCCTGGTGTGACTGCATTCTCTCCTGCCAGGTGTGTAGGCGGAGCTTCCCTTCCTGTCTGAGAAGGAAAGGCTGGGGGGGACGGGGGGGGCATCTGCAGTCTGCTGAGGGGCAGCACATCGGGCCTGTGCACCCTTATCCTCTCCTTTGCCGATGGGACCTTATTTCCCCCAACTTACAATGGTTCAAAAGGGCCTGAATCTGAGGCAAACAGAGCTGGCCATGGTCAGGGCCAGGTCTGTGTGGTGAGACAGAAAGGAAACAGTTGTCAGCAGGCAAAAGGGGTGGGGGCAGTTGGAGATGAAGCTCCTCAAGGAGAAGCTGTCAGCTCCCACTCTACACCTCCCCATAAGCCTTTGATTTAAAGAAAGCCTCCATCTGTTAGCCTCCGGTGTGTGGGATAGTTTTGCAGCCGAAGAGGGGTGGGCATTGCTCAGGATCTTGGCATGGCTGAGAACCAGGTCCAGGAAGGAGTGGGAGGGGCAAGGCCAGCTCCTCTGCCCCCAGCTTGCTGTGGGACCTCAGGCCTTGGGCTAGACTTCCTTGGACTGACTGCTAAGGCAGGAGAGACAGAGTCAGAGACCCTCCCTATCCACACCCCACCTCTCCTAGCCAGGGAGCAATGGGTTCACACTGCCTGGATCAGCTATGAGGTCAGGTGGCTGGGAGGCCTGAACCAGGAAGAGCTCTGGGCCATGGGAGGCGGGTGAGCATTTAGAATGAATGCTGACCCTACTGAGCACACAAAGCTGTGAAGAAGGAGCTGGTCCTTCAGAGCACGCTGGGAGTATATGCACTGGTGTGGGGAGGTAGGAGGAGGGGGATGCAACCCCAGAGAAGGTGGCAACTTCTGGAGAAGCAGACACAGCAGAAAAAACACAGATAGAGGGCGATACTGATTAATTTTGGGTTGTCCCTGGTGATCAGGTATGAACTTGGGTCCCCATCACCCTCCCAAGTGGCCCTGGGCATATGTGGTCAGCACCCAGTTAGAAAGACTTGTTTCCTAGTACGTCTTCTCTCATGGTCTCTCATGGATGCACTATACTTCATAGTACCCAAAACACTTCCAAGTTCATAGTGGGCCTCTGTTTCTATAATTTGACTATGTCGAGCATACACTTACTGCATTATACAAATTGGAAAAACTGAGACCAGGAGAGGAGGAACCAGAATCTCTTGTTGCCTAAGAGATTTTCTACTGCTCTTGATGGCTGAGAGCATCCTCTACTGCAATGATGAGGTAAGCCTCTCCTAGACCAGGGGGCCCAGGCAACAGAACTCCCAATAGTGGATTTCAGCTAACATGTCCCTGTTAGCATCATTCTCACTGGCCTCTCCTTTACCTCTTACCCTCTCTCCTCCAGAAGGGTGAGAATAGAGGGGGTTTCTTTCTCTCTCATGCTTCCCTCCAGGCCAGGAGGGCTGGGGGCAGAAGGGCAGAGGCACTGCAGCTGTGGAACAGGAGCAGACAAGGGCATAATATTCAGAGGAACCTACAGTCCATCCTCATACTTCCTGGTCATTGTCCCCATCTTCTGTGCCTCCAGCTGCCCCCATGCCACACCCTATCATATCCACATGTGTGGACACACATACCCATGGCCTGTCCCTCCCCTGTCTCCAGAAGGCTAGCCAGGTCCACACTCCTGCTGATCCCCCTGTTTGGAGTACACTACATCATGTTCGCCTTCTTTCCGGACAATTTTAAGCCTGAAGTGAAGATGGTCTTTGAGCTCGTCGTGGGGTCTTTCCAGGTATGGGCTGTTGACTTAAGGCTGCATTCTTCCCTGGCTTTTAAGGGAATTCAACCTGGAGTCTTGGCCCTTGCCACTGGATTCCAACCTTTTTACTGTAATAAGTATTAGATAAGCACCTACTTTGTGCTTAGCTCTTTCCTTAACCAGGGGAACACAGGGGCTGGAGCCAGGGGTGGGGCAGGGCTGGGGGCTTCTGGTCTGTCTACCTCACCTCTCCTGTCATCTTCCTTCTCAGGGTTTTGTGGTGGCTATCCTCTACTGCTTCCTCAATGGTGAGGTAAGCCCCTCCCAGTCCTTGGGGCTTAGGCAATGGAACTCCCAGGACCAGGGTCCGGAAACATTGGTGGGATATGTGCAGAGCAAGGACGGGTTAAACCTTGCTGCTCCAAGTATGGTCCTCAAACTAGTAGCACTGGTGTCACCTAGGCCCTTGTTAAAAATGCGCATCTCTGGGACCACCCCAGACCTGCTGGCTTAGAATCTGCATTTTAATAATTATTTTAAAAAACAAACAAACAGCTTTTTACTAAACCCCAGGGGGATTCCTGTGCACAACAGAGTTTGAGAAACACCTAGTTAAGTGGCTGTGTGCAGTGAGTGGGGAGGGATGAGGGCTTCCAATGAAGGTTGAGTTGCTGTGGAGCTCTGGTTACATTGCACAAAAAACCCACTCAAGTGAGCTGGAGACCCAGGATGGGAAGAATTGGAGTACAGTCACCCCTAGGCAGCATCCCTCCCTCTCCCTGGACTGTATTCTAGGATCCTCTCTGCCTCTTACCTCCTGCCATTCCAAGGCCTCCTTCTGAACCTGGCCTCAACCCAGTCCCAAGTTTGCACCGCCCGAGGCAGCATAGGGGTCCCTCCATTTTGATTTCCTAAAGAGAATAAGACTGGCTAGTTCAGAACCCTAAGTCCAGGGCAGCCCAATCAGCAGTGGAAGAGGCTCCACAGCAGTGGGCCTGACCACCTTCCCCTCTCCTAGGTGCAGGCGGAGCTGAGGCGGAAGTGGCGGCGCTGGCACCTGCAGGGCGTCCTGGGCTGGAACCCCAAATACCGGCACCCGTCGGGAGGCAGCAACGGCGCCACGTGCAGCACGCAGGTTTCCATGCTGACCCGCGTCAGCCCAGGTGCCCGCCGCTCCTCCAGCTTCCAAGCCGAAGTCTCCCTGGTCTGACCACCAGGATCCCAGGGGCCCAAGGCGGCCCCTCCCGCCCCTTCCCACTCACCCCGGCAGACGCCGGGGACAGAGGCCTGCCCGGGCGCGGCCAGCCCCGGCCCTGGGCTCGGAGGCTGCCCCCGGCCCCCTGGTCTCTGGTCCGGACACTCCTAGAGAACGCAGCCCTAGAGCCTGCCTGGAGCGTTTCTAGCAAGTGAGAGAGATGGGAGCTCCTCTCCTGGAGGATTGCAGGTGGAACTCAGTCATTAGACTCCTCCTCCAAAGGCCCCCTACGCCAATCAAGGGCAAAAAGTCTACATACTTTCATCCTGACTCTGCCCCCTGCTGGCTCTTCTGCCCAATTGGAGGAAAGCAACCGGTGGATCCTCAAACAACACTGGTGTGACCTGAGGGCAGAAAGGTTCTGCCCGGGAAGGTCACCAGCACCAACACCACGGTAGTGCCTGAAATTTCACCATTGCTGTCAAGTTCCTTTGGGTTAAGCATTACCACTCAGGCATTTGACTGAAGATGCAGCTCACTACCCTATTCTCTCTTTACGCTTAGTTATCAGCTTTTTAAAGTGGGTTATTCTGGAGTTTTTGTTTGGAGAGCACACCTATCTTAGTGGTTCCCCACCGAAGTGGACTGGCCCCTGGGTCAGTCTGGTGGGAGGACGGTGCAACCCAAGGACTGAGGGACTCTGAAGCCTCTGGGAAATGAGAAGGCAGCCACCAGCGAATGCTAGGTCTCGGACTAAGCCTACCTGCTCTCCAAGTCTCAGTGGCTTCATCTGTCAAGTGGGATCTGTCACACCAGCCATACTTATCTCTCTGTGCTGTGGAAGCAACAGGAATCAAGAGCTGCCCTCCTTGTCCACCCACCTATGTGCCAACTGTTGTAACTAGGCTCAGAGATGTGCACCCATGGGCTCTGACAGAAAGCAGATACCTCACCCTGCTACACATACAGGATTTGAACTCAGATCTGTCTGATAGGAATGTGAAAGCACGGACTCTTACTGCTAACTTTTGTGTATCGTAACCAGCCAGATCCTCTTGGTTATTTGTTTACCACTTGTATTATTAATGCCATTATCCCTGAATCCCCCTTGCCACCCCACCCTCCCTGGAGTGTGGCTGAGGAGGCCTCCATCTCATGTATCATCTGGATAGGAGCCTGCTGGTCACAGCCTCCTCTGTCTGCCCTTCACCCCAGTGGCCACTCAGCTTCCTACCCACACCTCTGCCAGAAGATCCCCTCAGGACTGCAACAGGCTTGTGCAACAATAAATGTTGGCTTGGATTGGCTTGGTTCCCCTGGTGGTTGATATTCTCATATGGCCTAAAATGGGACCAGCTTCCAACTTGGAGCCATCTTCCTCCACCCAAAGGATGGGTGATCTAATACATTACTGAAACCAGATGCCTCAACTCTTTTGGCTTTTGACAGAAATCCATATTTTCATATGAGGCATTCACAGTTCTGAGGGCCTTCAGCTCCCATCTTTTTGAGTGGTATCCTCTCTCCTCTGAGTGTGATGAAGACCAGGTCCCCATTGTGTCCCCCCACTCCTTAAATCCAGCCAAGAAAAGACCATTCTAATCTCAGATCAATACAAAACAGCTGGCAGAGCTGCCCAGGGTCCCAGAAATGGTTGAGTGTGAGTGTTTCACAGGCCGCAGACATTGCTGCAAACAAGGGTCTAGGATGACCATGTTGCAATTACCCAGGGCTCAGCTAAGAGGAGGTAGGTAGTGGACAAAACAAATGTCACCAACACAAGTTGAGTGAGCAGAGACAATATGGCACTAATAAAAAGGTTTAGACACAGAGGCAGTATGGCAAATATCATCAGTCAGCAAGAGATGTCTCCAAAGCCGTTCCCATGCTGACCTCCTTGGGTCCCACCTCCTGCAAACTTGCTAGAGGAGCAGGAGAGGGATGTCAAGCTGGTAAAATGTGGTCAGAATGGGCTGGCAAAGGCTCATATCTGCCTGCCCAGCTACTTCAATGCCTTGTCTGACCCAGTACCATTCCAGGACCCATCATCAATGACAGTTCCAACCCAGTATCCTCAGAGGCCAGAGTCAGGGGTGTTCAGGCCAGAATAGAAGTGACTGTGAGCCATGGGCAGAGGCACCCCCAGGGAAATGCCCTTTGATCAGTTGCCCAGCATATCCAGGAGTGGCACGGTCTCTCCATCTAGATTCACACTCCATGCCCTGCCCTGTGCATGGTCAGCCATAGGATCGAGAAGGAGGCGCTGTTCCTAACCTTGACCTCAGGTACCCCCAGGCCTGCTAGAGAGAACATTGTCAGTAGCCCCCACCCCTGCCCAGACCAACAGTGGTGACCACCAGTGAGGTACTGGTGGTGGAGAGCTGAGCTGGGGCATCTAGAACTTCTTTCATTCTTCCCTGAGCGTCTTTTTTTTTTTTTTTTTGAGATGGAGTCTCGCTCTGTCGCCCAGGCTGGAGTGCAAGTGGTGTGATCTTGGCTCACTGCGACCTCCACCTCTCAGGTTCAAGCAGTTCTCCTGCCTCAGCCTCCTGAGTAGCTGGGACTACAGGCATGCACCACCACGCCTGGCTCATTTTTGTATTTTTAGTAGAGATGAGGTTTTGCCATGTTGGCCAGGCTGGTCTTGAACTCCGGACCTCAGGTGATCCGCCCACCTCGGCCTCTCAAAGTGCTGGAATTACAGGTGTAAGCCACGGCACCCAGTCTACTGACCCTGGGCATCTTGCATTCCCGCCACTCCAAGGCATAGGAGTTGAGAGACAGGGGACAGACAGTCTGTCCATGTTCCCCTCATCCAATTGGGGCATGCCACTCTCTCTCTCTCTCTCTCTCCCTCTCTCTCTCTGGTTTCCCTCCTCCCACTCCCTACTTGGTGCCACTCTGAACTGCTTCCAGAGACCCTGTCCACCCCATACTTCTCAGTAAGGTCCAGAAGACCCAGCCCTTGTCATTTAATCCCAATTCTGCTTCAGACTTTCTCAGAGATCATGGGCAGGTCTCCTCCTGATTATGAATCTCTCCATCCACCTGCACAATAGGGAGTGTTCTAGATGACTTTGCTTAGTCCCTGGCTAAGGCACAGATGATTAATGACGAGGGGCTGCCCAGAGCCTTCTGCCACCCACTCTGCCCCCCTGGGCTCAGGGGAAGGACAGCAGCTGGTGGGAGGAGCCCCAAGAAGTTGGGGGCTAAGGCATACACAGAGGATGGAGGCTGTGCAGAGAACAAGGTCAGAGATCTGGCAGGACTCCTTGAGAGATTAACTCAGGCCAGTAGAAGAAAGGAGAAGGGAGAGGGGGACAGAAATGCAGAGGAAAGGGCAGCACCTTGCCTTCCAGGTTAGGACCCTATAGACTGCCTGGGCTGTGTGAAGGCTGGGAGGGGCCCCCACACCACACTGTATCTGCCCCACCCACCACAGTCCCTGATATCCCCCCGTATTCGTGTGTCATGGCTTTGGGGTAAGGCAGACAGCCTGGGTAGGGGACCAGTTGTCAGCCAAGAGGGTGGAGAGTGAATGAAGCAGAGATCCAAGATGTGGGCAACAAAAGGGAGGACATAGGTGGGGCCCTGCTCAGAGAGGTTACTGGGAAGGGCAAAGCTTAGTGATGGGCACTTAAGGATGGCGAGAAGCTGAAACAGTCTCCCAGGCCGGAAACAGCCGTGGAATAATGGGGTTGGCCACAAGCAGGACTTTTCCTGGTCCCCTCCTTCTCCCCCTGCCCCGCCCACTCCCAGGTCCCTTGCCAGGTACCTGTCCGGCCAGGCCAACTCATCTCTATCGCCCCCTGGTGGATGCTTCAAGGACTTCACTAAGATTGACCTTAGTGCCCAAACACCTGGGTGGAGGCCCATTCCTAGGAGGCCAAGTGATCCAGAGGGTGGGCCTCTCTCCTGAGCACCATGCAGAGTGAGATACAAGAGGGAGGAGGCGGTGAGGCAGTGAGGCCGCAGGACTGGTTATCAGGCTTTAGTCTGAAATTAAGGCGACCCGGGGCCTGGCCCTTAGACCCAGGCCACTGACCTCTGCTGCACACAAACCCTGCCTCAGACCCAGCTGTAACCCCCGATAGAGCCCAGCCTCTGACTGGCCACAGGCTGGACCCTAGCCACTGACTGAGCCCTAAGCCCAGTCCCTGAGGGCAAAGCCCAGTTGACTCATGTGGGTACCTCCTGGGAAGACAAGGACAAGGAGCACCCCACCATCCCTGTGCAGAGAGCCACCATCCCCTCCATGGCAGAGGTCACCATCTGGGCGATTCCTGCCACTCCAGGGCATGGGCTGCCCAAGGAGGGTGGCCAGTTTGCCAGCAGTATGGATAGGGGACGGTGTCTCAGGTGAGGGAACATCGAAGTGGTCTCTGAGGGCTAGGTAGGGGTCTCTGGGTCCCAAGAGAACATGATGGGTGCCAGGGATAACTGAATCCTAGAGGGCGGGCATCAGGGGTCCTTTGCAGCAGGAGCACAGTGGAGGCTTCCTAAGTGAGGCCGAGGGGATGATGGTGGGTTTGGGGCGGGCCACTCTGGCTACTGAGAAGGGCCCAAGGGGCAGGCTGGGAAAAGCTGCCAGTCCCCCATCCAGGTGGGGAGGAGGAGGGCTGGGGAAATGATGACCTGGTTTAGGACATGCTGAATGTAATGTCTGCAGGACATCTGAGGAGAAGCTCTAAGGCAATTGGAATCAGGACCCAAAGTGACAGAGCTCAGGTGGCAGGTGGGGACAGAGGGCAGCCCCCTTGGGGAGGGGTGTGTGGGGAGTGTATATCCCCAGGCAACCCCATCTGCTGTGCTGGCAGGAGTGGGGTGAAGAGTCAGAATCAGCCCCTCCATTCTCACCACTCACCCAGGGCCTATTTTAATGAACAATGACCCAGCCTCTCCCAATGTGGGAACAGGAACTGCTCTTATCTCTCCCAGGGGAGGGGGCCGGAGCCACAGCTGGCAGTCATTAAACACCCCAATCAGGCCAGGGATGGCCAAGATATTAATAGGCAGGAGCCAGTGACCCTGGAGACACAGCCTCCTAGGAAGAGGGACAGTAACCCCAGTAGGCTATGGGGATAAGGAAGACAGGTCAGAAGGCCACCCTGGCAATGCCCCAGCCTCTATACAGGACAGACGGGGTAACCAAAGGCCAGAGAAGGGAAAGGACATGCACGAGATCACCAGGAAAGTCACTGATAGAGCCTAGCCTTGAACCCAGTTCTCCAAACTTCAGAGCCCTGCCTCTTCCATTACACAGATCATCATAGGTGAGACCATTAGGGATGCCCTCTGTGGAAACACATGAAGAGCAGGCCTAATCAGTGACACTGATTCTTTGTTTAAAATCTTGATATTTTGCTGATTATATATGTTTTGCGTTAATTTTGATATTTTAAAAATATTAGATTAAAATATTATCTTGATCACTGAGGTTTTTTTGCCACCCCTTTCAATTTTGCACCTGAAGCAAGTATCTTGCTTGCCTCACTCTAATCCCAGCCCAGCTCCCGGGATCCCAGCATCCCCGTGTCCCAGGATATTAGCATGGAAGAAACTCTGGAGAGCTCCAGACTGGTCTTTACGTGTCTCAGAAGGAAAAGATCCTGTCAGGGTGATGTCTACTAGAAGGAGGCAGCTCCAGGGCAAATTCAGTGGCTCAGCAATATCACCGCAGATGTAGGTATTTTCTGTCTGTCCACTCTGCCATCTCAGTATGTGGACTTTCATCCTCAGACTTACCCCCTCATGACTGCACAATGACTGTTGCTGCCCAAGCATCATGTTCCCACAGAACCCCATCCACTGGCAGGGAGGAGAATTTCCTCTATATGTCTCCTTTTATCAGGGACAGTCATCTATCCCAGGACCCACCTTTCGCACACTCTCTTCAGGCCAGGATTAGGTCACATACCCAAACCACAGCTGCAAAGATTGGTGAGGGTTCTATAAGGGAAGTTGATCTACTGAGAAAGAAATGGGGATGGCTGCTGAGTAGGTAACCAACAGAGTCTGACTCTCAGTCTCTTTTTGGACATTTCTTGGGATAAATGTGTGATCTTTCATATTCCTCCACCTGAGCCTAGTGGTGCAGTATATGGGGGAGGGGAGAGATCCAAATCAGTCATGCTTCAGTGTAAGAGACAGAAAACGTTCCGGGTGTTTTGTACAGAAAGAGATTGAGTGTAGGGAATTAAATATAGGAAGGCTTGGAGGGCTGGAAGTTTGGGTGCACCTCTATCCATGGTCACACCATTGCAGCTGCCACCTTGCCGAACATTACTGCCAATATCTCGGTTGCACATCCATTAAAGCTAGTGACAAGAAAGCAGAAGGAACATAGTGTCCTGCTGCTGCAGAAAACTCAGGTCTGCCATATCCCACCCATCAGCCACCACGCTGCAGGAAACACAGCCTTTACTTTTCTCTGCTTCCCAACTGTCTTGGTGGTGCTTCCCTCTGGTAGAGCCTAAGTTGCATCAAATTCCTAGCAGTGAGAGAATTCCGGAAAGGAAGCCTTGAGCCTTCCAACCCCAACAAAGCAGGGGAACATGGAAGGGGCTAGAGAAGAGGCTGAATGCCAATAGATAATTTCTAGCACAGCGGCTCAGGTGGCATTGTAGCCCAAGTCCCAGAAAACAGAGCCTGAGACAAGGGCCTGTGACCAGGAAACAGAAGAGTGAAACGGGGAAGTGAGGAAAGCCAATATAAAGGTGAGTCATCAGCCCGGGCAACATGGTGAGACCCTATCTCTGCAAAAAAATTAAAAAATAAAAAAATAGACGGGTGTGGTGGTGCACGCCTGTAGTCCTAGCTACTTGGGAGGCTGAAGTGAGAGGAACACTTGAGCCCAGGAAGCTGAGGCTGTAGGGAGCCATGATTATGCCACCGCACTCCAGTCTGGTGACAGACCAAGACCCTGTCTCACGATAAAGGTGAGTTATTGCACTGGCCACTACTGGGGCAACAGGACTCAATTCACTGGGACCCTCTGCAGGGCTGGCAGAACACGCCCAAAATCGTCCTCCTGAGGGACAGAGAAGGAAAGCATTAACCACTGGCTCCCAGCCTCTGTTGCTCAAGGTTTGCCCACGTTAGCCCCCTCACTCTTCCAGGCTTGACAGGCATGAACAAGAAGCAGGTTCCTGCAGGCATCCCATCACATAGTCAGAGGAACTCCGGGGCAGAAAGGGCCAGCTATGTGGTAGAGATAGGGTGAGGAGCTGTCAGGATCCCCCACCAGGAAGCTGGCTAAGGTTGGCCAATAGGGAATGAGGCAGAGGACCCAACACAGGTGGCCTCCTGGGGCTGAGAAGAGGAGCCCCACACAAAGGTCCTCGTGCACTAAGGTCTGCATGGACACTCACTGGTCCTGCTGCCAAGGTCTTTGGCTGGGGTACTCATAGCTGCTCTCTTGGCTGCAGCCCCAGGGTCTACCCAGCTGACTTGGCCCCACTGAGGCTCACTCTGGCCCCTCACACCGCTCCAGGCTCAGCCATGCCATCACCCAGCCATGCCATCACCCAGCCTTGGGTGTGAGCTTCCCCCCGCCATGGCCTCTGTGGCACTCACTTCACCATTCACCATGGCAACACCATGACAGACCCACCAGTTCCAACTCCGCCACCTTTCTCATGCCCCAGGGAGCATGCAGGAACTTCTGAGTCCCTTCCAGGCCTCTGGGAGCTGAGGGTAGCTTGGTGGTGTTCACTCAGATCTACTTGGCGTTAAATTTATAGATCCACCATTTTATCTAGAAGGGCCACTTAAGGGGCACAGGTTGCTGGGAGGACTGACTTCCTAACACAGAGTGGGACACACACACCCTCTGTTTTCAGGTTTCAATGTGTCCCTTCAATATTTCCTAGGTAATGAGACCAGGTGGGCTTTCCTCCCTTCCTTCTATCCTCACTTTCTCCTTGCAGAGATGACATACCCCTCCTCCACATTTCCCCAGGTCATAATGGTGG
The DNA here is from genome assembly GCF_000001405.40 of Homo sapiens. Lineage (NCBI taxonomy): Eukaryota > Metazoa > Chordata > Mammalia > Primates > Hominidae > Homo > Homo sapiens. The sequence goes on from NC_000003.12 coordinate 42,544,240, forward strand.
AGGGCTTCAGAGGGATATAATCTCAGGGGCCAGGTAATGAGAACGGTATCTGTTTAATGTTTTCAAAGTATTACCATCATATTTTCATTCAGCAAATAATTACTGTGTGCACAGTTCTAGACACTGAGGATGCAGTGGTGAACATGGCAGAGCCCTTGCCCTCATGGAACTGACCCTCTAATGGTGGAGACAGATAGTAAAAGAGAAAAGTTACAGAAAAAGAAGGCAGGATGAGGGTTAGAGTGAGGGGGGTGCTCTGTTAGTTGGGGTGGCCAGAGGGAATGACAGTGGGGCAAGAGCAGGTCATTCCCCCTCCCTGATGATCAGAGGAATTTAAACCATATGCATCAGAGCTGGGGCTCAGAGATCTTGCAGTCCAGGTCAAAACATCCAGTTCCCTGCCTCTGCAGAAGCAGCCTGGACAGTAGCTAAGGAGAACCAGGTGGCCTGGGGCCTCAGCAGGGTCTGAACTCCCCTAGGCAGGGGCTCAGGGGCTGACCAAGCAGTAAGGAGAGGATGTCTGGCTGGATATGGTGAGGCTTGTTTCTTGGGTCCCTCATTGCAGCAGTGACCCAGGCCCACAGACTCCATCTGGATGTGGAGTGTCCCCCCCGGCTGCCTCCAGCTCAATGTCCTCGGTGCCAAGTGACACAGAACAAGCAGCTCTTGAAAAGACTAATATTTACTCTTCAAACGAGAGCTGGCACAGGCTGTTTCCTGCAACTGGCGTCTGACTCGCCCTGTGGGATGGACACAACAGGAGGCACTCCGGGAGATAGGCAAATGTCCCCTCGGACGCCAGCATTCTGTATGAGACGATGTCTGTGAGATGGGGACAGCATGTTCCAAGGTTCCATTAGACACATCTCATTTCTGCCCGCACACCTCACAGTGGAGAGCTCACTGCCTCTCCAGCCCCTGCTGGACAGCTCTGTGAGAAAGTTCATTCTAATGCTGGCCCTGTGTTCCTTGCCCCGGCCCTTGCTCTGATCCCTGGGGCCTCAGGAAAAGCGCCTGGAATAACCCCCAGGGCTGGGGGAATAAAGGTCCTGGTCACCTTTATTCCTCCCACCCCGACCCGCCTCTGGCTTCACTTCCCCAGGCCCACACTCTGGGCTCTGTGGCCAGAACAGGATATTTCTGGGTTAGGAGGAAGAAATTGCCTTGAGGGCACCTCTGTCCCCCTGCAGCTGTGTTCCTTGTCCTCATGAGAGCCCTTTAGCTGAGTGCCTCATATGGGAAAGTCTTGACCAGGAAACTGCTGGTCAGACGGCTCGAATATGGGAAGGAGAGTCCCTAGTGGCTTGGGGGTCAGAACCAGCTCCCCCTGCCCACTTTCCCCTCTGGAGTCTCTCCTCTATGCTCTTCCCCACCCAAGCCCCCCATGGCTTCCAGAGCCTTCCCTGACCAATATAACCCCAGGCTTGTTTCCCCGCCCCTTCCCCCACCACTGCAGCCCTGTGCAGGCTTAAACACTCTGGCAGCATATGGGGCTTTAGAGCCCCAAAGGCCAGCCTTCTTAACCTTGTCATGTCAACTGCAGGGCTGGGCAAGGCCAGGACAAGATCTCCCAGGGGAAATGCAGGCCCACCCCATTCTCCCAGAGCTCTCATAACTGACTGCTGACACAAGCAACCCTCTTTTTAAAACAATTCCTTATTATCCCTATACCTAACTCCCAAGCTCCTGGTCCCTTGTAAGCAGCCATTCAAGTGTATTTAACATGTATCTTTTCGCATATATCCTCACAAAATATTTTATGGTCTTGTATGCATATATTTCTTATCATATAACGGTGGTTTTTCACTCAGCTCTAAGTTTTGAGGATTCATCCATGTGATGTTACATCTAAATCTGGTACATCTGCCTGCATCGTGGTGCTCCGTGGTGAGCCTGCACACTTTCTTTCCATGATGGATACACAGATTGCTTTCCACCAACACCAGTAAGTCTTCAATGAACATGTCCCCTTGAGGATCTGTATAAGAATTTTCCTGGGACAAATAACCAGAAGTCAAATTTCCACTTCACAAGGTGTGCACTCTTAACTTGGGTAAGTAGGCTGTATTAGTTTGTTTAGGCTGCCCTAACAAAGTAGCACAGTCTGGGTGGTTTAAGCAGACATTTATTTTCTCATGGGTTGGGACTTCAACATGTGAATTTTGGGGGAACAGAATTCAGCTCTTAACAGTGGCATGGCTCTGCAGATTGGCCGTGCCTCTCTACTCACTGCCACCTCGCACGAAGTCCTGCATCTCCACACTCCCTCTTGCACTTAGTGCCATAGAGCTTTGCAAGATTTGCCAAACTCATAGGTGTGAGGTGGTCTTATTGTTGTTTGAATGTGTATTAATGATTTAAAATCTCTTCATATGCTTATTAGCTTTTTACGTTTTCTCTTCTGTTAATTGTCTGCACATTTTCTAGTGGGGTTGCTCTTACTTGCTGATTTACAGGAATTTCTTCTGTTATTAATCCCTTAGTGGTTTCTGGCATCATAAATATCTCCTCCCATTCTTTTAACTTTGCCCATGAAATCCTTATTTGTATATAGTCAAATTCATCAATCATTTTGCCTTAAGGCAGTCCTTTTCCGCCACAAGCCACAAAGATAATCTTCAAGTTCTGCAACATATTCCACAGATTTTGCCGTCCACATTTGACTTAAGAAGTCCTTTTCCACCACAAGCCACAAAGATAATCTTCAAGTTCTTCAATGTATTCCACAGAATTTGCCGACCACATTTGATCCCAGCAATGTCTTGGTGCTGACTCAGCAGAGCCAGGTGGGCTCCTTAGAGCCTCTCCTCCACTAGCACTGCCCAAAGATGCTTGGCAGCTGTCAGGTAGCACTTCTGCTACCTGGGCCCCTTCAAGGGGTAGGCCCCAAGAAAAAAGAAGGCAACTCACCAGCCAGAACTTCTCATCCAGCCCTCCTGGCATAGAAGGAACATCTTTTATTCTTTGTGGGTATTGCCAAGTGGGGGACAGCCACTTGTTTCCTCCTCAGGGGAAACAGAGCTCCAAACTTTACTGTCACTGGCTCCCTAGAACAAGCCTCAGCTTCTCAACCTGAGCAAAAAAGTGGTTAAAGCAGATGGTGTCTGAAAACTATCAACTACCAAATCCCAGCACCCAATAACTCAGATGTTTATTTTGGAAGTCACTGCCTTCCTCCAAAAGATTCTGATTCAGGACAGATGGTGCAGAGACTCTTGGAGAGTGAATTCCCCAATGTGTTTAGAGGATGGTCAGGAGAGGATAGTGCATTTGCTTTCTTTCTGGGAATTTTATTAGCTGCTATAGGAACAGCCTTTGCTAAAGGCCACCTTCCCTTGGCTGGAAACCTGAGGAGGTGGCCGGCAGCTGCGCCCCCTGGTGGCCATTCTGTGGTCAGGCTGGTCCTGGGAGATGAAACTTCACCTTCACAGTAGACAAGAGCCCAAAACGCGGAGCACGGAAAGTGCCTGCTGCACATAGCAGGGCAGGGGCAGAGCCTGCAAACTGGGGAGGCCTCCCAGCCCCCAGGGCATTGTTGTGACTGCTATTTTGGTTGGGGGTTAGTACTAAAGACTATTTGAGCCCTTGCGCCTGTCTAGGCCTCACTGGACAAGATGACCTGACTTTCACTTCTTTCAACAACCCCCTCCCATTATGTCAGGCCCACATCACACTGTCTAGCAAAGGATCCATAACTCGGAATTTTTCACATAAGTGCAAAGACACATGTTAATAAACACTTTAGATTTATTCTGCCATTTCTGAAGCCACCTCATTTAATTTATACATAGGATATAAATGGCTATACATTTTTACACACTTTTATACAAGTTTAGGTTGTACTACTGAGTTTGTTAAAATGTACCCATTATTTACTCAAAATATTTATTGTTACAAGAAAACCGTAAGAAGCTTGTGTAACATGAACAGCAAGTATTGAAAACGAATATGTAAAGTAAATGGTTTTGCCCTGACTAAATCAGCCTCAGTATTTTATGCTTTTAGTAGAAAAGCCCATTAAACAAAATAGAATCCTGGGGGATCAAATCATATGAATGATTCATGAAATAACACTTCTGAAGCAACCCCAGAATCATATAAATGTAAGGGTTAAAGGTCATATGTACTAAGCATGGGTCAGAGGAATAGAATGGATTTGTTAATTTTACCCTAAATAAAAGGCGCTTGTGGGCAACAGCTCTGCCATCAATACACATGGGCAGATGTTTCCGAATCCAGCCATTCCCAGATTTCACTGACATGCCCTTTTCCACAGGCTCCCTGCTGATGAGATTTCCCCAGCAGCAGAAGTTTGACATCACTGCTCCCGGATGGGAGAATCAGAGCTCTCCTCATTTGGGTCAGGGGTGGCTGGCTCACGAGGTTTGGTCCAACCAGCAGAACCAGCTCCTTGGATCCTGGAATAAACCAAACATCAATGGTACCATGCGCTCTGTGCCCAGGGAGTGAAAGGCAGGTCCAGGGTGGGAAGAAGAGGGGCTGCTACCTTTTGGAGTGAAAAAAATGAGGTTTACACTGTAGTATAACAAAATGCCTTTTTGTAAAGGCCAGAAGAAATGGCTGTGCTGTGCTGCCTGAAGCAGAAAAACCTTCATGTACCAGGTGAATGTAAAGCCTTTCTCCTCCCACACACAATGGACTCACCCAGTATTACCCTCCACTACCACTTTTGACCCTCATAACAGCACCCTGGCGGGGGGGCAGATTGATGTTATCACCATTTACCAGATGAGGAAACTGAGGCCTGATGGGCAGTGATTTGTGCACTGCGACATAGGACTCAGTGAAGAGCCTAGCCAGCTGACGGTCAGCTGACTGGTGCACTCTTTCCCTCACCTTCTCTCTCAAGGGCACAGCTACACTCTTTCTCCACCATTATTAACACTCACAGGGCACAGGTAGAGCGTCCCCAGACCTGTGCAATATTCTACACGAAAACATTTGGAATGTGAGCAATGTCTGAACAGGGGCTTGCCAGGCACATCTGATCACCATAAATGCTCCCACCCCTGCCTGTCCTCACTTGTGCTGCACTATGCAAGCAAGCAGCAGGTTCTCAGAAGGCCACTGTCCTGCATGTCACAATGAGTGGCCAACTCCTTCACAGAACAGCAAATAGCAGCCCTGGCTACAAGGTGCAGTGTGCAACCCCCATATGCCAAGGGGCAGCTGCTATCTTCCAGCAGAGAGAGAACCCCCAGCTCTGCTCCCTACCTATGCCCTGCTTCCTGTGCCTCACACAGCCAGCCTTGCTGGCCTGCTGGCTATTGTCTCTGACTCTGAGCTGTGCTGACCACCAAGTGTTACTCCTCTCCAAGACTTGACTCCCAGGCATGGGTGGGAGAGTTGAACCTCAATGCAATCTGCTCCCACTCTGAAGCTCGTCTACCCACCCCATTTGTTACAATTAAAGATGGTTTTCTCATCCCTCCAGAGACTCCAGTTTCAGACTCTGTCTCCAGAGCTGGAATGTATAGGGCAGAGGTAGAAAGAGGCAGGAGAGTTGGAGAACAAGAGCACCTAGAAAAGAACAGAGGAGCTCAAGCTCATTTAATCAAAATGCTTAAATGTTTTAATTCCAGCATTCTCCAGAGTTCACAGAAAAGAGGGATGCAAGCCCAAAAAGCAAAAGCAGGAGCTTATGGTCACATGCCTCCAGCTGCAGGCAGTGGGGCCTCTGGTACTGAGAGGGAATGCCACCCGAATATGCCCCAGCTGTCTCCACCCAGGAAAAGGAAAGCCAGGTACACTTCTCATCACAGTAAGACTAGCCTAACAGGGGAAAACAGATTTACATGTTTCGTTCATTAGCATATTAGGGAAGGGGAAACCTTTTGGGCTCTGGCCCCGTGGTTGGGAAACCCTTCCTAAGAGCATGGAGCCACACTCTGGCCTTGATACAGTAGATGGGACTTAACACACTCTGATGCTCAAGGCCTTGCAGCATCTGATACCAGAAGGCACCTCTAAAGTTTTGTTTTCAACATTATTTCATCTATTCCCAGATCTAGTCCAGTGATGTCAGCTGCACAGGTAGCATTTAACTACTGGGAAAACAAAAGTGCTACAACAACAGTGAGTCCATGGTGGAGTGAGGATAACTCCTGGGATTTGGAACCAGTTTGCTGGTATCAAGGATCACACAAGAGGCTATAAACCTCCAACCCTGAACCAAGTCAAACCTAAGCCTGGGGATTTCCCTCGGATGAAATCACCAGAACTTCTTTCCTATTTTCAGTCTCTTCCTTCAGTGAGCTGAGGATTCTTTTAGCTAGCTGGATTTCAGTCAAACAATGTTTTTGTGGTCATTACTTGTACTGTTTTTCTAGTGCATCTTTTCCCTTTTGTTTGCAAAAGTCAATCTCACCCCATGTAGATGTTAACTGATATCCACACATTCGACCTGGTGTGGATAACATCTCTGGTAGTGCCTCGGTGGTCAGGAAGCATTACCAGGAAGGACTCATCTTCAAGGACCGTTTCTTTACTGCCTGCTGAATATGGATCATAGGCTCAGATGCCCAAAGCACCTGGGGTACAGGTCTACATGGCAACCCAATGCCACATAGGAAAAGAAAACAGTCCATTTTTAAGCCGTTCTTACCGACTTTTTTTTTTTTTTTTTTTGAGACGGAGTCTTGCTTTGTCACCAGGCTGGAGTGCAGTGGCTCGATCTCGGCTCACTGCAACCTCCACCTCCCGGGTTCAAGAGATTCTCCTGCCTCAGCCTCCTGAGTAGCTGGGGCTACAGGCACAAGCCACCGTGCCCAGCTAATTTTTGTATTTTTAGTAGAGATGGGGTTTCACCATGTTAGCCAGGATGGTCTCGATCTCTTGACCTCGTGATCTGCCCACCTCAGCTTCCCAAAGTGTTATTGACTTTTAAAGCTTTTTTGTTCTTCTCATTTAAAACATTTTACCTCCCCTCCTTAACTTCCCATTCTATTTCACCATCTCTTCAAAATTGTCTCCCAGAAAAACTGAAAATTCACCTGCTGGGTATGCAGAAAATTATGCAGATGTGAAATCAGTGTAGAGACAACTTTGGAGTTTATGTCTGAGTATGCTGCCAATATAATTTTCATATTCAGACTTTTTAGAGACAGGGTTTCACTCTGTCATGCAGGCTGGGGTGCAGTGGTGTGATTATAGCTCATGGAAGCCTCAAACTCCTGGACTCAAGGGATCCTCCTGCCTCAGACTCCCAAAGTGCTGGGATTACAGGCATGTGCCATCACATCCGGCTAATTTTTTTTTTTGTAGAGATGAATCTTACTATGTTGTCCAGGCTGGTCTCAAACTACTGGCCTCAACCGAGTCTCCTGCTTTGGCCTTCCAAAGTGCTGGGAATACAGGCATGAGCCATCATGCCTGGCCCATATCCAAATATTTTATGTTTGGTCAAAAATAGAAAATTCTATTATAAAAAATAAAGTTACTATGGCAACATTTTCCCAACATAGTTCCCAGTATATAAACTTATTTTTCTTAAAATGATAACAAGGTAGCTCAATAACAATACAATACCAGTGATAACCAAATATAATTGAATTTTTCTAAAACTACATTCTTACATTCCCTATCCACTCAACTCTTGTAATGGTTTTCCACTTTTAAAAACTATCAAAATAGGATTTTTAAAAATTTATCAAGACCACATAATGCAGTTGAACACTCAAAGTGTTCCATGCAACTGTGGTTGAACTATTCAGATTCCAGACTTCTACCAAGAACAATCCAAAGAGCAAACTCCCAAAATGACCTCCTGCGTGGTACAAAACAAGCCAGGCTGAAATTTCGGGAAACCTAAGGGATCTTATCCAGAACCATATTTTGGAAAACTGTGATCAATCAATTTTTTGACAGTGAAAGAGAGTAACTTTCCAGAGTATGTGTTAATTATATCTCTATCAAGCTTTAAAAAGTTAACAGATACTTAACTCTTGTTCATAAAAAATGAGGCCCTCAAGCTAATTAAGATGACTGGGAAAGGTGCAGAGGAGTAATTAATTTTGGAGGCGCTCTGGGAACAGGTACACAGGGTACAGTAGTCATCATCATTAAAACAACAGGCACTCAGCTCTACTGAAAAGGCTGATGACAGCAGCCCCTCCCAAGCGGATCTGTAAAGTGCCACTGAATCCATGTTCATTCACCTACTCCAGGTTGTGGTCAATTGTAAGTAATCCTGAAATTCTCATTTCTGCTCATGCTGACAAACTTATCATCTAGAAGTACTGGTTATTCAATTAATTTTTAAAATATTCGGATATACCCTGCAAATAAATATAAAACATCTCTGTACCCAAACAGTCCCACCACTATAAAAGGTTACATATAAATTAAATAAACTCAGATTTCTTAACCATTTTCTCAGCTTAAGTTTGCCCTCACCCTAAATGAAGTCCAATTTATATCCAAAATATAATTAAATATTCCAAAGGTATATCGAACCTAAGATATTGAAAAAATGTAAACAAAATTTATCTAGCTTACATTTATGAACCATATTTTTAGGTTTTTAATTCATCCTGTACTGACCCTCTGAAAAAAAAAACTAATCAAGTTATGTTTAGACTGAAAGCTGATTTGGATTTTAAAGTGGTTCCTTGGAGACAACTCTCAATGACTAAAACCAGTGTTATTGAATCAAGTGGTTTACTGTATCATTCAACTTAAAAGACCAAAATATTTCCTTTCTCTCTTCCAATAAAGCTCTTTCTGGATGAGCCCCCAGATCCAGCTGTCCTAGGTAAACGTGCTGAACTGGCTGGAGATCCTGCAGTAATGCTTGGCACAGAACCAAGGCTGGGTATCAAGCAACCTCATGACTTCCACTGCAACTGTTTAACATCCCCAATTCCTGGTTTTTCAGTCCAGTTGGCTGAAAAGGATGGAAACTGGAGTGTAAAGTAGAGAAGCAGAAAGAGAAACATAGATTGATCCTCAAAAGAAAATCAAAGAATCCATTCATCACAGTGTCATCCTCATACTCCACAGTCAGACTGCTTCTCCTGAAGCTGCCTTGTTAGTATCTGATATGAAGACAGAAAAGCCACTCCTATGTGGAAAAGGATTTGCCAGAGGTTCCTCAGCCCGTGCAGGTACATGTTGCCCAGGCAAATAAAGAGCAGCATAAGCACCACCTTCATAGTCCTGGCTGGACTGTAGAACAGGTACAAATAACACTGAAATGAGACCAGAAGAGGAATTCCAATCAGAGATAAAATGGCCACTAGATCATATGCAAAATTCACCTCCCACAGCTTCCATGAAGAGTGTCATTTCTCTCACATTAGCTGATTAAACTGAATTCATTACAGTAAAGCGTGGACCCACTGGTTAGGCTGCTAATTATTGGACGAAAGTGAGGATTTGGAAGATTAAAGGAAAGTGAAATAGATGTCACAGGAAGAATCAGTGCATGGCACATCTGAAAGAAGTTAAAGAAATAGACAGAAATGACCAGGCTGTTGGCAGTAGAGAAAGAAGAGCTGCACATAAGCTGCAGACAGCCAGGCTGCAGACAGGGGACCCTAACGTGACTGACTGGCCCCCCAGTGAAGTTTTTCTTCAGGGAGCCAGGACAGGCAAGCAAGCTGGTGAGAGAAAGCCATGCTTTTACTATTTTGGTTTCTCCTGAGCCACGACTACATTGAGCACCACTCTTCCCTTGGGCACCCTCCTTATCATGTCTTCCAAAGCATCTCTGAGTCAGGGAAAGGTCTCACAGCAGGGAGAGTGACTGGTATTTTGTGTATGACTATCACACATAAAAGGGGCCATTCTTGTTCTGCAAAAGGTGGAAACGGCATTTTGGTTCAATGCTTTGTTTTTTTTTTTTAAAAAAAGGACATCACTGAACATGGATCAATCTGACAAAGGTTCAATCTACAGAGGGAGGGAGTGAGCTATCCAACCAGGAACACAGTTGAAGGAATGAGGTGGAACTGTACAATCCCTGCAGTCCTAAAACATAGCTCTAGGAAACTGCCACTGGCTATGTCCAAGGTCTTGGAGACTTGTTTTCTAAAAAATGAATGCATTTTCATGGGTTGAAAATTTCTTTTTGCATAATCAGGTAATGCTTTTTCATTTTTTTTAGGCAATGTCTTTCTCTGTTGCCCAGGCTGGAACACAGTGGCGTGATCTCAGCTCACCGCAACCTCCACCTCCAGGGTTCAAGCAATTCTCATGCCTAAGCCTCCCAAGTAGCTGGGACTACAGGTATGCACCACCATAATCAGCTGATTTTTGTATTTTTATTATAATAGAGATGGGGTTCCCTAGGCTGGTCTTGAACTCCTGGCCTCAAGTGATCCACACATCTTGGCCTCCCAAAGTGCTAGGATTACAGGCATGAGTCACCACACCTGGCCTGGGTAATTCTTAAGAATAAACCATTCTAGGATGTATGTGGAAGAGAAGGAAAGCGTCCTAAGAACAGAAATTTTAATTTTAAAAAAAGGGAGAAAAAATATGTATTCAGAGACAGTGCTAAAATCCTAGTCCATACGGAGGACAAGGAAGGAGAATTAGAGCCACGCTTTCACTAGAATTAACTCTGCCTATGAGGGACTCAAAATCGCCTCTTTATGCCACCCCTTAGTACACAGCTTATATGAAAATAACTAATCAAAACCCTCTAGTTAATGTTCTAATGTTTGCTTCAGTTCCTAAAGAACAGGTCTGAGTCAGAAGGTATTACTATTTAAAACAACAACAACAACAACAACAAAAAAATCAGCAGTTCTTTGACCTAGTCTTATATATGTATATATTTTTTAAAAAATTTTTTGCAGAGGTCGGGCGTGGTGGCTCATGCCTGTAATCCCAGCACTTTGGGCGGCCGAGGCGGGTGGATCACAAGGTCAGGAGATCGAGACCATCCTGGCTAACATGGTGAAACCCCGTCTCTACTAAAAGTACAAAAAAAATTAGCCAGGTGTGGTGGTGGGCACCTACAGTCCCAGCTACTTAGGAGGCTGAGGCAGGAGAATGGCGTGAACCCGGGAGGCAGAGCTTGCAGTGAGCCAAGATTGTGCCACTGCACTCCAGCCTGGGCAACAGTGCAAGACTCCGTCTCAAAAAAAAAAAAGAAAAAAAAAGTTCAGAGATGGGGTCTTGCTATGTTGCCCTGGTTGGTCTCAAACTCCAGGCCTAAAGTGATCCTCCCACCTTGGCCTTGAAAAGTACTGGGATTACAGGTGTGAGCCACAATGCCTGCCTAGACCTATATTTTAAAAACTACATGTACACAGATGCTACTTTTATAGAAGGACATTTCTGTGCTTGGACTGTCCTAATAATAAGCACAAGGCAATATCTTGCCACTCACTAGTCAGGCCTAATCCAATCCCTATGTAATCTCATCCCTCCCTTCTGGGAAGTCAAATCCAAACTGCTGGTTTCTGTTCTGCTGCTGTCAATAGCCCCTTGGCCTTGAACAAGGGGCTTTCCCTTTATGAGCACAAAGTTCTTCCTCTGTAAAATGAGAGGACTGGCCAGGATGGGCCTAAGGTCCTCCACTAAGGGCTTGGTATTGTCCATGATGTGAACCATGACCTTGGTGGAACAAAAATCACATCTAGAAACTTGCTGATAGATGAACAGAAGAACAAAGTAAGGTCATGGATTTAATCCACTGACCAAAATATCGTTTCACCCACCTGGAAAATGCAGGCTACGAAAGGAACAAGAAAAGCCAGAATGTTTCCAATTTCCTCATGGGCAACCTAAAACAAATACAAGGAACACAAGGAAAGGGATATTTAGATGAAAGGAAACACTGTGACATAAAGCACTTTACTCTGCCTTCTGTCTGGTATGGTTGACAGTACAAAATCCCTGGCTGGGTGAGACACAAGTTCCTGTTTATGCACCAGATCAGGGTTAGCATACAATCGTTTTCAACAGCTTGGTCACAGCATGTGCCTCCTGTCCCCATGTGACTGTGCTAAGTCTGCAACCTGGAATGGGCCGCCAATCCCTCCACCTCTCAGAAACCTAAGCATCTGTTAAGACCTAGCTTTCTCTAATTCCTCCCATCTCCAGGCACTGCCGCCTCTTTAGGATTGCCACCATACACTGTTTTGGGCCATGAGAGCCCCCAAGGCAGGGACTATGTCTTAACCATCTTGCTGGCCAGGTACTAATTCTAATGTATACAAACAAACAGACAGTTGGTAAGTATCTGGCTAAGAGCAATCATAAACAATAAGAGTAGAAACCACAACACACATTGATCAAAGACAGGATGTGGTAACAGGCAGTTACCACTCATAACACAGGCCTGCTGCCATTCTCCAAACAGGTCAGTCTACATCAGTCTCCTGAGGTTCAACAACAGTCATGCTTCAGACTTTACCCACTATATGCATGGGTGTGAGTATGGTGGCACTATCTTTAAAAGTAATATCTATTTGTTGATGCTAATAATGGTTTTATACCTCCTCTTTTTTGTTTTTGTTTTCTTTTTTTGAGACGGAGTTTTGCTTTTGTCGCCCAGGCTAGAGTGCAGTGGCGCAATTTTGGCTCACTGCAACCCCTGCCTCCCAGTTTCAAGCGACTCTCCCACCTCAGCCTCCTGAGTAGCTGGGATTACAGGCATGCGCCACCACGCCCAGCTAATTTTGTATTTTTAGTAGAGATGGGTTTTCACCATGTTGATCAGGCTGGTCTCAAACTCCTGACCTCATGTGATCCACCCACCTCAACCTCCCAGAAGTGCTGGAATTACAGGAGTGAGTCACCACACCCGGCCGATACCTTCTTGAAATACTTCTCAAAATACTTCAAAATTTTAAAACTGTTTTTAAAAAGCACTGAAATAGTAAGTTCCTTTGAAATGAGCAGACCAGTGAAGGAACTTCCTAGTGACATATAATTCTTCGACAAAGACACAAGGAAGGTGGCATCTGCATTATACAAATCAGATTATGGGACAACCTTTTCTCAGGAGAAAAAGAACCTGAACCTTAAAATCAGAGAATGAACCTTTTGTCCTGGGTAAATAATCCAGTCCCTGGAGTGACTCCTGGGGTCCCAAGAGCCACAGGGTGGTCTAATGTCCTTGTAGCAAATTCTCCATTTCTTACCAATATCTTGGCAGGCCCCTCCTGCTTCTTAGGACAATAGACATAAAAGAGCAACCTTCATATTCATTCACTTACTACAAAGAATAAAATTTATAATAAAATTCATATTAGTTTTGAAAAATTATAAAACCTCAGTTTTATAGATAAAATGTATCCCTATCACTTTCTTCTATCATATGTCCTTCAATTTAAACTGTTTTAAAAAAAAAAAAAAGGTTACCTGTAAAGAATGTTCTGCAAGGTGAACTCCTCGAATGAGATTCAGGGCAGCACACATGATGTTGAGAATGAGGGAGAGGATACCCAGGGCTGTCACTGGTTCCATTCGGAAATTAGGAGCTTCACAATGGAAAAAAAACAAGTGTCTAGTGTAAGTAATTTCTACATGAAAGAAAAATAAACGAAGACATTAACTAGACCTACACTAATGATAGGTTCACTATGTTAAACATAGAATTACAAACATATTAATTGTAAAAGCAGCAGAAGTTAGAGGGAAAAAAGCCAAGAAATGATGGACAGAATGGATGTGGGTATTTGAGTAAAGTTTCTTCCAGAAAAAGGCTCTTTTCCAGGCAAGCACAGGTTTTTCAAGTGCTTAATTTCCTTTCTATCTAAAGCAGTGGTTCTCAACCAGGGGCAATCTGCCCCCCAGTGGATATTTGGCCATGTCTGGAGTCATTTCTGGTTGTCACAACTAGAGACAGGCTGCTACTGGCATCTAGTGGATAGAGGCCAGGAATGCTTCTAAACATCCTACAATGAATGCACAGGACAGCCTCCAAAATAAAGAATTATCTGATGCAAAAATGTCAATAGGGATCAGGCTGAAAAATCCTAAAACAATTTTTGGCACACACCTGTAATGCCAGCACTCTGGGAGGCTGAGGCAGGCAGCAGATCACGTCAGCCCAGGAGTTCAAAACCAGCCTGGGCAACATAGTGAGACCCTGTCTCTACAAAAAAAAAAAATACAAAAACTTATCCAGGCATGGTGACGCATACCTGTAGTCCCAGCTACCTGGGAGGCTGAGGTGGGAGGATCACCTGAGCCTGGGAGGTTGAGGCTGCAGTGAGCCATGATTGCGCCCCTGCACTCAAGCCTAGGCAACATAGCGACCTTGTCTCAAAAAAAAAAAAAAAAAAAGTTCAGGCACAGTAGCTCATGCCTGTAATCCCAGCACTTTGGGAGGCTAAGGTGAGAGGATCACTTGAACTCAGGAGTTCAAGACCAGCCTGGGCAACATGGTGAAACCCCATCTCTATTAAAAAAAAAATACAAAAATTAGCCAGGTGTGGTGGTATGTGCCTGTAGTCCCCGCTACTCAGGAAGCTAAGGTGGGAGGATAGCTTGAGCCCTGGAGGTGGAGGTTGCAGTAAGCCAAGATTGCACCATGGTACTTCAGCCTGGGCGACAGAGCAAGAACCTGTCTCAAAAAAAAATTAAATAAGTAAGTAAATAAAACAGTTTCTTATACTACCAGAGAGGACCAAGGCTTTATTTGTAATTGGTTGTCAAATGTTTAAAGCATTTCTATTATATGCCTCAACATTCAACTTGTCCTCTTTCTCTGACAATAACAATATGCGATGTCACGTGCACTTCTAGAGCAATTCACAGCAAATGCAATTTTTAAAATTCTAAAATAATTGGAAAGAGGGAAACATTGATTATTCAGGTTACAAGCTGTTTCTAGAACTATAATTAGAACAAATGCTCATTTTCTCTGTAAAGATAACCACTGAAATTGATTTTGGTTCACACAATTAAATGGTGTCCCTCCCATTCTCTCGCTATACTCCTTTCTTACACTTATATTTCACACACACACAAATACCTCGCCACAATCCAACTTATGCCTATTGTTAGTGTGTTAGAGTTTCCACTGAGCAATTAAAAGTTACTGTTAGAACAGAATATGCTACCTGTAAAGATTCTAGCCTCAGGACAATAGGGTAAATCAAATCACAGTAAAATGTCCTAGAAAGACGGGCAAGGTGACACTTTCTGGATTTGCTCCTCTTGTCTAAGTGTTTAAAAAACAAAACATACATTACAAAGATATGCCTGCATTCATATATGGTAAGGGAAAATCTTGGAGCTCAATTACCCAGTCTTCCTTTTACAAAAATTAAGTTTATTCTCAACATAAACTAGAAACACTTATTGACTGGAATGAGAGCCAATCCAAGTATTGGTTGAAACACATTAAACTAAAACACAAAGTTAAGTCAAAACCATGAATATAATACATCACTTTTAAAATTCAAGAAATGAGTTTAGCATAAAACAGTTAAAAACAAAGTAATTAAGACTATTATAGTGTAGACACTTCTTTTAGCAAAGGATTCAGCTCTTATGCCATTATAGAATTCTTCGAATATAAATATCCAATTGAATTAAATATTAGTTTAATTGTATGTAACTATAAACAGGAATGCAAAAAATCATACTTTGTTATGTGATAAGCATTGAGTGGCTAATAACATTAATGACAAAGGCATGGAATATCAGCACACTGTGATCACGTTCATTAAGACCTCTTCCTTCACATGAGGTCTCTGAAATCCACAGGGATAGAGGGAGATCCCAGGTCTCAGAGACAGCCAGACAGTGAGAACGTTAGAAGCCCTGGCTCCAGCCCCCTGTCCAACGCTCTCATCCCCACTGTCCTCCCTCCAACAAGAAGAGTGGGGGTTTCAGATCTACAACATTTCAGTAAATAAGATGATAAGGATTCTCTCTCTCTCTCTCTCTCTCTCTATATATATATATATATAAATAATAATTGTTTTATATATATTATATATATTTTATATATAATATATATATTATATATATAATATATATAATACCAATCTATACAGTTCAATAAGTAACTTATAGAAAAAGAGAATGAATCTTCTTTATAACATTTAAACTTGTAGTTCTGTCAGAACAACTTGGACTTAAATAAATAAATAAATAAAAACATAAAATTTAAAAATAATAAACTTGTAGACTTCACCCTAATTAAGAAAATAACCTGCCAGCTAAGCGTGGTAGCTCACACCTGTAATCCCAGCACTCTGAAAGGCCGAGGCAGGAGGATGATGGCTTGAGCCCAGGAGTTCGAGACCAGCCTGGGCTGTAACATGGTGAAACCTTGTCTCTATTTGAAAAAAAAAAAAAGAAGAAGAAGAAGGAAAAGAAAAACAAAAGTAACCTGCCAAGTCACTCTTCGGCTCCTGAATTTCATCACAATAGTTTCCCCTCAAACCAATCCACTGTCATAATAGTCAATTTTTTTCTTTTTTGAGACAGGGTCTCATTCTGTCACCCAGGCTAGAGTGCAGTGGCTCACAATCATGGCTCGCTGCAGCCTCGACTTCCCGGGCTCAGGTGATTCCCCTACTTCAGTCTCTGCAGTAGCTGAGACTACAGGCACGAGCCACCACCTCTGGCTAATTTTTTGTATTTTTGATAGAGATGGGGTTTTGCCATGTTGCCCAGGCTGGTTTCAAACTCCTGGACTCAAGTGATCCGCCTGACTTGGCCTCCCAAAGTGCTGAGATTACAGGCATGAGCCTCCACGCCTGGCCTGTAGTCAAAGTTTTTATAACAGCCACCAAGAAACAGGATGGGCCCATATTTTTCTCAGCATATTTTATACTACTCCCTCTCCCCAAAAAATAGCTTTCTAGTGAAAAAAAAAATCAACGTCCATTTGAAATACACAATATCACTTCATCAACATCAGGGAACAACAAGCCACTTACCAGGCTCCAAGTGCATCGGTGTGTGACCATTCATCACCCCATTTGCCACATCTGTGTCCTCCAGAGTGAGAACCGCTGGAGGCTGCAACTTGAGCTCCTCCTGAATTTTTTCCAAGCTGCACTCCATCTGAGAGGAACTTACATAGTTAAAATGCCACTTCACTTTCTGAATGATGCTGTCTGCAAAAAGAGAGCAACACAAGTTAAGCATTTTCATCAGAATGGATATTATAAGACAATACGTACAAAATGAAGTTCACATTTCTTTTTTTTGAAGATAGGGTCTCACTGTCGCCCACTCTGGAGTGCAGTGCAGTGGTGCGATCACAACTCACTGCAGCCTTGACCTCCCAGGCTCAAGTGATTCTCCCACCTAAGCCTCCCAAGTAGCTGAGACCACAGATGTGTGCCACCACACCTGGCTAATTTTTTTCATTTTTAAATTGTTTTTCTGTAGAGACAAGGTCTCACTGTATTGCCCAGGCTGGTCTCAAACTCCTGAGCTCAAGGGATTCTCCTGCCTCAGCCTCCCAGAGTGCTGGGATAATAGGCGTGAACCATTGCACCCAGCTGAAGTTCACATTTCTAAGAGCTAATAAATCAGCCAGATTCTGAAAAGCGTCAAGTTAAACACAAAGGCCAAATGATTGCTAATATGAACACTGTCTGATCAATCACTTCAGAGCAGGATAATTAAAATGTGATTGACTAAAAAGGCAATAATGCATCACAGAACCTCAGTGATGAGAGAGTCGGGGGAAAGGGGCATGCGTCTTAGCCCCTTACCACTTCTGATAGTACGGTACAACCCTAGGCAATTTACAGAATATTTCTAAGCTTGAAAAATGGAGACAGTTATTCCTGACCTGATTAACTCAAAAAAAAAGGGCTTGTTTGAAAAAAAAATACAAATGAATACGTTGTGGAAACTAGGATTATATATTTGAAAAGTATTCATTTTAATTCTTAAATTTATGTTAGTATAAATCCATTATCACATCTGAACAGTTCTTGAAGTTTCATACAAACTGGCAAAGCAAAATCTGTATAATTCTACTCTCAGTGTACTTTGACTCATTCTACTCCCACTCAACAATGAGCAAACATGATGCTGGAAAAGGGGCTCCCATCAGATCAAGCACATGGCTTTAGAAGGAAGGCACATGCAGAGATAAGGGGAGAGAAGAACACAGGTCTACCGAGCTCCAAATCAACTCACAGCCCAGGGATGCTGCAGCTGTGGTCTGTTTTAGACTAGCAGCCCTCTTCAGAGAAAGAAGTGTGGCCCAGAGCACAAGCTTGACTAAGACCTCACAGGGAGACTCAGGGGCAGAACTTTACCAGGCTGGAGCCTGCCTACCAGGGTGACACCAAAAGAGGGTGCTAGCCCCATTCCTGATGGGCTAGCCAGTAGAACACATGAAGGAATGTGAGGGCTATGGCAGGAGTAGCCAGAAAGCCTAAGTGGCAACACTTCCAGGTGCTGGTTCTGCCCCCTGACCATTTATAACAAATGCTGCCAAACCTTTGTTTAAGAACATCACAGAGTCAGCAGCTGTTTACACGGAGAGCACAGACTGTCCCCCAACTGCCATCTCCATTCCTCTTCTCCCAAGAGCTCAAAATGACCCACACCTGACCAAAATAGGGCACACACTGATTATTATGCTGTGTTCCAAAGTCTCTAAGCCTCAACAAGGCCTTTCTGGCAGAGCCTAGAAAAGAAGTATCATTTTTCCAGAGCAAACTTCTGGGTCAAGGAACTGTTTTTTTCTTACTTCCAAACCACCGCAGACTGATATTTTGCTTTAAAAAAAGCAATAAAAAATAATCACAGGAATGTCAAATTACTGTAAGAATTTCTAAACACCAGTTCTCACTTTCTGTGCTTACCTCCTGATGGTAAACACCCTTTGAGCAGTAATGCTCTGGGGCAGGGGTCAACAAAAGTTTCTTACAATGCCAGTTAGTAAATATTTTAGGTTGGTGGCTACATGGTCTCTGTCACAACTCAACTCTGCTGTCGTGGGGCAAAAGCAGCCACAGACAACATGTAAAAGAATAAGCATAGCCACGTTCTGCTTTATTTATAAAACAGGCGGCTGGCCTATGGGCCATCATTTGCTGACCCCAGCTTCAGAGAGCTGTGGGTTATAACCTACACGTTTCACCCTTCCTCCACCCTGCCCCCAGGCTCTGTGGAGATGAAAAGCCAGAGTGTTAAACCTTGACGCTTTCCGGGACACTTCAATTGATATGAAATCTCATGGTACAAGTCTGTTCTTCAATGACATGTTTTTGCATCTCCAGTGGTTTTCCTTGATGGTCAAAGCCAAACCTAAACTGTAAATTCTACACATATAACACCATGGAAGAGAAAAATAAATATGAAAGAGGGTTACAAACCAAACTCAAGAAAAGCGTATGGCCTGGAGGCTAGGCCAATGCAGGTAGTGTCATAGGAAGCTGTGAATTCCCACCACAGGGTCTCCAGGAAGCAGAAGGCCATGGCTGCTGGACACTGGCAGGAGCAGATAGCCATGCAGGCCACGTCCCCGAAAGAAGAAAAACTGAAACAAAAGGGCAATATCTGTATTACCAGGAAACAGCCCCATGTATTCCCATCCCACACCCAGACACAACCTTACCTGAATTCTGCACTTGCTTGGCTTTAAACAGTCCTGTAGCTGTTTGCTGCAGGTATATTGTCTCTTCAGTTCGACCTATTCCTGAGACTGTCTTTCTTCCGCTTCCTTTAAAATGTCTAGTAGTCTTAATCAATGACAGCCTGTGATCACTCTTATTTATTCATGCATGAGGGATGCATATTCTATTGGGGGAATTAGCCTCAGACTTCTCCACATCTATTGAGAAAACGTTTTTCTTCTTTAATCTACATCAACAGATTTCCTAATGTTAAATGATCCTGGCATCCTAAAATAAGCCCTTGTTGGATCTAAGTTCCTACATATTCATAAACATACAACTGCTGGATTTAGTTTGCTAACATTTTAATTGGGACTTTTGTGTCTATGCAAATAAGACTGGCCTATAATTTTCCTTTCTTATACTGTCTTCATCTGATTGTGGTATTTAGGTTATTTTGGTCTCATAAAATAAATACAGGGCTTTTCTTCTTTTTCTACTCCCTTTTGGGCTGTCATGCAATCATTTCAAGTTCAGGGTACAGGGGTTCTAGGTCACCTATCTGTGTGTCTACTGACTCCCACTCACTGTGGAATGTCTCCTCTTGTGTTTTGTCCTTTTTGCTGAGAACTCATCCCTATGGGACTTTTTTTTGTAAGAATCCCCTGAAGCCCAAGTTGTGGCACACTTCTTCCAGTGTGGTTCTGCATTTGCTCTGGCTGGCTACCATAGCAGTGTCATCACTCTGGGACCAATACTGATGTTTCAACCTTGGCTTAGGAATTCCTAGACTTTGGGGAGTATACACTCCAACTTCAACCTTTTACGAGGCGCAAGAACAACATTTCAATTTCTTAGGTGAAATTTATTTTTCCTTCCCACACAAAGCCAAGTAGAGGTGAGTTACCCTGTATCAATGGGAAAATTATTTCCCTCACCTATCACCATTCCATTAGGTTGTGGCCTGACAAGAACTTTCCTTTATGCAAGAGTGTTTTGTTTTGTTTTGTTTTGACACAGGGTCTCACTCTGTCATCCATGCTAGAGTGCAATGGCACAATCTCAGCTCACTGCAGCCTCAACCTCCCAGGCTCAAGCCATCCTCCCACCTCAGCCTCCCGAGTAGCTGGGACTACAGGCGTGTGCCACCACACCTGGCTAATTTTCGTGTTTTTGTAGAGATGGGGGTCTCTCTATGTTGCCCAGGCTGGTCTCGAACCACTGGGCTCAAGCAATCTGCCTGCCTCAACCTCCCAAAGTGCTGGGATTACAGGCGTGAACCACTGCACCCAGCCACAAGGGTCTTGTTCTGACACTCCATCCTATGTAAGCCCAAACCAAGCTCCAATTTTATGGTGACTGAATGCCAGGAGCCTCACTGTCCGCTCACACACTTACTACCTTAATATTCTGCCCCCCTTTCATTTCTAGCATCTTAGGATTTCTTTCTTTCAAGATTAACTACACATTTAAAGTAATTGTCGATATATATTTACCCTCATTTCTGGATGTTTTCAGCAGGACGGTTTTTAGGTTATGTTGTTCTACCAACTTTTTGAAACTGTAACTCCCTATATAAAAACTTTTCCAATCTAAAAAAAAGGACAACTCTCCTCCTTATGGAAGAAATCCTTCAGAAGGGTCTAGGCCACTCTAGGATGGAGGTGTTTCTATTTGAAAGAGGACCCCTGGTGTGGGTTGAGTTTGTCCCCCCAAAAAGATTTACTGATGTCCTAACTCAAAGAAACAGAGTCTTTGAAGATGTAACCAAGATAAAATGAAGTCATACTGGATTAGGGTGGGCCCTCATCTAATGATCAGTATCCTTATATGAAAGGAAATTTGGACACAGAGACAGAAGGAAGAAGACCATGCAACCATGGAGACAGAGCCTGCAGTAACGCATCTACAAGCCAAGGAAAACCAAGGATTGCCAATGACTGCCAGAAAGTAGCAGAGGTTTAGGAAGGATTCTTCCTTAAAGTTTGTAGAGGGAACATGGCCCTGCGATACCTGTGAGAGAACGAATTCTGTTGTTTGAAGCCAGTTTGTGGTCATTTGTTATGGCAGCCTTAGGGAACTAACACACTCCTTACTATTAAAAGCTATGGTACTGCTCACCTGTAAGAAAAGAAAGTCTATTTCCTCTGCGAAAATAATGGTAAATATTTAATTCAAAATTACAAATGAGTAGAACATTTTTTATTCCTTTTTCCAAAATACTACTGAAGTATCCAGGATTTAAATCTGAAGTCTTAGACTTCTTTTTTCTGTGAAAAATAGCCTTTAACAGAGAAAAGCTTTCCTATTTGAAGTACAAATCAGTTAATCACAGCATAGTAAAGGAGAGACCATCAAGGACAGCATGTTCAGCATGTCCAGAGAAAGGGGCTGCACATGTGGGCAGGTGCAACTCAGTGTTTGCTCCTAAACATCCAGAGCCCACATCACCAGGTGACAGCTGCATGTGCCTATTATTTGTCACCCCCTTCAGGACATGGCCCTTCTAGCCTGACATTACCACCTAGCCTGGGGTCAGGCCTGGACTTTTCCTTTTGTTTTTATAATTCTGAGACTGAATTCCCCTAAAAGGACCTCAGCTTAGCAGGTCAACTAAAAATTTACTATTCAAGGCCGGGTGCGGTGGCTCACGCCTGTAATCCCAGCACTTTGGGAGGCCGAGGCAGGAGAATCACGAGGTTAGGAGCTCGAGACCATCCTGGCTAACACGGTGAAACGCCGTCTCTACTAAAAATACAAAAAAAAATTAGCCAGGCGTGGTGGTGGGCACCTGTAGTCCCAGCTACTCGGGAGGCTGAGGCAGAAGAATGGTGTGAACCCAAGAGGCAGAGCTTGCAGTGAGCCGAGATCGTGCCACTGCACTCCAGCCTGGGCGACAGAGCGAGACTCCGTCTCAAAAAAAAAAAAAAAAATTTACTATTCAAGGAGAACAAAAGGGTGCAAGGCAAGGTGGCTCATACCTATAATCCCAGGGCTTTGGAAGGCCAAGGCGGGAGGATCACTTGAGCCTAGGAGTTTAAGACCAGCCTGGGCAACATGGCAAGACCTTGTCTCTAAAAAATAAAAATAAATTAGCTGGGTATAGTGGTGTGTAGACTCAGCTACTTGGGAGGCTATCTATCAATCAATCAATCTATCCAATCTACCTATCTATCTGGAGACAGAGTTCCAGCTACTTTGGAGGCTGAGGTGTGAACATGGCTCACTGTGGCCTCGACCTCCTGGGCTTGAGCAATCCTCCCACCTCAGCCTCCCAAGTAGCTGGTACAGGTGCACCCTACCACACTTGGGTAATTTTTAATTTTTTTGTAGAGATGGGGTCTTATCATATTGCCCAGGCTGGTCTTGAACTTCGCGATCTTCCCGCCTCAGCCTCCCAAAGTGCTGGGATTACAGGCGTGAGCCACTGCACCCAGCTAAGACCCTGTCTCTAAAAAATAAAATAAAAAATAAAAATATAAGGAGAGCAAAAGAGACTTGCTAAGTAAAGGTCTAAAACGAGAAAATAGACGTAAAATCTAACAAGTCATTTTGATATTCTAAAATCTGCCTTGCCCCTGATGCCTCCATAGAATGACTGGCTTCTTGCTCTGAGTCCTAGAACAGGAAATTGTATAACCCATAAGAAGCAGACTTTGGTGCCTAACTGCCTGCATTCAAATCCTGGGCTGACCCATTACTAACAGTGTAAACTTAGTTAAGTTTTTTTTACCTCAGTTTCCTCCTCTGCAAAACAGGTGTAACACTATTACCTACATCATTAGCCACATAAAACACAGAATAGTGCCTGGCATATAGAAAACACTCAATAATATCAGTTATTGTAACCAGGATTATTGTAATCACTTGATTCCTACTTCCAATGGAACATTTTCCCCACTGTATTATAGTTAGTTATATATTTCTCTTGTTACCTTGTTAGACTTTAAGTTCCTTGAGAAAAGAGACCTACTCTCACTTATTTTTCACTCCCCTGCTCCTGTCACATAATAAAAATTTAAAAATGACCAGGCGCAGTGGCTCACGCCTGTAATCCCAGCACTTTGGGAGGCCAAGGTGGGCAGATCACCTGAGGTCAGGAGCTCAAGAGCAGCCTGGCCAACATGGTGAAACCCCGTCTCTACTAAAAAATTCAAAAATTAGCCGGGCGTGGTGGTAGGTGCCTATAATCCCAGCTGCTCAGGAGGCTGAAGCAGAAGAATCACTTGAACCCAGGAGGCAGAGGTTGCAGTGTGCAGAGAGTTTGCCACTGCACTCCAGCCTGGGCCACAAGGGCAAAACTGTGTCAAAAAAATAAATAAATAAAAATTAAAAAGTGAAAAATTAAAACATAAAAAAGTGAAAAAATTAAAAAGCAAAGGTATAAATAAAGTAAAAATGAAATTTTTTTCTTATTTCTTGGCTTTCTAACTCTCATTATTTTCCCTCCCCACATTATAATCTAGTATCTCCTCCCTCCTTACCTTTTCTCTTCCCCTGCATCTGAGTGAAGAAAAAACTACAAAACTAAAGACATGAACCCAGGTCTCCCAATGCTCATGGGCACTCCACTAACAGAAGTTAAGAGGTGGAGCAGCCACGGCTGGGTGCAGTGGCTCACACTTGTAATCCCAGTACTCTGACAGGTCGAGGCAGGTGGATCACCTGAGATCTGGAATTCGAGACCAGCCTGGGCAACATGGTGAAACCCCATCTCTACTAAAAATATAAAAATTAGCTGGGCATCGTGGCATGTGCCTATGATCCCAGCTACTCAGGAGGCTGAGGCACGAGAACTGCTTGAACCCAGGAGGCGGAGGTTGCAGTGAGCCAAGATGGTGCCACTGCACTCCAGCCTGGGTGACAGAGCAAAACTCTGCCTCAAAAGAAAAAAAAAAAAAAAAAAGTTGGAGCAGCCATTCCTGAGGCTCTAAGAAAACCCATTTCTTTTATGATTCTGTTGTAGACACACATGATCTCAGACCACTGATGCTAGATCTACTTTTAATACACAATGTGATCAGCATAAGATTATCACTACATGTAGTTAAAAGTAATCCAAATTTTGCTAATATTCTGAAAAAGTGAATATGATCACTTACTGTATACTAAAGTCACAACCTTCTGCAGAACCTCGACCTGGATACTGGGCCAGTCGCAAGGCTAAACTCTTGAGCCGTCTCCTCCATTCCAAAAAATCTTGGGTGTGGTAAAAATCAGTAGAGGCTGAGAGGGGCAGTCCATCCCTTACCCGTACCACGCAGGCAAAAAAGATCACGGACATGGTCCACAAGAGAAGTCATGAGGACACCTGAGGAAAGCAAGGTCACCTTGTTACTGAGGCTCAAATGACAGTGCCAGAAATACCCCCACCTGTGAAATGCCCACTCTAGGGTTTTTCACCCTCATTCTTACTATAATTGCAAATGTTGCTTTTATTGTTATTTCCCTGGCCTCTACTGCTATATCACTCCCAACTTTCCTCCCTTCATTATCCTCCCTGCCTTTTCTGCAGTTGTAATTCTCTTTTTCTTTTTCTCTAATGAGTCTCTCCCTTTCCAGAATTAAGCCAACTGGGATGATGGGGAAAGGAATAGAGAAGAACGGACGCAGGACCAGAGGGCTCAGGACCAACAGTAGTAATGGCAGGTAGCAGGACACAGAGCAAGACAGCCCTAAAGAGACAGGAAGCACCAGACACTGAAGCAGCGAGGATTGATGTCAGTGACCTGTGAACTTCAGGTCACCCATGGAGATAGGCACTAAGCAGTTTAGCTGCCATATCCTCACTTGCAAGGAGATAGAAGAAGGTGGAGAGATTCTGAGCATCTAACCTAATGCTGGTGACAAGGAAAGCAGAAGGCAAAAATGAAACCTCTAGATCATGTCCTTCTGAATTTCTGCAAATGTTTGATACAGAGTCAGTCTTCAAAGTGATGACTGAATCCCTACATATGGCTAAAGGCAATCATTTAGCAAATCATATTACAGTGATATGTGAATACCATTAAGAAACAGAAAGAAACAGATCTGAACCCTCGTGGTGCCTTGGGCAGATTAGGAAAGGATGCCTCTCTTGGTGGAAACAGGCCTGCACCATTTCTGCTAGCAGAGCCTGGCTGTGTTTTAGCCCTATCTGTTAACACTGCAGGGTGCTTGTTCAGGGCATAACCTGTACATCTGTGAGTGGCAGCCCTGCAATTAGGGATTAGTGAGGTGGCTATTACAGCTCAGATAAGTCTTTCCAATAGGATGTGTCCACACATCGTATTTCACAAATCCTCTACTTGACAGGATCCTCTACTATCAGGCCCTTTACTTGATAGGATGATAACAGGATACCAGTGGACCTCTCTTCCAAAGAACTCTAGGGATGCAACCTTATTTGGCATCTCAGTTCTTCATCTCAGAACCCCAAGATGCACACTACTCTTCATCTCTGTACCTCTATGCATTCTTCACTTGTGTCTGCAATGCCACTCCTTTCATCTCTCCATATCCAAATGCAAATCAAAGACTGTCTCAAATCCACCTTCTCAGACTTGTCCAGCTAGAAGTACTTTCTCCCTCTTTTAAATTCTTAGGAAACCTACCTCTTTGTTCTCTATTTTACTGATTTTGCATTTCCACTACCAAAATATAAGTTCTAAGAATAAAGACCATGTCTGGAATGGATGAATGAATGAATAATTATTACCACAATATACATGTAGAAACTGCAGTGATATAAAAACACAAAGGAGGCAAAAAGAAAAATTAGGCTACCAGCCAACAGATCCTACACAGTCCATTTGACCCATTTCTCCACACCTTCCATTGGGGAGTAAAAATGTGAAAAGCCCCAGGACCCACACATAAAAGCTACTAAGTTTGCAGCACCAACGGCAGGACCAGGTCAACTGCCAGAAGACACTGTGGGTTTTACAGCAGACGCCTAGCCAATGATGAGACCTCAAGGCACCACAAAAGGAATCAGGGGATTCCTTTTGTTCTATCTTCTATACTTTCGTAAGTATTTGAAATATTTAATTTTAAAACATTTTTTAAAAAGAGTTATAGGGCACAAAGCCCTGACAGACATAGGGAAAGGCTACAAGATCAATTTGAGACCAGGGCTTAGGCTCTCAACAATAACTCCAAAAAGAACCATAAGCCAAGATATGAAGACATTGAGGCCAAAAAGAGACAGTCAATGAGATACCAAAACAGTTAGAGACAGGACAGAAACACCCCAAAGCAAAATAAGAAAGGTACTTTTTTGGGAGCTGAGTAAATTGTATGCCCCTCTAAAGGAAAGCAGTGTGCACTGACTCCAACTGTCAATTCCAAACATCCTCTGTAGTTCTGTCTTTATGGAGCATCTACCTTATGCCAGGTATTATCTTAAGCCAATAAAAAAGAAAAGGGTGACATTTCCAAGCGATGGTAATCAGAAGAACTAGTTTTACCACTCTCTAAAGGACCCAAATGACCCCTCCAGGTTCTCTACTTCTCCATCCTATCCTTTGGTGATCAAACTTGCTTTTCCTCAAATATTAGTATTCAAGATAAATAAATACCCCTCTTGTTTTTCAGTTCTATCAAGTTACTAGTACTGCAAACTAGTGAAACTCACATCTATTTTTTAAAAGTCTTTTTTAAATATTTGTGATGGTTTAATGAAGATGACACTGTGATACTAACTTGTTTGTGTGTATTTGTGAGTGTATGTGAATGTACAGGATGGCAGCTGCCTGAAGGGTTAAAAGATTTTATAGGCTGCCACGGAAGAGTATAAGAATGAAGACAACATCCTTGACATTATTTTCCTTTGTAAAAATATACTTTGTATTCTAAAAGATGGAAAAATAATAATACAAAAAGGAAGGGGCTTATCTTTACAGGGATTTGATATTTGTGAATTCAGGTTATGAGCTATTATGAGACAGCCTGTACTCAAATAAGAGATCTGACCACTGCTCAAAACAGAATGAACTTCTGCTTCTGGAAAGATGAAGTAGAAGTACTTTTCCCTACTTCTCCCTTGAAATACCCTGGACATTATATATAAAATAAACATTTAAAAATTCTGACCAGCCTGGCCAACATGGCGAAACCCCGTCTCTACTAAAAATACAAAAATTAGCCGGGCGTGGTGGCACACACCTGTAATCCCAGCTACTCAGGAGGCTGAGGCACGAGAATCGCTTGAATCCGGGAGGGAGAGGTTACAGTGAGCTGAGATTGTGTCACTGCACTCCAACCTAGGTGACAGAGTGAGACCCTGTCTCAAAAATAAAAATAAAAATTCTGAAAGGTGGAGAAGGAAGAAGACTGGCTAGGGACCTTGGGGTCTGAGGAATGACACAGCTGTGAGTCTGCTGAGTTTGTTTTTTCTTATTTGTTTGTTTGTTTGTCTCACATATCACAGACTGAGTGGTGGAGAAGCTAGCAAGAAATGCCAATGGGTACAGACCAAAAAAAAAAAAAAAGCCAAAAAAACTTTGTTCTCTCCAGTCAAAAAAACTAGAAAAGGTAATGCATAGCAAAACAAAAAACTTGCAGGTAAAAAACTGCTCTACTCCAGCCAAACATCACAAAAAAACTGTAGCTACCACACACCTGCCAACGAAGGCCAAGTGAAGAGCCTAGACTTCCACCACTGCCCTACAGTAATGAAGTGCCCCATTCTCCACCTCCCATCCTGCCGGGGTAGCATCAGAGAAGGCCAAGTAGGGGGCTAGAGGGCAGTAATGAGCCATTCTCTCCCACTGTGTCACTGGGTAGACAGAATTCCTATCTCTCCCAGGCAATGATGAGCAGCCCCTTTCCCCCAGGGTGTTAACAGAGGCCACGTAGGGAACCTGGACTTCTACTTCCATTGGGCAGTAATAAGACAGTCCCTTGCTTCCCCTGCTGGAGTGGTGTTCAGAAGGGCCAGCTAAAACAGAAGATTTTAGTAAGATTCAGATCTCAAAACATCCAAAATGTAAGTTTCAATAGAAAATCACTGGCTATACTAAGAACCAGAAAAACCTCAGCTTCAATGAGAAGAGACATTAATTGATGGCAACATCAAGATGACAGAGATATTAGAATTATCTAACAAAGAGTTTAAAACAGCCACCATAAAAATGCTTCAATGGTCAATTATAAACTGTTTCCCAGGCTAGAATACAGCAGTGCAATCATGGCTCACTGCAGCCTCGATCTCCAGGGCTCAAGCAATCCTTCCACCTTAGCATTCTGAATAGCTGGGAATACAGGCACACACCACTACTTTTTTTTTCTGTAGACACAGGGTCTCGCTATGTTGCTCAGGCTCATCTTGAACTCTCAGGCTCATGTGATCCTCCCACCTCGGCCTCTCAAAGTGGCGGGATTATAGGGGTGAGCCACCACACCCAGCCACTTTTAAAAAATGAAAAATAAAAACTCTCAGTAAAGAAACAGAAGATATAAAAACTAAATGGAGATTCTAGAATTAAAAATAAACCGAGGAGGCCAGGCACGATGGCTCATGCCTGTAATCCTGGCACTTTGGTAGGCCAAGGCAGGTGGGTCACTTGAGGTCAGGAGTTCGAGACAGCCTGGCCAACACAGTAAAACCTCGTCTCTATTAAAAATACAAAAATTAGCCGGGCATGGTGGCACACACCTGTAGTCTCAGATACTTGGGAGGCTGAGGCAGGAGAATCGCTTGAATCCGGGAGGCTGAGATGGCAGTGAGCCAAGATCACACCACTGCACTCCATCCTGGGCTACAGAGCGAGACTCCGTCAAAAACAAAAAAACAAAAAACAAAACTGAGGCCAGGTGCAGTGGCTTACATCTATAATCCTAATGCTTTGGGAGGCCAAGGCAAGAGGATCACCTGAGACCAGGAGTTTGAGACCAGCCTGGGCAACATAATGAGACCCCCATCTGTATGAAAATAAATAAAGTAATTAATTAACTAAAGTAAAAAATGCAATGGATGGACTCAATAGAAATATGGGGGGGAGGAGAAGAATGAATGAGTAAACATTAAGACAGAACATAGAAATTACTCAATCTGAACAATATGAGAGGAACTAGATTGAAAAATATTTCACAGAGACTTGGAGACCTGTGAGACTCTAAAAAATGACCAACTATTCATGTTACTTGAGTCCTGGAGGACAAAAGAAAGAAGACAGGGCTGAAAAAGTATTCAAAGAAATAATTTCTGAATATTTCCCAAACTGTGCAAAAGACATAAGCCCAGAGATTCAAAGAAACTGAACAAATCCCAGAAAGGATAAACCCAGAAACCCATGCCAGCACACAGACAGAAGCCCAACTTATGAAAACTAAAGACAAAGAAAAAATCTTGAAAGCAGCAAGAGAAAAATAATAACCTTACCTATAAGGGGAAAACAATTCAAATGACAGCAAATTTCTCATAGAAAACATGGAGGCCAAAAGGAAGTAGCACATTTTTCAAATACTAAAAGAAAAGAACTGCCAACCCAGAATCCTGTATTCAGCAAAAATATCCTTCAAGCAGCCAGGTGCAGTGGCATGTGTCTGTAGTCCCAGCTATACTGCTTGAGCCCCAGGAGTTCAAGTCCAGCCTAGGCAACATAGCAAGACCCTGTCTCAAAAAAAAAAAAAAAAAAAGGAATAAAAGAAAAATTAAAGCATACTTAGATGAAGGAACATTAAAGGAATTTGTCAAGAAGTTCTCTAAACAGAAAGGAAATGATAAAAGAAGAAATCCTGGAATATCAGGAAGAAAGAAAGAACAACAGAAAGGGTAAAAACTTTTAAAAATATGACAGATTATTCTCTCATGAGTTTTCTAAATTATGTTCGGTGAATGAAGCAATAATTATGTCTCATGTGGTTCTCAACATACGTAAAGGAACTATTTAAGACAATTATAAATGGGAGGGTTCAAAGACATAAAAGGAGGTAAAGTTTCTACATTTCATTTGAAATAGTAAAACACATCAGGAGACCACAACAAGTCATACACATACTCACACACAAACACATATACACCCCACTAAAAACTATACAAAGAGATATACTAAAAAACACTATAGATTATAAAATGAAATTATTATTTTTTGAGACAGGGTCTCACTCTGTCACCCAGTCTGGAACGCAGTGACACAATCATGGCTCACTGCTGCCTCAACCTCAAGTCATCCTTCTGCCTCAGCCTCAAGACTCAAGTGATCCTTCTGCCTCAGCCTCCCAAGTAGCTGGGACTACAGACATGTACCGTTATACCCAGCTAATTTTTTAAAAGATATATTTTGTACAGACAGGATCTTGCTATGTTGCCACAGCTGGTCTTGAATTCCTGGTCTCAAGCAATCCTCCCATCTCAGCTTCCCAAAGTACTGGGATTACAGGCATGAGCCACTAGGCCTGGCCTAAAATGTAATTATTTTAAAATGTTCAAATTACCCACAAGAAGTCAAGGAAAAGAAAACAGAGAAATAACAACAATGGCAACAACAAACAGAACAAACACAAAACAAAAAAGGGCAGACTTATTCCCTAATATATATCAATGATTACATTAAATGTAAATGGTCTAAATATGACAATTGCCAAAACAGAGACTGACAGTAGATAAAAGACATGACCCAATTATATACTATCTACATGAAATTCACTTCCAGTATAACAATATAGGTAGGTTGAAAGTAAATGGATGGAAAAAATATAGCATGCAAACATTAATCAAAAGAAGCAAGAGTTATATTATCATCAGATAGACTTCAGAGTGAAGAAAATGTCCAGGAACAAAGAAGGATATTACATAATGATAAAAGAATAAGTCCACTAAGAAGGCATAATAATCCTGAATGTGTTTGCACCAAACTTCAAAGATGTAAATAAGTGAAGCAAAAACTCATAAAGTGAAAGGAGGAACAGACAAATCCATAGTTATAGCTGGAGACTTCAATCAACTGCACCTCAAAAATTGATAAGACAAGTAAACAGAAATCAGCAAAGATTTACAAAAAGAACTAGAAAACACTATCAACTAAAGGATATAATCATGATTTATAATATTGCATCCAACAACAGAAGAATTCCTTTGAAGACCCCACAGAATAGGCTGGACACAATGGCTCATACCTGTAATCTCAGCCCTCTGGGAGGCCGAGGTGGGAGGATTGCTGAGGACAGGAGTTTAAGTCAAGAAACCACAGAATGTCTACCAAGATAGACCATATCCTGGACTATAAGACAAAACTCAATAAATTTAAAATAATTTATACAAAGTGTGTTATATGACCACAGTGTAATCAAATTATAAATTAATAACAGAAAGGTAAAGAAAACCTCCAAACACTTGAAAATTAAACACACACTTTAAAACAATCCGTAAGTTAAAAAGGAAATATAAAGGAAATTAAAAAAATACATTGAACTAGATGAAAATGAAAATATATCAAAATTTGTGTCACACAGCTAAAACAGTACCGAGAGGGAAATCCATAGCACTAAATGCTTACATTCCAAAAGAAGAAAAGTCTCAAAACAGTAATTTAAGCTCACAAGTCAAGAAATTAGAAGAAGAGCAAAATAAACTTAAATCACAAACATGGAAGGAAATAATAGGATAGAAATCAATGAAATGGAAAATTTTAAAAACAGAGAAAAATCAATGAAACAAAAAGTTGGTCCTTTGGACAGAGTGATACTTCATCTAAAAAAAATTACATTTCTATATACGAACAATGAACATATAGAAACCAAAATTTAAATACCATTTATAATCACTCTAAAAAATAATATCAATAAAGCTATAATTTTTTAAATAAAATACTTAGATATAAATCTAACAAAACATATACAGAACTTGTATGCTGAAAACTACAAAATATTCCTGAAATCAAAGTGCTAAATAAATGGGGAGATATATCATGTTTTATGGATTGGAAGAGTCAACAAAGCAAAGATGTCAATTCTCCCCCAAACTGATATACAGGTTTAATACAACTACTGAAAAAAAAAAATAAGCAAGCGAGTTTGTGGCTATAGATAAGATTATTCTAAAATGCGTATGAAAAGGCAAAGAAACTAAAATAGCTAAAGCAATTCTGAAAAAAGAATAAAATAGGAAAAACCATGCTATCCTACTTCAAGACTTATTATATAGCTATAGTAATCAAGATTGTGTGGTATTGTTGGAGGAATAGACATAGATCAATGAAACAGAATACAGAACCCAAAAATATACTTACATAAGTATATCTAACTGATTTTTTACAAAGTGCAAAAGTAATTTAAGGGAGGAAGGGTAGTCTTTTCTATAAATAGTGCCGGGAGTAAAAAGAAAGAATCTTGACCTAAACCTCACATCTTACATAAAAATTAACTAAAAATTTATCATAGATATAAATATGAAAAATAAAACTATAAAACTGGAAGAAAACATAGGAGGAAATCTTCAGGACCTATGACTTGGTGAGGAGCTCTTAGATATGACACCAAAAGCATAATCCATAAGATAATTCGGAAAACTGGACTGCAACAAAATTGAACACTTTTCAATTTTGCTTCTCTAGGAAAGCCCATGTGAAGAGGATGAAAAGACAAGCTAGAAATTGGGAGAAAATATCTGTAAACCACATATCTGATAAGCAACTCAAATCTAGAATGTATAAAGAACTCTTGAAATTCAACAGTGAAAAAACACAAACAATCCAATTTTAAAATGGGAAAAACACACATACAGACATTTCACAAAGAGGATATATGGATGGCAAATCAGAGCATGAAAAGATATTGAGCTATTATGAAAATGCAACTTGAGACCCCAATGAGATAATACTACCTACCCATCAGAACAGCTAAAATGATAAATAGTGACAGTATCAAACACTGGCAAGCATGGAGACAAACTGGATCTCTCATGCATTACTGGACTGTAAAATGGTATACTCTAGAAAAGTCTGGGCCAGGCGCAGTGGCTCATGCCTGTAATCCCAGCACTTTGGCAGGCTGAGGTGAGTGGATCACCTGAGGTTAAGGGTTCGAGACCAGCCTGGCCAACACGGTGAAACCCCATCTCTACTAAAAATGCAAAAATTAGCTAGGCATGGTGGTGGGCACCTATAATCCCAGCTACTTGGGAGGCTGAGGCAGGAGAATCACTTGAACCTGGGAGGCGGAGGTTGCAGTGCGCCAAGACTGCACCATTGCACTCCAGCCTGGACAACAGAATGAAATTTCATCTCAAAAAAAAAAACAAAAACAAAACACAGTTTGGCAGTTTCTTTTAAAACTAAACATGCAATTATTGTACAATCTACCAATCACACTCCTGACATTTATCCCAGAGAAATAAAAATTTGTGTCTACACGAAAACCTCTGTACAATTGCTCATTGCAGCTTTATTTATAACAACCAAACCTGAAAACAACCAAAATGTCCTACAAATAGTGAATGGTTAAACAAACCGCAGTATATTCATTCCATGGAATACTACTCAGCAAAGAAGAAGAATAAACTATGGTCCTGGTACACAGAACAACTTGAATGGATCTCAAGTGCATTATGCTTGGTTATAAAAAGCCCGTATCAAAAGGTTATATACAATATGCATCCTTTTACGTAACATTCTTGAAATGACAAAATTATAGAAATGGAGGGCTGATAAACAGTTGTCAGAGGTTAGGGATGGTAGAGAGGAAGGGAATGGGTGTGACTATGAATGAACAGCCAAAGGCATCTGGTGATGGAATAATTCTGTATCTTGATTGCGGTGATGATTACAGGAATCTACACACGATAAAGTGACAGTACTACACACACACACACACACACACACACACACACTTTATACCAACATCAATTTCCTGGAGTTGCTGTTTACTAGAATTATATAATATGTAATCAATGGGGAAAACTAGGTGAAGGGTACATGAGACTTCTCTGTACTATATTTGCAAATTCCTGCAACTATAATTATCTTAAAATAAAAGCTGGAAAAAAGTATTAACTTAAGATCCTCATGTACTGGTTACTTAAATTATGCTAATACTTTTTTGTTTAAATATAATTTTTAAATATCCCCACCAATATCTTATCTGCTAATTAACTGTAATTTTGATGTTTTATGCATGAACACTGAAGGGCACACTTTATAGTGAATAGCTCCTTTACTACATCACATTTCTAAACTGGAAGGTACTATAATCTCAGGACTCTTTGAAATAAAGCTGCTCAAAGACAACTAGTATTCAACTTAAAACAGGAAAGCGGCTGGGTGCAGTGGCTCATGCCTGTAATCCCAGCACTTTGGGAGGCAGAGGCAGGTGGATCACCTGAGGTCGGGAGTTCGAGAACAGCCTGACCAACATGGAGAAACCCCGTCTCTACTAAAAATACAAAATTAGCTAGGTATGGTGGTACATGCCTGTAATCCCAGCTATTCAGAAGGCTGAGGCAGGAGAGTCACTTGAACCCAGGAGGCAGAGGTTGCAGTCAGCTGAGATTGTGCCATCACACTCCAGCCTGGGCAACAAGAGCAAAACTCCATCTCAAAACAAAACAAAACAAAACAAAACAAAAAACTAGGAAAGCAGGCTGAGCATGGTGGCTCATACCTGTCATCCCAGCATTTTGGGAGGCTGAGGCGGGAGGACTGCTTGAGTCCAAGAATTTGAGACCAGCCTGGGCAACACAATGACACCCCATCTCTACAAAAAAAAAAAAAAAAAGCCAGGCATGGTGGCACACACCTGTGGTCCCAGCTACTTGGGAGTCTGAAGTGGGAGGATCACTTGAGCTCAGGAGGTCAAGGCTGCGTGAGCTGCGACTGCATCACCGCACTCCAGCCTGGGCAACAAAGTGAGACCCTGTCTCAAAAAACAAAAAAAAAAAAAAGAAAAGAAAAAAGAAAAGAAAAGAAAATCAATTCCACAAGGACAAAGGCAGCTTCAGAATGTTCATACAAGAGACACTGGAATGTCTTCCAGATCTTACCAGATCCTTCCACAAGGCAGTGGATGTCATAACCTACCACCTTGCCTGGTACATATTAGGAAGCACTCAGTAAACACTGCTAAGTTAAATGAATGAATGACCTAAGGGCTGCCTTATTTTTGCTCACTGAAACAAGAAATGCAGGTTTACAGATCCCTTGCCATAGTTCTGATCTACAGTTTGAACACTTTTCCACAATAAATCTGTATTTGGAGAGAAAAAGAGAAAGGTTTATACAGATGAAATTTGTCTAAAAGTAGAGTGAAGTAGTAATCAAATACACAGCATCCGTGTTACTAGGTTTTATAAAAACATATTTTAATTTGCCTCCCTTATTTCCTAAATCTTCTTCCCAGCATCTGTTTATAAACTGCTCATGTCATAGATTATCTCTGTTCTATTAACAAAGACTTTATGCCTATGCTGCAGGCTACCCTTGATCCTGTTTTTTCTTCCACCTTTTACCCTTAACCCCTCCTCAAGCCCCTACCACATGCACTGAGAGAGAGAGAGGCTGAGAGAGACAGAAAGAAAGAGAAAAACAGAGAGAAAGAGAGAGATGACTGCACCTTGCAAAATAGGAATTTAGACAAAACAGGCTTCATTTGGCACACAAATATTCAAACACAAAGTGTTCACCATAAAGTATATACAGAATACAGAAGACTCAAATACACAATACAGAAGACAAAACTGAGTTGTGCCACCCTTACTGAATTCACCTTCAGCCACAGGACTTGAGAACTGGTTACCAAATCTGTAGATTCTATTAAGGCTCCAAGTTGCTTGGGGATGGAGTGAAGAGGAGGGTAGAGGTCAGTTTCGTCATTTGTTAGGAACTAAGAGGGGTAGGGAACTAAACTTGATAGGACCTTTTACACTGATAATGTTATTAAATGCTTGTAACTATAAGGTAGACATAATCTATACCGGATAGGTGGGAAAACTGCAGCTGTAAGGCTCAAGAGGTAAAGCTAGATTCAACCCAGACTTCCTTACTTCAAATATTCTAAAGCCTAGGATCTTTCCACCACATCCTTCTTCTACAAATCCAACTTTGGGAATTACAGCTACTCCCTTTCTCTAAAATAATTTCTTCTCCTTAGAGCACTAATAAGCTAATCAGAGACCTGTTGGTAGAGGAAGGAGCCTGAGATTACACTTGTTACAACTGCTCTTTATCCACTGTATTACCTTGAAGTCAGGTTGTCCTCTCTATGATCATGTTACTTTTTGAATTTAGTTGATTTCTAAGTTATTCTAAGAATAAAAAACACTGACTCCAAGATGGCTTCTGTTGCAAATGCAAACACTTAAATCAGAGCTATTAACATTGTCCAAAATGTACTTTCCAGAGGAAACACTATTTGTTTATTTAATTCTATCTGGCAACGTTAAACCATTTCCAGTTGCTTCCATTTTTCATTTTACTAAAATTATCTTTAGTGGGATCAACTCTTCTCTGCAAAATGTAATTAAATATTACCCTATATGTTGGTTCTGAGCTGTATTTTTTTCTGACCATGTCACAAATTTCACCAATTACTTTTCACACTGGCAATAGTCTTCCGTGGCTTTTATTTCTACAAACCTAATTTTTCCCCGAGTGCTTTATCCTTCTGGCTCTGGAGGTACATGTGTAAATCTGTAATGAACACAAAACCTGTAATGGAACGTCCTACACCTAGTGCTCTGAAAAGTTGGTTCAGTGTATCCAATATTTAAAGTCTAATAACACGGGCATGCTAAGGGAAGTTTGCTATTCAGATTAAACAATGCTCTGACGTGAGCTTCGTGAATGGTTAAAGAAACAATCGTCCCCTTTCTCACTCCCCATCTCTTCCAACTGGGAGAAGCCCTTGGCGCCCATCTGTCAGCCCAGGGTTCCTGCAGGCGCGTGCCTTGGGTGGCCCCGGGGTCCGGGAACAGGCTGACGGGAGAAAGGGGACAGAGGACTCCAAGAAGCCCAGTGAAGCCCCGTGGGGAGCCCCATGGTCAAGGCCGGGACTGAGGGCCGGGTGGGCCCTGGGCCGCCTCCACCTCTGGGCCCGCCCTGCGCCACACCCTAACCCGCCTGCTCTTGGCTAACGGGCCGCGGCACCCGCCTCCGCCCGCCAGCCCTCACCTCGCCCGGACGGCGGCCTTCGGAAGTCGGCGCCTGCCAGCTACCCGCCGCCTCCTCAGCAATCTTAGCCGACCGGGAGGGCTCGGCCCAGGTCACCGGCAGCCCAGGCGCAGGTAGGCCGTGGTGCGCGTGCGCGAGTCTTGAGCCACCCCACCTCCCCCCTACCCCGCATTCGCTGCTGCTAAGCGACACCCGCACCCAAACCGACCAATCCCGGCGCGCCTCCACAGCCCCCGTCCCGGCGAAGGCGCGAACGTAGTGGTTCTTAAAGGGCTGCGACCCAAACGGAGAGGGAGTGTGACGGGGGCGCGCGCCTCCCAACTTTCTTCCCACCTCCCGGCTCTCACCGCGGCGGTTTGAGATCCAAGCCTGTAATTCTCACGTCCGGAGGTGAGAAGGAGCCTTCGTGATCTAAGCTCGATTCCTGCCGGGGTAGCAACCGGACTGACGTCTGGAGGCGGGGAGGCTCCGCGTGACAGAGTGATAACGCCCGGGGCGTATGTTCTGCGGTCCGCGCGGCTGGGCGGGAGGCCCGAGATAGGCAAACCAAAGAGCACAACCTACTGCCAGCCTGGATGGGGCGCCAAAGTCCGACCCAGGGGGACACACCCCAAGCTGGGGACCGAGGCACCCACAGATGGATGACTGGCTGGAAGGAGATTAGGTAGGTAGCAGAGTCCGTCCATTTATTCATTTAGCAAGTATTGAGCACCTGCTATGTGCCAGGGGTTGTGGACAAAGCGAGGAATTCCTGACACGAAAAACTATGTTAAGAGAGGAGGCAGGGTGAGAGCACCCTTCAAACAATCAAACACCTGTATAAATACAAACTGCTCTTCAGGGAGGAGCAGGGGTTTTGGGAGAATTTACAGAAGCTTCTAGGCTGGTGTTGGGAATCACAGGAGGCTAACTAGGCAAAGGGGAGAGGAAGTGTGTTTCAGATGGAGAGATTAGCATGTATATAAGAACTCTGTGGAAGGCAGCAGAGCTCCTTTGAGGGATGAAAAGAAACCCAGAAAGGGGGAAATGGAAAGTTAGTGCTTAATAGGTACAGAATTTCAGCTGGAGAAGATGAAACAGTTCTGGAAATGGATAGTAGTGATGATCACACAACAATGTGAATGTACCAAATGCCACAGATCTGCACACTTAAAAATGGTTATGTACATTTTACCACAAAAAGAAAAGAAACTCAGAGTTTAGAGAATAAAGGAGTGGAGTGAGATCCACTAGAGCGAATAGAAGGGGCAGGACCATGTAGGATTTTATGGACCATAGTGGAAAGTTTAGGACCATAGAACACTGGTCAAAATTGCATTTTATAAAACTCACTTTGGCTGCTAAAGTGCAGATCAAAATGGAGAAGTCTCAACAGAGCTATGGTGGGACTGGCCTGGGAGCCAGTGCAGTCATCTGGGCAAGAGAGAATGGAGCTGGAGTGTGGACTAGGGTGAGAGTGAAGAAAAAGAGATCTAAGAAGGCTGCAGAGAAATGTAGGAGCAAAATCAATAGGACTTGGTGATGAGTTGGATGTGAAGGGGCGATGAAGCAGCTTCAAGGATGATGCCACTGTTCAGCCTTGGATAAATGGATGGATGGTGCAGGGATTCACAGATATGGAGAACACTGGAAGAGGAGATAAGATTGATCTTGAGCTCCATCTTAGACAAGTTGAATTTGAGGCACCTTTGAGACTTGGTTAGGATTTTGCGATGATTAGTTTTAGATGTCAACCTGACTAGGTTAAGGGATACTCAGGTAGCTGGGGGAACATTACTTCTGGGTATGTCTATGAGGGTGTTCCCAGAAGATATTGGCATTTAAGTCAATGGACTGAGTAAGGAAGATCTGTCCTCATCTAATATGCGCAGGCACCACATAATAGAACAAAAAGGCAGAGGAAAGGCAAATTCTCTACTCTGGAGTTGGGACACCCCTCTTCTGCCCTTGGCATCAGAATTCCCCGTTCCCCTAATCTCCTAACTCTAGGAGATTAGGTAGTAGAGTCCGTCCA
Organism: Homo sapiens; assembly: GCF_000001405.40. NCBI lineage: Eukaryota > Metazoa > Chordata > Mammalia > Primates > Hominidae > Homo > Homo sapiens. The sequence continues at coordinate 42,583,860 of NC_000003.12, forward strand.
TTTATTCATTTAGCAAGTATTGAGCCTTTGGACTCCAAGACTTGTACCAGTGGTTCCCCAGGTTCTCCCGGCTTGGGCCTTGGACTGGGAGATACACCATTCAGCTTCCCTGGTTCTGAGGCCAAGTCTAAGACAGGGTAGTCTTGAACTGAAGCAGTCTACCAGCCTCCCTGGTTCTCCAGCTTGTAGATGGTCTATTGTGGGACTTCTCAGCCTCCATAACTATGTGAGCCAGTTCCCCTAATAAATCCCCTCCCATATATCTATAGATATAGATCTATATTGTAGATATATAGATATCACATTGGTTCTCTCTCTCTGGAGAACCTTGACTAATACAGATGTCAACACAGCAGGTGCATATACAGGTTGCAGGTCAATGTAGAGGTCTGGGCTGAACACAGACTTTTTTTGAGGCTGAGTCTCACTCTGTGGCCTAGGTTGGAGTTTAGTGGCACAATCTCGGCCCACTGCAACCTGCGCCTCCCAGGCTCAAGTGATTCTTCTGCCTCAGCCTCCCAAGTAGCTGGGATTACAAGCATCTGCCAACACGCCCAGCTAATTTTTGTATTTTTAGTAGAGATGGGGGTTTCACCATATTGGCCAGTTTGGTCTCGAAATCCTGGCCTCAAGTGATCTGCCCGCCTTGGCCTCCCTAAGTGCTGGGATTACAGGCGTGAGCCACCACGCCTAGCCGGGACATAGACTTTTGAAAGTCAGCATCATATGGGCGGAAATCGAAGTGGGGCTTACATAGCCAGAGAAAAATTACAAAATGAAAACTGAAGAGAATTGTGATACAGTCTAAGATAGCCTCCAGGGTTCACCACCTCCTGGGATTTATACCCTTGTGTAGTCCCCTCCCACAATGAGTCTCTGATAATGAGGGTAGGTCATAACAGGCACAAAGAAGGAGAAAAACCAGGAGATTCAGGGTTGGTAAAGGCAATTGAAAACCCTGTAGCATAAGTGCTCTTCAAATATGGGGAATTGGGGCCAGGTGTGGTGGCTCACACCTATAATCCCAGCACTTTGGGAGGCCAAGGTGGGTGGATCACGAGGTCAGGGACCAGCCTGTCCAACATGGCAAAACCCCGTCTCTATTGAAAAATTACAAAAATTAGCCGGGCGTGATGGTGGACATCTGTGATCCCAGCTACTTGGGAGGCTGAGGCAGGAGAATCACTTGAACCTGGGAGGAGGAGGCTGCAGTAAGCCGAGATCGCACCATTGCACTCCAGCCTGACCTACAAGAGCGAAACTCCATCTCAAAAAACAAACAAAACAAAACAAAACAAACAAACAAATATGGGGAATTGGGCTCTCAAAACTTGTGGTGCGAGTGCTTTAGAACAGGACCTTACACTCTCTGACTGGTGCAACTGGTGTGGTTCAGGCACCATGGTAGATTGGACAACAGGGGTGAGATGTAGTACCTAAAGTCCTAGCTCTCATCTCCAATCATTGTTCACTTTGGCTCCAGGTTCACAGTCAACTCCAGAGTCTTTCTCTTCCAGTCCTCTTCAGTCCTCCACTCCTAGGGTAACACCCTGGACCACAGAAGAGCTCCACCTCTGAAGTTATAAATGCAGACACCTGATCTTTCATCTGTCCTTCTGCTATTCTCTGAATTCCTTTCATGGTTTCTCTAGCCTGCAGAAACTTCCAGTTCATTTGTCCCTCTACTTTGTTTTATTTATAAGCTCCATCGAGTCTTCATTTCCTTCCCCATCAGCTGAGAGTTCAGGGTTTATCACCTCCATCACATTCTTCCCAATATACTTATATTCCTTGCACAGTTATCTTTCTGGCATAACTAGAAGGATAGTAACACCCATCTGGCAGCACTACAATCCTGGAAGAATCCAACCTTCTGTCTTCTCTGAATCTGCTTCTTGGCTCTAAGTGCTGCTGGACAAAATCTCACAACCACACAGATCAGTGCTACATACATTGTCAACTTCAACTAGGTCCTCAACACCTTTCAGCGCTCCTATTTGCCAAGGCAGCTCTCTCTCCAGCTCTCCCCCAAAATCAACTTCCAAATATCCTGCATGCTCCCCAGATCTCCCACTCTTCAACCCCCCCTCCCCCGCTTGCTCTCCCAGGAACCTCCGTTACTGAAGAAAGAGCAACCATCAAAGTGATGTCCCTTAGCTCCAGACAACTCCTCTCCTTCCAGCTACCACCTTCTTTCCCCTCTCCCCTTTACAACCAAACCTCATGGAAAAAGTGGTCTATATGTGAACACTCCATTGCTTCACCTTCACCTTTCATTATTTCTCAGTCCCCTGCAGTTCTGATACCTGTTTCACCATATCACTGAAAATGCCCTCCTCAAAGACCTAGTCTTTATTCTTCCTTGTTCTTTTGTTGTTGTTGTTGAGACAGAGTCTCGCTCTGTCACCCAGGCTGGAGTGCAATGGCACTGAGGCTTACTGCAACCTCTGCCTGCCGGATTCAAGTGATCCTCCAGCCTCAGCCTCCCAAGTAGCTGGGACTACAGGCCTGTGCCACCATGCCTGGCTAATTTTTGTATTTTTAGTAGAGACAGGGTTTCAACATGTTAGCCAGGCTGGTCTCAAACTCCTGACCTCAAGTGATCTGCCTACCTCGGCCTCCCAAAGTGCTGGCATTACAGGTGTGAGCCACTGCACCCACCCCTTCCTTGACCTTTCAACAGCATTTGTCATTGCTGTCCTGTATGTCCTTTTCAGTCACTGTTTAAAAAAAAAAAAAAAGCCATAACCCCCACTCTCCTGGTTTTCCTCTTCCTATATCTCTAGTCTCTTTCTCCCCTCAGTCTCCATTGCAGCTTCTTTTCCTCTGCCATAAGAGAAACTATCACATTCTCCTTAGGCAGTCTTATCCACTACATAGTTCCAGTCAGTTTCTACAAGTGATGTTTCTCAAAGCTGTATCTCCAACCTAGCCTTTGTCCCTGAGTTTCAGCCCCAAATAGCCACAAGCCTCAACATCGTTTGACATCACCTCACACTGTACATTTCCACAACTGAATATATCACCTTCATTTCCATTCCAGCATCTCCCCCACTGTTCCCTGCCTACATAAGGGGCATCACCAGTTTCTCAGTTGCTTAACCCAGAACCCCAGAAGGCATCCCTAATTTCCCTTTTCTTTCCCTCCCCACTTGATCACTAAGGCCTGCCAAATCTACTTCTAATGTCTTTCAAATGCACACACTTCTTTTCTCATTGCTCCCACTATCTCTGGCCTGCATGCTTGTAGCAGCCTTGTCACTGTTCTTTTTGTTTCTCATCTGGGCGTCTTCCCTAACTTTCACCATGTTACAGCCAATAAAACTCTAAATGCATCTCAGGCTTCATCATTCTTCTGCCTAAAACCATCCATGGCTCCCATTACTCCTAGGAGAGTACAGAATCTGGACACCTGTGTCCTGCTTAACCTCCACTTTGCCTTTATACTGCCTTTATAAACCTTTTCTTCTGGAGGTCTTTCCCTGTATGCTGGAACAGGTTGGTCCCCTATAACACCTGCCTCACCCTAACACCATCTCATTTTTTTTTACCTGATAGAAACTTTAATGATGTTAAAAAACCAATCAGTCCAGGTGCGGTGGCTCACGCCTGTAATCCCAGCACTTTGGGAGGCCGAGGCAGGCGGATCACGAGGTCAGGAAATCGAGACCATCCTGGCTAACACAGTGGAACCCCGTCTCTACTGAAAAAAAAAAAATACAAAAAATTAGCCGGGCGTGATGGCGAGCGCCTGTAGTCCCAGCTACTGGGGAAGCTGAGGCAGGAGAATGGCATGAACCTGGGAGGCGGAGCTTGCAGTGAGCCGAGATCGTGCCACAGCACTCCAGCCTGGGCGACAGAGCGAGACTCCGTCTCAAAAAAAAAAAAAATCAAATCCTTATATAAACCTCACTCAAAACCTTCGCTTTAGGCCAGGCTCTGTGGCTCACACCTGTAATCTTAGCATTTTGGGAGGCTGAGGTGGGTGGTTCACCTGAGGTCAGGAGTTCAAGACCAGCCTGACCAACATGGTAAAAACCCCCATCTCTACCAAAAACACAAAATTAGCTGGGCGTGGTGGTGCATGCCTGTAATCCTGGCCACTTGGGAGGCTGAGGCAGGAGAATTGCTGGAACCCCGGAGGTGGAGGTTGCAGTGAGCCGAGATTGCACCATTGCACTCCAGCCTGGGCAACAAGAGTGAAACTGTCTCAAAAAAACAAAAACAAAAACAACAATAACAACAACAACAACAAAAACCGGGGCCAGGCACGGTGGCTCACGCCTGTAATCCCAGCACTTTGGGAGGCCGAGGCAGACAGATCATGAGGTCAGGAGTTCAAGACCAGCCTGGCCAACATAGAGAAACCCCATCTCTACTAAAAATACAAAAAAATTAGCTGGGCATGGTGGCTTATGCCTGTAGTCCCAGACTACTCGGGAGGCTGAGGCAGGAGAATTGCTTGAACCTGGGAGGTGGAGGTTACAGTGAGCTGAGATTGCACCAATGCACTCCAGCTTGGGCAACAGAATAAGACTTTGTATCAAAAAACAACAACAACAAAAAAACCCCTTCACTTTATTCCTCAAAACATGTATGTCCCAGTTCCCTCCATTTCAGAGCCATAAACATAAAGCCTACAGGTAAGATACTTAATACCCAGGACAGATCTTTGTGTGTATATATACATACCATATGTAGCATTATGTTATATAGTATTATATAAATTACATGAAATTTTGCATAAGATTGGTAAGCAAGTCACTTAAACTTTATGAACAAAAGTATAGGCCGGGCATGGTGGTTCATGCCCATAATCCCAGGGAAGCTTTCACAGGTGGGAGGATTGTTGTCTGGACCATCTCATGTTATTGTCATTCCTCACTTGTCTAAACAGGAATAGGGCTGAGTGGAACTACGGAAGACCTGTATCCTGCTCCTGATGTTTCCTTTTCTGCCCACTCTGTGTCTCTGAAAGCTTTGGGGAATTTTCCTGAGGAGGAAGCCTGATGTGGAGTTAACAGTGCAGGCTTGGTAACCAGGAAGCCCTGAGTCCGCCCCAGCTCAGGTGTTACCTCACTTCTCTCACCGGGTTTACCTCTCTGTGAAATGGGATGAAAGCAGGCCGGGCACAGTAGCTCACACCTGTAATCCCAGCACTTTTGGAGGCCGAAGCGGGCGGATCACGAGGTCAGGAGTTCAAGACTAGCCTGACCAATATGGTGAAACCCCATGTCTACTAAAGATACAAAAAAAAAAATTAGCCGGGTGTGGTGGCAGGCACCTGTAATTCCAGCTACTCAGCAGGCTGAGGCAGGAGAATCGCTTGAACCCGGGAGGCAGAGGTTGCAGTGAGCCGAGATCACACCACTGCACTCCAGCCTGGGTGACAGAGCGAGACTCTGTCTCAAAAAAAAAAGAAAAAAGAAATGGGATGAAAGCTGCCTTTTCACAGGTTTGAATAAAGGGATTGTGGAGAGAAAGCCCAGTAAAGCAGATGAGCTTGCTCAGGATCAGGGCCACCACTCAGGGGAATAAAGCTCTAGGGACCTCCCCTTTTTAGGAGTGTAGGTTCCCAAGATCTCCCTCCTAAATGAAGTGGCCGCTGCTCACTCCAGGGAAAACGAATCTTGTTACCACATCCACCACGGATGGCTAGAACAGGGGACCGGTACCGCATAGCAGGAGGTGAGCAGAGGGCGGATAAGCATTACCGCCGAGCATTCTGCCCCCTCAGATCAGCGGGGGCATTAGGATCAGCGGGAGCATTAGATTCTCACAGGAGCGTGAACCCTATTGTGAACTGGACTTGCAAGAGATCTAGGTTGCGCGCTCCTAATGAGAATCTAATGCCTGCTGATGTGAGGTAAAAGAGTTTCATACCAAAACCACCCCCACCTCCGTGGAAGACAAGAAAAATTGTCTTCCACGAAACCAATTCCTGGTGCCAAAAAGGCTGGGGACCACTGGTCTAGAAGACTACAACCAATTCAGTTGCAGTGGTCACCAGGAGTAACCATGTGGCCCAAGAAGGTATGTCCAGCTTCCTCCTTGCATCTTGCGGCACAACACCTTTGCGGTATGGTGCCTGGGCAGTCCCGGGTTGTTAAGGGTGAGAGTTCTAAAGCCAGGCTGCCCGTATTCAGAGACTGGCTTTGCTAAGGAACCTTGGGCAAGTTACTTAACCTGTTTCGTCATCTGTAAAATGGAGAAAATACCAGTGCTTTTTAGGGTTGCCAACCTAATAAGCATTATTCCTGCCCCAAATAAGTCCAGGCTATGTGGAAAAACGCGAATTTCTCGTTCAGCAAAGAGTAAAGCTAATACCAGAGTTTTCCTGGCCTGCAGATTTGGCCTGGCAGGAGACAATGCCATAGCCAATGTTCATGCTCCAGATGCAGACCTGGAGGCACAGAGTGATGTAGAGAGGACAATGGATCTGAAGCCATGTATCTGGGTGCCAGACACGCTGGGTGAAGCCGAGCAAACCGCTCCTGCAGATAGATTGAGTATGCACACCCAGCACTTTGGGAGGCCGAGGCGGGCGGATCACGAGGTCAGGAGACCGAGACCATCCTGGCTAATATGGTGAAACCCCGTCTCTACTAATACAAAAAATTAGACGGGCGTGGTGGCGGGCGCCTGTAGTCCCAGGAGGCGGAGCTTGCAGTGAGCTGAGATGCGCCACTGCACTCCAGCCTGGGCGACAGAGCGAGACTCCATCTCAAAAAAAAAAAAAGCATGCACAGCCTAACACTGGAGGTGCTGACGCCAGGTAGGTCAGCAGTAGACCCAGCCCCAACCCACAAGTTTCGCTCTCCAGACTGCGCAAGCGCAAAGGATACGAAAACGCCCCCGGCGTTCTGGGGGCTGGGACCGAGGAAAGCGCTGAGTATAGCTCTTGCGCGTCCAGTCACAAATGACGTCCCTTCTGTACCCCGCCCTGTAGGCGGGAGCATCCAATCAACTTCGAGAGCGTAGGCCCCACCTATCGTGGGTCGAGTTGCTTGGCGGTCGTGGTTCCGGAGGTTCCTCGGGATGTCGGTGGCCTTCGTACCGGACTGGCTGAGGGGCAAGGCGGAAGTCAATCAAGAGACTATCCAGCGGGTGAGCATCCACGCGGGCGGGCGGGCGGGCGGAGAGAAGTCGGGATCCCGAGGGGCTGCGGGGTGCGAGAAGCATCCTGTAGTGAGCGGCCTCCCAGCTGACTGTGAAGGGTGCTGAGCAGCCGGGGTGCGGGGTGAGATGGGCACGAAATCAGCACAGGCGCCGGGGCAGGACCCCGGCATGGGGTTCGGTCCCCCGCCGTCCAGACGTCACACTGCACTAACCCTTTCTCTCCTTTTTTTTTTTTTTTTGAGACGGAGTCCCGCTCTGTCGCCCAGGCTGGAGTGCAGTGGTGCATCTTGGCTCACTGAAACCACCGCTTCCTGGCTTCAAGCGAGTCTCCTGCCTCAGCCTCCTGAGTAGCTGGGATTACAGGAGCGCGACGCCACTCCCGGCTAATTTTTGTATTTTTAGTATGGGGTTTCCCCATGTTGGCCAGGCTAGTCTCGAACTCCTGACCTCGTGATCCGCCTAGATCGGCCTCCCAAAGGGCCGGGGTTACAGGCGTGAGCCACTGCGCCCGGCCTGCACTGACCCTTTCTTTCTCTGATCTTTCAGCTCCTTGAGGAGAATGACCAGCTGATCCGCTGTATTGTGGAGTATCAGAACAAGGGCCGCGGGAACGAGTGCGTGCAGTAAGTACCCCCACCCCCGCGCCCCTGACCTGTGGGTAGAGGGGAAGCCTGTGTGATGCGGTGCTTTCTCGAACTAAGAGTCTTGGGTGATTGATCGCAGTTAAGCCCCTCTTTGAACTGAGGAAAGAGAGGCTCAAAGAGTTTGCCAACCTGCCCAAGACCATACAACGAGTACACTGCGGAGCCTGGAGTCAGACGTGGCTCTTTCTTCAAAATGTGAATTATTCTCACTGCAAAGCCTCCTTCACTCAAAGCTATGCCGGCTGATGACAACAGGGATGGGGGTGAGAGCACACAGAAAACTAAGCTCAGGAGATTAGAGCCATGGCCCCTTTCTCATCTTGGATCCCTGCCTCATCCTTTCTCTGTTAAGTGAAGGGGTCAGGCCATTTGACTGCTAAGCTTCCTCTCATTTCTAACTTCCCGTCAGTCTGTTAGTGACACACACACAAAGACAAACAAAGGATTTACAAGTTAAGTCAAAGGTAAATTGTGCATAATAATTTAATGCACTCCCTAAGTAGATACCAAAATGAGAGAAAATAGAGTCTGAGTCTCTTTTCCGAATCTAGTCCAGGTATTACGCCCATTTTTTTCTTTTCTTTTTTTTTTTCTTTTTGAGACAGTCTCCCTCTGTCACCCAGGCTGGAGTGCAGTGGTGCAATCTCGGCTCACTGCAACCTCCACCTCTGAGGTTCAAGCAATTCTCGTGCCTCAGCCTCTGAGTAGCTGGGACTACAGGCGTGTGCCACCACGCCCTGCTAATTTTTATATTTGTAGTAGAGACAGGGTTTCACCATGTTGGCCAGACTGGTCTCAAACTCCTGACCTCAGATGATCCACCCACCTCGACCTCCCAAAGTGTTGGAATTACAGGCATGAGCCACCACGGCCGACCTTATGCCCATTTCTTATAGAAAAATATATTATTTCATTGTTACTGAAGAAATGTTTCACAATCCCTACCCCCTAGAAAAATTACCTACAGTCCCTCACTGAATACCTTAATAGAATAGTAGAGATATCAGTTTTTGGGTAAATCTTTACATCTGACTCTGGCATTTGGTAATTTGATTTTTAAAAGTTTATGGTAAATACCTTCTCCTTTTTCTATATGAAAAATGGTTGCAAAACATTCCATTTGGTACAGTAATTCTCAACCCAAGGGTAAGAAAGTTATCAAAATCTCCTAGTGGGGTTTTTCAATTGCACAGGCCATGCTTTCTGAGCCCTTGTCTGATTTATTTTTTTGGGTGAAGAACTCTACCCCCCCCACCGTAAACTTATGTTGATCATGAAAATGTTTTGTCCCTTCTTGAAGTTGTTGAACAGATATTTTATAAGTACAGTTGGTCCTCTGTATCCATGGGTTCTGCATTGCATTTCAAAAATATTGGGGAGCACAAAACAATGAAAAATAGCAACACAACAATAAAAAAAATACAGTATAACAACTATTTATATGGCATTTAAGTTGTATTAGTTATTATAAGTAATCTAGAGATTATTTAAACTGTGAGCCAGGTGTGGTGGCTCATCCCTGTAATCCCAGTACTGTGGCATTACAGTGGGAGGCTGAGGCGGGCAGATCATCTGAGGTCAGGAGTTCAATACCAGCCTGGCCAACATGGCAAAACCCCATCTCTACTAAAAACTAAAAATACAAAAATTAGCCAGGCGTGGTGTGTGCCTGTAATCCCAGCTACTTGGGAGGCCGAGGCAGGAGAATTGCTTGAACCCAGGAGGTGGAGGTTGCAGTGAGCCAAGATCACGCCACTGCACTCTAGCCTGGGTGACAGAGCAAGACTCCGTCTCAATAAATAAATAAATTAAAGTATATGATATGGAAGGCTGTGTGTAGGTTATATACAAATACTATGCCATTTTTTATAAGGGACTTGAGCTCGAGCATCCTCAGATTTTGATATCTAAGGGGAGGAGGGAGGTGTCCTGGAACCAATCCTCTGTGGATACCAAGGGACAATTGTACTCCTGGTACCAGGCACTGTTTCAGACTCTGGGAAATCCATAGTAAAACAGATACCAGCTCTGCACTCACAGAGCTGACATTCTAGACTCTAGAATCTATAAGGAAATGTATAATTAGGCACATAATAATAAGTGCTTTGAATAAGAATAAAGCAGAGTAAGTGGGGGGAGGAGTGCTATTTTATACATGGTATGTCTGATAAGGTGATATTTGAGTAGAGACCTGGGGTAAGGGAGCCAGCTATGCAGTAGTAAGGCATAGTGAGATAAGTAAGACAGAGAAAGCATCAGGTGGAAAAGCCCCCTAGTAGGAGTGTGCCGGATATCTTCAAGTCACAGAAGGAGGCCACTGTGGCCAGTATTCAGTGAACAAAGGTATAGCCATAAGAGGTGAGATCAGAGGGGGACTGGAGGCCCCCATCATGTAGGGCCTTATTAGGACACAAGAACAGCTCACCTTTACCTGAATGAGATGGGAGCCTTTGGAAGGTTTTGAATAGACATATAACATGATTTTGATTTAAATTGTACAGTAATCTCTCAGGCTGTTATGTGGAGAATAAAGTAGGTGCGCAAAGATAGATCTGGGAGACTAGGTGTCTACTGCAATAGTTCAAGCAAGAAATGATAGTAGCTATGAAAGTAATCAGTAAGAATGGGTGAGAATCTGACTATATTTTCCTTAAATATGTTAAACAAGAAGGTTGATAACACTGAATCATCCAGTCAGTGGATGAGCCATTCCACTAGAGTGGGTAAATTATTTTCCAGTTTTTTGTTCATGGTCGGTAAAAACAAGCCTCTGATTTTTGCCTGTTTTTTTGCCCATAGGTACCAGCATGTGTTACATAGAAATCTCATTTATTTGGCTACCATTGCAGATGCCAGTCCAACCAGCACTTCAAAAGCAATGGAATAATCTTTCAAAAGCAATAGAATAATCTTCCATTTGGCTGTCGTGAGGAGTAATTGAATGTAATCCATCTCTTACAAAATGGAGACAGGGTCTTTACCAACTCAACTGGTTAAAACATGAATGAAACCTCTGTGGCTCTTTCGAAACGTGAAAATGTGAAGAAAGCTACTAACTTAGCTGTATTCTCATGTAAATATTTTTTAAATAATTAAGCAAATCCCTCAATAAGTTGAGCCCAGGTGTCCTCTTTCCTGAACTTGGAGCATGTTTGGATAACAAAGACATCACTGGGATGTTCAAGTCTACTTTTTAGTTTCAACCTGAAGAGGAAACTCAGTAGGTGTTGGGCAGGAATTGGTGAGATTCCTGACTTGATACCTTGCTAAATGGACATGTAACTGTGTGCTCCTTCCTATCAGTTTGTAAATGTGGTCCCCCTGACTGCTGTTTTCAGATTGCTTTGAAATAAAGCTTATTTTTCTATAAAATACTGATGTGGAGGTATAGAAGTTTTCATGTAATAAGTATTCCATTTGGTTTTCAAGAATAACTGTGAGGACTTAACCATAAAGTATATAAAAACAATACTATTATCATTGCCAACAAAATGAATAGTGATTTCTAATTATTATCTAATATCATCTGATAATAGATGATGTTTAATTTTCTTCAGTTATCAGATAGTCTTTTTGTTGATTTGTCTGAACCAGAATCCAAATAAGATTCACATGTTGTATTTTGTTGATGTTCCTTTAAGTCACTTAAAGAATACTTAATAGTTCCTTTTTTTCTTTATTTGTTGAAATAACTAGGTGTTTACCCTAGAATTCTCTCGTGTTCTACATACAGTTGTATCTCTGTAGTGTTGTTAATTATGTGCCACTATCATCCACTTTTCCTGTAAACTAGTAGATCTAGAGGCTCATGCAGACTCATGTTCTAATATTTTTAGCAGGAATATATTAGAAGGTGATAAGTACTTGCTTTTGCATCACATAAGGAGTGACCTGACTTTTAAGTTCCCAACCAGCCTTTCACTTAAATTATGATCCACCCAGCTTTGATGTGGTAATTCATTAGGGATTACATAATGAGGATTTTCTAATTTATCATTCTTTCTGACTTTATTAGCTGTATTCTATAAAAAACTTTCACTCTTGGAGATTTATCTGAAAGATGAGGCAAAGGGATTCTTGTAAGTATATCCAAAATTAGAAGCCCAGGTCCCTGCTCCTTTTTTTGGAGTCAAGGGTTGCAACCTAGGGCAACTGTAAAATACATGTAAATAGTGAAGAGATAACTCATTTTGAATCCCAGCTCTATCCCTTAACCTCTGAAAGCTCTGTTTCCTCACCTCTAAAGTGAGGATAATGAAAATAGCATCTGCCTCCTGAGGTTGTGAGACTGAGATAACGTGGTTGAGAACTGGGCACATGTTAATCTATGTTAGCACTAATGTGCTGAGGGCTCTGGCTCTTTCTTTTTTCTTTTTCTTCTTTTTTTTGGTTTTGTTTTGTTTTGTTTTTGTTTTTGTTTTTTTTTGAGACGGAATCTCGCTCTGTCGGAGTGCAGTGGTGCAATTTTGGCTCACTGCAACCTCTACCTCCTGGGTTCAAGTGATTCTCCTGCCTCAGCCTCCCAAGTAGCTGGGATTACAGGCATGTGGCACCATGCCTGGCTAATTTTGGTATTTTTAGTAGAGACGGGGTTTCTCCATGTTGGTCAGGCTGGTCTCGTACTCACGACCTCAGGTGATCCACCTGCCTCAGCCTCCTAGAGTGCTGGGATTACAGGCGTAAGCCACCGCGCCCAGCCGATCATTTCTGTTTTCTAGAAAATTATTTTGTCTGTTTCCCCACTAGCATTCCTGATGGTTTTCCAGAGTCCTATCCCCTGAAGTTCTAATTGCTGGCATAATCACACTCTAAAAGGCTGAACCCCAGAATCATTACCTGAAAATTCGTACTACCAGTGGTTCTTCTTCATGATAAATCATGGACAAATTAAGCCTGAGTTTGTAAACTCTTTGGATACCAACTTTCTACCACTCTTGGAAGAGATGGAGGAGGTGTCAGTCATTTTGGTTGATACTAGCCCTAGGCCTGCCTTGTCCCAGGAGTTTCTTCACCTTAATCACAGACCAAATTGCATACTTTTATCTTCGAATCATCTAAAATATAATTTCAAATCACAAGACAGAATAAAATAATCTTTGAGAGAGGCAGAACCTTAGAAAGGAGATATTTTATCTCATTTATTTTACAGATGAAGAAAGTAAACTTCAGAGAGATCAAAGTGATTTGTCTCAGGTCACATAACCAGTGGCAGAAAGAAGAGAATTGCTGGAATGTCAAGATAAGAATGAATTCTAGGTTTAAAGTTGTTTAAGTATATCCCAAATTAAATATTTCATTCCTGAGCTCTAAAACCTATTTACATTGAAGCCTGATGTCCTAAACACGGTAATTACAAAGCTGGGTAATGGTCTCCATCCTTTCCTTTCATGAATCCATGTATGAAAGTTAGCTTTATCAAACTATTTCATCTCCAGAAAGGCATGTACATTTCATACTGTTCAAGTCTGTAATTGTCAGCAAAATCAGACCCAAGACCGCTAGCTTCTCAATTCAGCCTACAGACTGCTCCTCTAATAGACACACTGGACTCTCAGGGAGGTAGAATGGGCAAGCTCTAACAAAGGACAGCACTTCTGTGATGGTGTGGAAGTACCAAAGGTTTGACTGTACTTTAAAAAGGTGACATGGACGGCTGGGTGCAGTGACTCATGCCTGTAATCCCAGCACTTTGGGAGGCCAACGCGGGCAGATCACAAGGTCAGGAGATCGAGACCAGCCTGACCAACATGGTGAAACCCTGTCTCTACTAAAAATACAAAAAAATTAGCCAGGTGTGGTGGCGTGTGCCTGTAGTCTCAGCTACACTGGAGGCTGAGGCAGGGGAATCGCTTGATCTCAGGAGGCAGAGGTTGCAGTGAGCCAAGATCGTGCCACTGCACTCCAACCTGGGCGACGGAGCGAGACTTTGTCTCAAAAAAAAAAAAAAAAAGGTGACATAGGTGCAGAAACAGGTCAGAAATGATCTAAGTCAAGCTTGTCCAACCCGCCACCCAGGGGCCACATGTGGCCCAGGACAACTTTGGGTGCAGCCCAACACAAACTCATAAACTTTCAAGAAATATGAGATTTTGTTGCAATTTTAAGCTCATTGGCTATTGTTAGTGTTAGTGTATTTTATGTATGGCTGAAGACAATTATTCTTCCAATGTGGCCCAGGTAAACCAAAAGATTGGACACCCAATCTAAGTGAGCCCAATTTCCAAATTTACTATAAAACTACATTAATTAAAACAGTGTGCCACTTCACATCCATTAGGATGGCAATAAAGAAAACCAAAAAATAACAAGTGTTGGTGATGATGTGGAAAAATTGGAAACTTTGTGCACTGCTGATGGAAATGTAAAATAGTGCAGCTATGGAAAACAGTATGGTAATTCCTGGAAAAATCTTAAATGGAATTAGCTTATGATCCAGTGATTCCATTTCTGGGCATATATCCAAAATAATTGAAAGCAGGTTTCAAAGAGGTATTTGTACACCCACATTCATAACAGTACTATTTACAACAGCCAAAAGGTAGAAGCAATCTAAATATCCACTGACATATGAATGGATAGACAAAATATGATATACACATACAATGGAATATTATTCAGCCTCAAAAAAGGAAATTCTGACATGCTACAACATGGATGAAATGGAAGACATGCTGAGTGAAATCACCCAGCTACAAAAGAACAAATTTTTTTTTTTTTTTTTTTGAGACAGAGTCTCGCACTGTCACCCAGGCTGGAGTGCAGTGGCGCAATCTCGGCTCACTGCAATCTCTGCCTCCCGGGTTCAAGTGATTCTCCTGCGTCAGCCTCCTGAGTAGCTGGGATTACAGGTGCCTGCCACCACGCCCTGCTAATTTTTTGTATTTTTAGTAGAGACGGCGTTTCATCATGTTGGCCAGGCTGGTCTCGAACTCCTGACCTCATGTGATCCACCCGCCTCAGCCTCCCAGAGTGCAGGGATTACAGGTGTGAGCCACCGCACCTAGCCTACAAGAACAAATATTACATGATTTTACTCACATATGAGTAGACAAATACTAGAGTAGACAAATTTACAGAGAGAAAGTAGAAGGGTGGCTGCCAGGAACTTGGGAAAAGAGGGAAATGGGGAGTTACTGTTTAATAATACAGAGTTTCAGTTTTGCAAGATGGAAAATGTTCTGTGGACGGATGGGAGGTACTGAGGGTTGTACAACCGTGTGAAATACAGTTAATGCCAGCGAACTGTACACTTAAAAATGGTTAAAATGGCAACTTTCACATAATGTGTATATATATCTATAGATCTATAGATATCTAGATATCTGTAGATCTATAGATCTATAGATAGATTTTTTTTGTTTGAGACGGAGTCTCGCTCTGTCACCCAGGCTGGAATGCAGTGGACCGATCTCGGCTCACTGCAAGCTCTGCCTCCCAGGTTCACGCCATTCTTCTGCCTCAGCCTCCCGAGTAGCTGGGACTACGGGCGACCGCCACCACGCCCGGCTAATTTTTTGTATTTTTAGTAGAGAAAGGGTTTCACCGTGTTAGCCAGGATGGTCTCGATCTCCTGACCTCGTGATCCGCCTGCCTCGGCCTCCCAAAGTGCTGGGATTACAGGCATGAGCCACCACGCCCGCCCATGTAATGTGTATTTTATAGTTTAAAAAAAAAACTTATAAAATAGTGTGGTACTCAGACACAGATCATTGGAACAAAAATCCAGAAACAGACCCACACATATATGGTCACAAGGCGAAGGTAATTCAATGTATAAGAGTCTTTTCAGGCCGGGCGCGGTGGCTCACGCCTGTAATCCCAGCACTTTGGGAGGCCGAGGCGGGCGGATCACGAGGTCAGGAGATCGAGACCATCCCGGCTAAAACGGTGAAACCCCGTCTCTACTAAAAATACAAAAAATTAGCCGGGCGTAGTGGCGGGCGCCTGTAGTCCCAGCTACTTGGGAGGCTGAGGCAGGAGAATGGCGTGAACCCGGGAGGCGGAGCTTGCAGTGAGCCGAGATCCCGCCACTGCACTCCAGCCTGGGCGACAGAGCGAGACTCCGTCTCAAAAAAAAAAAAAAGAGTCTTTTCAACAAACGGTAATGGAACGACTGTATATCCCAATAGGAAAATGTTGACACTTACTTGACAACATAAGCAAAAATTAATGATATTAGATCATATCATAGACTTACACGTTAAAGACTATGTAAAACATATATGAGAACACAGAATATCTTCAAGAACTTGAGGTAGGCAGAGATTTCCTAGCACAGGAAAAGCACAAACCATTAAAATATAAAACTGACCAATTGACTTAATCAGAATTAAAAACTTCTTTGCCAAAAACGTCAAAACAATGAAACGACAGGCCCAGATTGGGAAAAAGACTTCGCAATCATTTATGTAACAAAAGATTTTCATTCAGAGCATACATATATCTAACAAAACATTTGTATCCAGAACTGTTAAACACGAAGGACCAGATTTAAAAACGGGCAGAAGACTGGAACTGAAACTTCACAAAAGATGCAGAATGGTCAGTAAGCACAGGACAAAAACGGTGCCAGTGACGCTGGTGCCAAAGCGGGAAGGAACGCATTCTTCAGCCTAAAAGACCTAACAGTAGGACACGGACATAACCACTCCCGGCCAAAAAGAACACAGAGCAACACAACGTCTTGGCTAACGAAAACTCAAAGCCTCAATTCACTCAGTTCCTTCACAGCGCTCGGAAACAGAGAAGTCTCGCGGTATCGGAAAATGCGCGGCGCTCACAGCCACACCTGACGAGATGGAGGGCGCAGGCGCATCCACGGCTTTCAGATTGGGCGACTGACTTCAAAGGGGGGGGCAAACAGGGAACGCGCAGGTATAGGAGCGCTGGCTGGAGGCTCCTCGAGAGCTCCCCAGACACGCCCCCGTGCGTACGCCCCCGTGCGTACGCCCCCGCTGCCGCCACCTTCGGTTGACCACCCCCATCTAGACTGTACTCTCGCGGTATTTGTCCCGACTCTCGCGGGGTTTAGCGTGGCATTGGGAGGCCCGGCCTGGGGGAGGAGACGGCGTTCCGTTAGCGGCGTTGGGGTTTGGCTGCAGTGGCAGTGCTTTCTCTTCTGCTCACGGGGACCCGCTCAGGCTGGAGGCCAGCCAGGTGAAGAGCTCGCCCGCATGCGTGCGCGCTGCGTGGGAGCCGCGAGGCCCGGGGCGGGAGGGGGCCTCGTCTTGGCCTCCTGCGCTGTCGCGACGGGCCGGCGTGAGGCACCGTGGCGCGGACTTCGTCTCAGCCCCGCCCTCGCCCCTGCCCTCGCCCCCGCCCTCGCCCCTGCCCTGACCGCTTTTCTCCCCCTCTCTCCCAGCTCTTGCCGCCACCTCGGTCGCGATGGGGGCGCAGGACCGGCCGCAGTGCCACTTCGACATCGAGATCAACCGGGAGCCGGGTGAGCTGGAAACTGGGGAGCGCTGCTGGGGCCGAGGCCTGCCTTGGCGAAGGGGAGGGGTCTACCCTCAGCAACCCTCCCCCGGCCTTTTTGGGAGCGGGTAGGAGGCGCAGGCAACTTTCCGTTTTCTCTTGAGAGAAAATCAGTGGGAGAGGAAGGTGGCCTGGGCACACCCCTAACTCGCAGTCCGGGCCTCTTCCTGCCAAACCCCACACACCCCGCTGCATCTCCGGACTGAGTCCTCGTAGCCAGCCTGGCGCCAAGAAAAGGAGGTGCAGTTCTTTGAGGACTTTTTCTCTCCCAGTGTCTCCGTGAGGCAGACACTCCCGATCCGATTTCCGGTTATCTTGCTTGGTGCTATGAAGTTTCAACTAGTAGGAAATATTGTGTGTTTCCTAATCACGATATATCACTAATATGTTAATTTTGCCTCTATTTTTCCTTAAGAATCTTTAGCTAGAATTTCGTGGTTCCTGGGAAAATGGCTTAGTGAAGATCTTTTGTGATAAACCAGAGCATTTTGTACCAGCAGAATTGCAGCATGCATGCACTTAGCATTAATGTTTGTCTTTAGGGAATCCAGACATTTGTTAGTGTATTTTTTTTAAATGAAACATTTCCTTCTAAAGCATAGTTATTTCATTCTAAGTAGCAGAGCGTGCAGGGTTTCAAACTGTTTTCTTAGCTTTTTTTGTTATCCGTGACAAAAGTTTTAATTGGAGACATATATATATGTGTTGTCTTTGTGCAACATCTTGTTCTGCATATTCTTATGAGAGCCTGCTACTGTTCTAGGGTCTGGAGATAGAGCAGCGCATAAAACAAAGGCCTCTTCCTTTTATAGTTTATATTCTATTGGGGGGAAGACGGACAACTAGGAAAAAAATAACAGTGACTTGTAGTTGGGATACTATTTTAATAAGTTGGTCAGACAAGGCCATTTTGAGAAGATGAGATTTAAGCAGGTATCAGAAGGAGATGAAGTGAGCCGTATTTAAGAAGAGCATTCGTGGTAGAGGGAAACAGCACAGCCCTGAGGTGAGGAGTAGTATACAGTCAGGCGCCAAATGACATTTCTATCTTTAACAATGGTCTTATATATAATACCTTTTTTTGGTAACTTTTTAATGTTTAGCTGTGTTTAGATATACAAATACTTCATTGTGTTAAAGTTGCCTACGGTATTCAGTGGAGTAACATCCTGTACAGGTTTGTAGCCTAGGAGCAAATAGACTATATAGCTTAGGTGTGTAGTAGGCCGTACCATCTAGGTGTGTTTAAATACATTCCATGATGTTCACACAATGACGAAATTGCCTAATTACACATTTCTCAGAATCCGTCCTGGTTATTAAACAATGGAGGACTGTACTTGCATGTTTGAGGGACAGCAGGGTGCCCAGTGTGGCTGGAGTAGAAGAGGAAAGAGAATAGTAAGAAATGGCCTGTAGGACTGACTCAGTGAGGTAGGAAGATATTAAAGGGTTTCGAGCAAAGGGATGAGATAATCCTGGAAATTTGGTTGCCTTCTCTCTCTTTTTAATGTTTTTAGCCTTGATTGATCTTTTTTTTTTTTTTTTTTAAATAAGTGTTACTAGAAAGCCTTGATGGACCTTAATCTTTATTTTGTAGTGAATCCATGCTTTAGATAACAGGGTTATTTTCTATTAAGAATTAAAAATAGCTCACGCCTGTAATCCCAGCACTTTGGGAGGCAGACGCGGGTGTATCATTTTGAGGTCAGGAGTTCGAGACCAGCCTGGCCTACATGGCGAAACCCCATCTCTACAAAAAATAAAAAAATTAGCTGGGCATGGTGGCTCTCTTAGTTTTTGCCTGTAGTCCCAGCTATTTGGGAGGCTGAGACTGAAGGACTGCTTGAGCCTGGGAAGCAGAGGTTGCAGTGAGTAGAGATTATACCACTGCATGTCAGCCTGGGTGACGGAGTGAGACCCTGTCTCAAAAAAAAAAAAAAAGAAAAGAAAAGAAAAATAGTAGATTGCTGAAGAGTAGAAGTATGACCAAGCATGGTGGCTCATACCAGTAATCCCAGTACTTAGGGAGGCCCAGGCAGGAGGATTGCTTGAACCCAGGAGTTTGAGACCAGCCTGGGCAATATAGCAAGACCCTGTCTACAAAAAACAATTTTTTTTTAATTAGCCAGGCATGGTGGTGCTCACCTGTACTTGGAAGGGTGAGGTGGGAGGATGGCTTGAGCTCAGGAGTTTAAGGCTGCCATGAGCTATGATTGCACCACTGCACTCCAGCTTGGTCAACAGAGCAAGATCTTGTTTCTAAAAAAAAAAAAAAAAAAAAAAAAACAGCTTAAGAAAAAGTACAAATAAAAATTTCTGTAGTTAAGTACTCCTTTCCTAGTAAATGTTCAGATCCTAGATTTGCACATAACCTGTGTTGTGAAAAATCTCCAGAATATGTTTGACAAATGTTCAATGAACCTCATTCCTCAACATCCAAGGCAATTCATTGTGATAGATGTGTAGATGTGATTAGCACTCTTGAGAACGCCGAATCATATAAAACAAGGAAATGCAATGCTTACATTGTTCTAGGTTTAATCATTTGATAGTTGGAAATTTCATATGGTTCAGTCTTGTGAAATAACTAGCACTTTTTGAGTATATTAACTAAATAGTGGATTTTACACAACTTTTTTTTTTTTTTTTTTTTTGAGGCGAAGTCTCACTTTTTCACCCAGGCTGGAGTGCAGTGGTGCCATCTCGGCTCAGTGCAACCTCCGCCTCCCAGGTTCAAGCGATTCTCCTGCCTCAGCCTCCCTAGTAGCTGGGATTACAGGCATGTGCCACCACCCCTGGCTAATTTTTTTGTATTTTTATTAGAGACAGGGTTTCATCATGTTGGCCAGGCTGGTCTGAACTCCTGACCTCAAGTGATCCGCCCACCTCGGCCTCCGAAAGTGCTAGAATTACAGGTGTGAGCCACGGTGCCTAGCCTGTGGTTTTTATTAAAGAAATTGGTGCATTTTATCTAAGTTGTCAAGTTTATGTGCTTAGAGTTGTTTGTCACAGCCTCTTTTAATATCTGTGGGGTCTGTAGTGGTGTCTCTTTTCATTCCTGATATTGATAATTCTTCCTTTTGTCTTTTTCCTTTGTCAGTCTGACGAGAGGTTTATTCATTATACATTTTCAGAGAACCAGATTTTGATCTGATTGAATTTTGTTTCTATTTTTGTTTTCAATTTCATTGTTCTCTTTCTTTCTAATGCTTGCTTCAATTTTTATTTTGTTCTTTTTCTAGTTTCTTAATGTTGAAGCATAGATTGTTGATTTGATACCTTTTTTTTTTGAGACAGTCTCAAATGACTTTTAATTTAATTCCATTATGGCTAGAGAACACACATGATTTCCGTTCTTTGTGCACTTGAATGTACATTCTGCACTTGAATGTACATTTTTGTGTAGTGTGTTCTATAAATGTCAAATCCAGTTGGCTATTAGTGTTGGTCAATTCTTTTATATCTTTGCTGATTTTCTACTTGTTTATTGATTACCAGGAGAAGAGTATTGAAGTCTGCAACTATAACAACTGTAATTGTGGATTTATCTATTTCTCTCCTTTTTTTTTTTTTTTTTTTTTTTTTTTTTTTTTTTTTTTGAGACTGAGTCTTGCTCTGTCGCCCAGGCTGGAATGCTGGAGTGCAGTGGCATGATCTTGGCTCACCACACCCTCTGCCTTCCTGGTTCAAGTGATTCTCGTGCCTCTGCCTCCCCAGTAGCTGGGACTACAGGTGTGAGCTACCATGCCTGGCTAATTTTTTGTATTTTTAGTAGAGACAGGGTTTCTTCATGATGCCCAGGCTGGTCTTGAACTCCTGGGCCCAAGCAATCCACCTGCCTCGGCCTCTCGAAGTGCTGGGATTACAGGCATGAGCCATCATGCCCGGCCGTATTTCTCTTTTAAGTTCTCTTAGTTTTTGCATCATTCATTTTGAGGCTCTTAGGTGGGTACATACATATTTAGGATTGTTGTCTTCTTAGTGAACTCTTTTATTATTATGTAATGACACCTTATATTCCTAGTAACTTTCCTGGCTCTGAAGTTTCCTTTGCCTCAGATATGAATATAGTTACTTCCGTTTTATTAGTGTTTACATGGTATATCATTTTCAATCCTTTTACTTTTAACCTTTCTGTATAATATTTAAAGTGGATTTCTTCTGGATAGCAAATAGATGGGTCTTGTCCCACTCTGACAATGTCTTTTAGTCAGTATGTTTAACTGTATACATTTAATATAATTAGTTATGTTTAGATTTGCTTTACTGCTTAAGATTCATAAAAACAGACTGGAAAATGTGTTTTTAGCAAACATTGTAAAGTATTTAGAAGTGATACCAAGAAATTAGTCTTAAGAGGCGACAAAGGATTCAGGCAAATGTTTGAGTACTACTTGTGTCCTTGGTCAAGCCGTTTAACAACCTCTTTGTGAAATGGAACTACTATACAGTTTTGTTCTTAATTTGGTTCCAAAGCTAACAGGACAGGAAAATTTGCTTATATTCAAAATTAAACTAAACTTTAGACTCACATTCAAAATAGCTCATACTTCGAGTGAGGTATATGGGATCTGGTTTGTTCTGAGGGAATAGGAGAAATGCATCTCCGCTCTCAAGGTCACCCTGGGTCATAAGCTCATGAGTAGAGTGACTAGATGCAATGGCCTGAAATTTAAATGACTTGCACTGTATATGCTCATTAACCTGTTATATTATTAACCTAATAATAGGACTCCAGTGTAATAGTGCTTACATAACAAGATTGTTGAGAAGAGTAATTAAATAATGCCATCTTATAGATTGTATTAGAGTAACATGAACTTACTCTAATAGGGTGGATTAAGGAGCACAATTTTAATTAGGCACACTACTGTTTGGTATAACAATCGGATAAGCAGGTGGGGAAGAGTGGCGTGGGAGAGAACAGTTGGATAGCTCTGCTGCTCTGAGTCATTCTTGTTTGTCCTAACTGATTTGAAGGCCACTGTGCTAATGACAGTGCTGGGAATGGAGGCAGAAATGAGGTTTGGTCAGTTGTAGGGTTTCCTCAATGATGTTTAGATTTTATAACGTCCTCTTATAGCTAAAATTTATTATTGATACTCCTAAAGAAAAAAATATTTTTACTGCAACTGGAAACTCCCTTGTCCCCCCCAGTTCCCATTTTTATATGGAAATAGTTATTTTTATATGTGATTTTCGATAATGCAGTGTTTCTTAAAATTCTATCACTGTTCTTGTAGAGCAGTCTGTATTTGTTAAGTATATATAGCACAGTATCTGATTTTTTTTTTAAGTTGCTTTAAGTATTGCATGTGCAGGAGTATGGACACTAAGTCAAGTTAAGGGGCTTTCATATTTAGGTATTGTGCAGGTAGACCTTTGATTTTGGTCCCTTTTGTTCCCAGAGATTGTATCTTAAAGTCCGAGAGACAGTGCTGTAAAGTGAAATCCTGAATTCTTGCTTTCACTCCCTATGTATGTATACTTGTACAAAGAATTGAAGCCTGATTCTTAATTCAGCAATGTTTATTTTATTAAACACCAATTAATCTTTATGTAATCACTTTTTAACATTTTTTAATATTTTGTCTTTACTTTTATTTTAAATTTTTATTTTTTTCTTGGCCAGGCACAGTGGCTCATGCTTGTAATCCCAGCACTTTGGGAGGCCAAGGCAGGAGGATTGCTTGAGCATAGGAGTTAGAAACCTACCAGCCTGGGCAACATAGTGAGACACTATCCCTAAAAAAAAAAATTTCGTTTGGCTTTTTTTTTAGAGACAGAGTATCACTGCGTTGCTCATGCTGGAGTACTGTGGCTATTCACAGGCATGATCATAGTGTGGTGTAGCCTCAAATTCCTGGTCTCAAATGATCCTCCCACCTCAGCCTTCTGATACGTAATCACTTTTGGTGACTGTAGTTTACCCTCATATGAAGATACCTTGTATTAGTTAGGCTAAATGATAAGATTGGTTCTAACATAAAGGTTAAATAACAGTACTTACAACAATATAAAAGTTTTGCTTTTCTGTCACACAGCACTCAGAATCAGCAGATCAGGGCTGTCCATGTGAGGGATCCAGGCTCTTTTTGTGTCGATACTGTGTTACTTTTGACATGGGGTGGGTGCGTGCGGCTCTTAACAGAAAGATTCAAGTTTAATAGATACAGAAGAATTGATGGAATCAGAAGAATCATCATTTTGCAACCCCCATGGTAATAACTGGTTCAGAAAGTAGTCATCAGTGGCCAAACCATAGGTGAAAAGTTGTGCTGTGTGCAAAGTATCCAACAGATTATTTATTTAAAATGGAGGAAAATTCCTTTACAACTAAGATGTGGCTAATATCTCAGTTATAAAGGTACTTTAATGGGTCCGACTGACATGCTTTCTAATGGGGTGCAAAAAAAAAAAGATGGAGACTGTTTTAGATTAAAAGAGGCCAACAAATGAAAACCAAATGGGTATATAATGCTTGAATGAGATTCCTGGATTTTAAAAAATAGATGTATATTTGTCAGTAAACTAGAAGGAACTCAAATGCTAATCAGTTGAGGATTGGTTGAGTAAAATTTGATATAGCCAAACAACAGAATTCCATTCAGCCATTAAAAAGAATGAAAAGGGGGAAAAAACATGTAAAGGGCATTGTAGGGGTAGTTGGGTAAATTTGAATATGGATTATTATGAGGAGTTTTTTCCCACAGTAACAGATTCTTCAAAGCCAACTAAGTGTCCAACAATTCAATTTGATTCTGGACACTATCTACCTGGAGTTAGTGTCATATTCCACAAGTTAAGAGAAATCAGTTCCACAAGACTGCTCCCACTGCGGGCATGCCAATCGCAAGTCCTGAGTCGCTCTTTTTTTTTTTTTTTTTTTTTTTTTTTTTTTTTTTTTTTTTTTGAGTTTCCTTCTTGTCACCCAGGCTGGAGTGCAATGGCGCGATCTCAGCTCACTGCAACCTCCGCCTCCCGGGTTCAAGAGATTCTCGTGCCTCAGCCTCCCAAGTAGCTGCGATTACAGGTGCCCACCGCCACACCTGGCTACTTCTTGTATTTTTTATTAGATACAGGGTTTCACTATGTTGGTCAGGCTGGTCCTAAACTCCTGACCTCAGGTAATCCACCCACCTCGGCCTCCGTGAGCCACTGCGCCTGGCTTCTGAGTCACTCTTACTTCTGACCAACCAGCTGTAAATTAGGGATTCCTACAACCCCCTGCTCAGCTTCAGTAATTTGCTAGAGCAGCTCACAGAACTTAGGAAGCCAGTTTGCTTACTATTACTGGTTTATTATAAAGGATATATCTCAGGAACAACCAAACAGAAGAGATGCCTAGGGCAAGGTATTGTAGGTGCAGAGGGTGGGGAGATGCATGGGCCTTCTGGACATGTCGCCCTCCCTCATTGTGTTCACCAGTCTGGAAGCTCTCTCTAAACCCTGCCATTTAGGGGGTTTTGTGGCTAAAAATATATGTATGTATGATCAATTATTTCATCACGTATGATTGCATATGTGTGATCAATTATTAACTGAATCTCCAGCCCCTCTTCTCTCTCTGAAGGTTGGAAAGTGAGGCTGAAAGTTACAGACCTCTAACCAAGGCATGGTTTTTCTGGCAACCAGCCCTATCCTGAAGCTATCTGGGGGTCTGCCAAGAGTCTCTTCTTTGGATGCGAATGCTAAGGGATTTAAGTGTTCTCTGTCAAGAATCTGAGAGAAATATCAAATAGTAGGCTGGGTGTGGTGGCTCATGGCGGTAATCCCAGCACTTTGGGAGGCCGAGGCAGGCAGATCACTTGAGGTCAGGAGTTCCAGACAAGCCTGGCCAACGTGGTGAAACCCTGACCACTAAAAAGAAGTACAAAAATTAGCCGGGCATGGTGGCGAGCACCTGTAATCACAGCTACTCAGGAGGCTAAGGCAGGAGAATTGCTTGAACCTGGGAGGTGGAGGGTGCAGTGAGCAGAGATCATACCACTGCACTCCTGCCTGGGCAATAGAGCAAGACTCATATATCAAAAAAAAAAAAAGAAGAAAGATCAAATAGAACAAAAGATGCTCCTATCAGTCCTATCACTTAGAAAATTACAAGTTTTAGGAGCACTGTGCTAGAAACTGGGGACAGAGGTCAAATGTAGGAACTGGGGACAGAGGTCAAATGTAATGTTTCATGTTATGCCACAGCTATGGAGTAGATGATAATCACTATTAAATTTCTTTGGTGTAGTAATGGTTTTGGATTTAAGTAGCAGAATATCTTTATTCTTTAGGAATATAAGCTGAAGTATTAATAATTAGGGGTGAAGTGTCACAGTGTCTTTAACTTTCAGTTTGTTCCAGAAGATTGTGTGTTTAGAGAGGGATAAATATGGCAAAACATCTTTGTAGATTTGAAAATTTCAAAACAAAAGTTCAAGAAGGGGAATTGCACATTTATTCTTTCAGACAACCTTCAGGATCATTTTGTCAAGTTCCCTCAGAAATCTCACTGGTATTTTTGAAGGTTGCAATTAAGTTATTATAGGTTACTCTAGGGAATATTGGGCACATTTGCAATTTTGAGTCTTGTCTAAGAACAAGGTATCTCTCCCTTTATTCATGTTGGCATTATGCCTCTCAAAGTTGGAGTTTTGTTTTTATAGATCCTATACTCTTATGGTTATGTAGGTAGAATGTTTCTTGTTGTTTTTGAGAATGTGATTTTTACTGTATTTTGTTCTACTAGTTCTTGTTTGTCATAATATAAATATCAACAACTTCAGTATCTGTTGGTATTTCAGTTGGTTCTTTTGGGCTTTCTAGGTGTATAGCTAATGTTTCAAATGGTGATAAATATGCTCTTTTTTACTTGTAAATCTCTCCTATTGTCCTCTTATCTACTTACATTGACTAGAATTTCCTTTTTTTTTGAGACAGAGTTTCGCTCTTGTTGCCCAGGCTGGAGTGCAAAATGGTGCAATCTCGGCTCACTGCAACCTCTGCCTCCTGCGTTCAAGCGATTCTCCTGCCTCAGCCTCCCGAGTAGCTGGGATTACAGGAGTGAGCCACCACACCCGCTAATTTTGTATTTTTAGTAGAGACGGGGTTTCTCCATGTTGGTCAGGCTGGTCTCGAACTCCCGACCTCAGGTGATCCGCGCCCCCCACCGCCTCCCAAAGTGCTGGGATTATAGGCGTGAGCTACCACGCCTAGCCTACATTGACTAGAATTTCTGAAAGAGCATTAAACAGTAGTGATGCTAACAACTACTTTTGACTTGTTTCCTGCTTCACTGGAATTAATGCTACAGGAGTGTTTCACCATTAACGATAATGCTGATTGTTGATTTGAAAAATATCTGAGAATATGTGTGTCATATAAAGGAATGAATGTTGAATTTCTTTTTTTTAATTTATATTTTTCTTTTTTAAAATTTATTTTGTTGTTTCTGTAGTAGATATGAATGTTGAATTTCACCGTGCACTTTTGGTTTCTATCGTGGGATTTTTTTTTTCTATCATGGGATTTTTATAGGATTTTTCCTTCACTTCAATAAACTATATTAGTAGATTTCCTAATGTTGAATAGTGTCTCTTTTAAAATGAGATTGGCATATGGGGTTTTAAATTTGTTTTATATCATCTCTCCCAGGCTTTGGTTTCGATTTTATTTTGTTTCAAAAAAATTAAGCTTTTCATCTTTTGCTGTGCTCTAGAACAGTTGATATAGTGTTACACTTTAATGTTACTTGAAGATTAGAAGTAATTCATCTATATCTAAAGAATTAATAGCAGCACTCTTTTGGATAGTTAGCAGCATTTTAGTTTCTTTATTGGGCCTGTTTTTTATCTGTATACTATCTTATAATTCTTTTTTCTAAATTTTGGTATTCTTCCTTTTATCTTCCTAAGTGATTAATTTATCTTTAGTTTTATTCATTAATGAAAATATTTATGACTATATGCAGTGATCAGGATAAATAAGTGGTATTTAACACTTTTTGCATTGTCAGACCTGGCAGCTCTAACATCTGACCTCATTTCCTGACATCCTGGCCCTTTGATTCTCTGATCTGCACTAATATCCTCATCATAACTACATGAGCCAGTAAATATGTTCTCTTTTGAGTTTTTGCTTGTACTATCTGCAGGAAACCTTTAGCTGGGTGTTTATGGACATGTCATGGAAAAAGCTTCATGTGGCTAAATAATTAAGTTGTTTCGGCCTTATATTTTATGTTTTTCTGGCTATTTCCTTTGTTTTATATCTTTTACTAGGTTGCTGCCCCTCCCACCAAAGAAGCTTGAAAGATGTAAAATATTGTTAGTTCTACTTGTGAATACCTGTTTAAGTATGCTTAAACCCTTGGCTGGGCATGGTGGCCTGTAATCCCAGCACTCTGGGAGGTCGAGGCGGGCAAATCACAAGGTTAGGAGTTCAAGACAAGCCTGGCCAACATGGTGAAACCCCATCTCTACTAAAAATACAAAAAATTAGCTGGGCATAGTGGTAGGTGTCTATAATCCTAGCTACTCGGGAGGCTGAGGCAGGAGAATTGCTTGAACCCAGGAGGCGGAGATTGCAGTGAGCCAAGATCGTGCCACTGCACTCCAGCCTGGGTGACAGAGTGAGACTCTGTCTCAAAAAAAAAAAAAAAAATGTATGCCTAAACCCTTATTTCCTCTCTGCTTCAGAAAAGTCTACCTATTGATTCCCACTATGAAGTATGAGGATGCGTATTTTCTTTCACCAGTCCAAATCCTTGTTGGTTTTTATTGATTCTCCACTGCCTTCCTCCAACTGAAATTATTTTTACCCTGGGCAACATAGTGAGACCTTGTCTCAACAAAAAATACAAAAATTAGCCAAGCATGGTGGCATGCTCCTATGTTCCCATCTATTCAGGAGGCTGAGGCAGGAGGATTGCTTGAGCCCAAGAGGTTGAGGATGCAGTGAGCAGAGGTTGTGCCGTTGCACTACAACCTGGGGAACAGAGCGAGACTCTGTCTCTTAAAAAATAAAATACATTATTTTTATATCACAGGCATGAGAAAAGTTCATGATATGTTAGTAGAGCAAGGTGCAGTACAGTGTGCATAATCTACCATTTTTTAAAGGAAGAAAAATAAGAATTTATCAATATTTGCTTGTGTATGAAAAGAAACTGGAAAAATACACAGAAAATTAATGAAAGTGAGTACCTGTTGATAGGGTTGGGAAACAAGGCTTCTCATCCTGTACCTTTTTCCACTGATTTTTGAGTCATGAGAACATTTCCTATTCAAAAGAAAGAACATTTTCAGATGGTACATAAAAAAAATTTTGCCATTACATAACTTTGTTTCCTAATACTGATAACATTTAAAACCATAATTAACACTGTTTGCATTGTCATACCTGGCAGCTCTAACATCCGGCCTCATTTCCTTTTATTTTAAAACCATAATTATAGTGATTTAGGTTTAATTTTGTAATGTAATATATTCAGTGCCCAATGCCACTCTTCCTACTAGTTCTCATTCATTAATTTTTTGACTTATATCTCAGGGATATGTATTCAAATAGATATTTCAGGATAAAATGTATTTCCTTTGCTAGGTATAGAATTCTTGTTTCACAGCCTATTCCTTAAAAATGGTAGACTGTGCTCAGTTGTCTCCAGTTTGTAATATAAGGTGTCTGAAGCTGGTCTTCTTTCTTTTTTCTTTGTGAACGATATGATTCTACTGCCTGGATACTAGGAGGCTTTTTTTTCCATTTATGTCTCCAAAACTAAATAGCTTTATTAATTGATATCTTGGTGTTGCTCCACTTACATATTTTTTCCTGGTATGTAGTGAATAATTTTAATCTGTATATTTGGGTGTTCCTTCATTTATGAAAGTATTTTGTAAATCTGTCTTTGAATAATTTTGTTTTGAGTATTATTATTATTAAATATTTATTGAGCACCTAACTGTACCAGGCACTACGTAAGTCTCTGGGGATATAGTGGTAAGTAAAGCAGTCATGGTCCCTATCTCTCTGCGGTCACACACAACAGTCAGACCTAGGTTATATATAAGTGCCCTTAGTTCATACTAATGATAGCTCATATTGTGTAGCAGCTGCATTTCCATGTGTCATTCCTAGCCAAGATGTGAGCTTCTTGAAACTTAGGCACTACGTTCTTCTTGAAACTCAGGCACAACAGTATATAGTACTGTTGGATTCCCTGACATATGGGTAAGATCTCAGTAAATAATATTTGAGTAAATGGCCCGATGTTATGCTGCTCCTGTTTCTTAATCTTCTTCCTAGATTTTGCTCTTGGCCTACCTAGTGTGATCTGTTCTTAACCTTTGCTCTTTTCCTCACCCCTTGCTTGTAATTAATTGTTCTATGGGCTATTCTTTGCCTTCTGTAGTTTATCAACCTCTGCAACATTTTTCTAATTGATGCTCACTTTTCCAACTACCATATCATCTATGTACATAATACATGTCTCCTTTTTAAACCATTGAATCTGCAATTCCAGCGCAACTATTTCTGAAAACAAGGAACAGTATTGAAAGATGATGTTTGATTTTATTCCATCTGTGTACTTGGTGATTTTATTCCTTTCACCTAGTGGCCAAATCAGAATCTACACCATGACATAGACTTTTCCTGTCTGTAGTCAAAGCTTAACATGTGTTGATATTACCTGATTAATCTTAATATTGTTCCCCTGTCTTATTTTTAAGGATCTGCATGTTGGTATTTTCGGATTAAATTTAGAAACTAGTCCTGCTTTGTGTCATTTTTGTCCTTAGCCATGTATAAAAGCAACATACTAATGTTTACACTAACAGTAGATTTTAGTCTTATTATAGAGCTGTGTATCTATTGGCATAACATTAATTCTGTGGACGAAAACTATGTATAAGAATATTATCAATAGTATTGACTGATTCTTGAACTCCTGGTTTCAAGTGATCCTCCAGCCTCTGCCTCCCAAAGCACTGGTATTACAGTGCCCAGCCGGTATCAACTGATTCTAAAAGATTACTAAATTCCACTAAATTATAAATAGTATTTGTTGAGTAACAAATTTTTCTTAGATATTATTTATTTAGTCAGCAGCAGTTTCCAAAGAGGCATCATCAGCAGGTGTTCTTAACTCTTTACAGAGATGGGGTTACTGTCACACTTATTTTTCTCATCAGTTTGGGAGCCAGAGAGACTTACGCAAATTCATTCCAAGTCTGTCCTTTATTGTAACTACAGCTTAATTTTTTTATCTTCAATATGTTTTGTAATCATAGTTTATGCTTGCCATCACCGAAAATATTTACTAACTAAACTAGTGAACCACATTGACTTTTTTTTTTTTTTAAAGACCATACCTTTAGAATATTGTCTATTTTGAGTTTCAGAATAGAAGTATCATCACATGGTAGCCTGTTTTCTATAAAATCATACAATTCAATAAAAAATATTTGTTGAAAACCTGTTAATCTTGCTAATGAGCTTCAGTTCAAGTTAGTATTTGCTGATCTGTATCCTGTAGTGTTCAATCTCAGGATTTAATTTGAAGGGAATTAATACTAGGTTACCTCTTTATAGGTATAAATCATAATGCTGTTTTGTTTTTTTGACCTTGGTTTTTGTTTTTAAACCCTTCAAATTGCATATATACTAGCATTTTAACTTAAGAAAGTCTCAACTAATGTCTGAATATCCATAGTTCAGCCTTTGCCATGCTTTGCAAACCTAATTAGGTTAATGTGTTTTTTTCAGGATTTTAAAATTATTTTTCTTATGTGCCAGGTTTAATCTTGCACCTTGTTATTGAGGCAAAAACAATTCAGTTTTGTTGTATTTTTCCTCTTGCTCTTAACAACATAATGCCATAGAGGAGATAAAACCTCTACTCTATCCTTTGTGCCATGAGGTTCGGAGGGCAAAAGACTTTTTTTTTTGCTCCAGGCTAGAAGAGGGTAAGATATTAGAGGTGAGATTTGTTTTTTCTTTTTTTTTTTTTTAAGATGGAATCTTACTGTGTCGCGCAGGCTGGAGTGCAGTGATGCAACCTCAGCTCACTGCAACCTCCACCTCCCAGGTTCAAGCGATTCTTTTGCCTCAGCCTCCCGAGTAGCTAGGATTACAGGCGCCTGCCACCACACCTGGCTAATTTTTGTATTTTTAGTAGAGATGGGGTTTCATCATGTTGGCCAGGCTGATCTTGAACTCCTGACCTCAGGTGATCTGCCTGCCTTGGCCTCCCAAAGTGCTGGGATTACAGGCGTGAGCCACCATGCCTGGCCGAGATTTTTTTTTTTTTTTTTAAACCACTCTAGTTAGCTATCCCTCTCCGAATATTGGATAGGAATGTAATCACATTTTAACTGTTTTCAAGTGTGTGTTGTACTACTGGAGGGTACACAATTTCCAATTATCTGTTAAGGAGAAACTAAAAACATTTGAAACTTTGAACAGCTTTCATTTTGAGGCATTACAAGATTTTGAAAAAAACAAAACAAAAAACACCCTAATGTTGAAGTTACTGTGGCCCTAAGAAAAGCCCTATGTTTTGATTATTTCGATTATGTCTTCTATCCTGAAAAGTAGCCATCTTACAGGGATTGCAAAGATCTAAGTCTGTTCTGGTATGCAAAGCGGGATGATTTTGAACTTGACACCAGCTAAGCCATTTCCCAGAGATTTATGAGGACTGATCAAAATACATTTATTATACTGGTAAAATGTTTCTATATAAATACAGTGATAGTTACTATTACTGATATTATAGGGTTTTTTTTTAATTCTGAAATGACTTTAGATACACTGCTCCCTGCTTGAAAATCTTGAGTCCTCCTTTTTGCTTGCTTTCCGTCTTTTTCTTCATTCCCTTAGGTTTTAAGAACAGCTACAAAGTTTTGAAATTGCTTTATAGTTTGGCTCTTTTAAAGCTATAGGCTAAGAATGTTGACACAGGAAGGTCTTCCATCCTGCTTTACCCATTAACGATGTCTATAATGCAGTATCATTGTTTCCTCCTCACAGGAACTGACCGATATGGCCAGGAATACAATACAGTCTTAGTGATACAGAGTCATTTTGTGTCTGTTCTGAACATGATTTATGCTTGGTCCACAGTTAATTTTTATTTATTCTGTAAGTCCTTTTGAATAAATAAAAAGGTTTACAATGGAAAAGATCTTGTAGAATAAAGGGGAAAGGAACTGAAGAGTAATTAATTGCAAATCAGAATTACGTTTCTTATTTTATTGATACGCTTTCAACAGGTCCATAAAGTCACAATTATTTTTATAGTAATAGATTATGATTTGCCTTTTGTGCTCTCATTCTCTTGTGAATATACAGTCAGGTTTTCCAGAGATCATATATTAATATGTGATGATATCACTGCCCTGACACCTAATGGAATGTGTGCTTGTGTATTCTTGTGTTTTAAACATTTCTGAGTTTTAACATTTAATATGGTATATAGCAATAGATATGAACTACATAAACAAAAGCTCAGTAATGAGTTTAAAAGAGCCCTGAGACCAGAGTTTGAGAACCATTTTTCTCTGGCATAGTTAAATTGAAGTTGCTGACTTTTCCTTGTAATCTCGTGTTTGTTGTAGGGAAGCATAACCTCTTCTCTTTCTGCTCTCTCAGGGGATAGGATGGGGAGTATTATTTTAAGAGTCTTGCTCTGTCACCTAGGCTAGAGTGCAGTGGCACAATCAAAGCTCACTGCATGATCATAGCTCATTGCAGCCTTGAAATCCTGGGCTCAAGTGAACCTCCTACGTCAGCCTCCCCAATAACTACAGGCATGTGCCACCATCCCCCGCTAATTTTTAAAATTTTTTGTAGAGACAGGGGTCGTTCTGTGTTGCCCAGGCTGGTCTCAAACTCCTGACCTCAGGCAACCCTCCCTGCCTCAGCCTCCCAAAGTGCTGGGATTATAGGTGTGAGCCACCATGCCCAGCTTAAAATGTGAATTTTAAGTGTGATTGGTGCAATTCAGGAAGGTGGCTCTTAACAGTTCTTGCTTAAAGGAAGAAAGCTGAAAATAAAGAGACAGAGATGTTTCTTAACAATACTGGCCAGAATTACTGTCTTTTGATGTACTCTCATCACTGGAAGGGCCCAAGCATAAATCAAACAACTATTGAGAGTATTTTTAAAGAAGATTTATAGTTCAGATAGGGAACTATACTACGAGGAATCTAATAATACAAAGTTCCTTTAAAACACACTTAAAATCCTATAATTTTGGGGCTGGAACCAATTTGGCTGCATGTAAATTTTAACAATAACAAATAAAATGGTGTTCTTGTTCATAGGTATCACCCAGTTAAATGCTTTCCCATTACATCTTTTAAAAAATTAAAATGAATTACAAAAATAGACTTTCTAATTTGTTAGCCCTGTTTCTTTCTCCCATTTAAATGTGATATATTTAACTTGCTTACTATTTTTTTCCTATGTATTTTATTTCAGTTGGTCGCATTATGTTTCAGCTCTTCTCAGACATATGTCCAAAAACATGCAAAAACTTCCTTTGCTTGTGCTCAGGTAAGTGAATTATTATTTCCAATGAGAAGCTGTGGCTTACAGTTTTACCTTGCTGAACAGAATAGATATTTTCCTGGAAGAATAATGGACTCGTGAAATTAGTTTTGTGAATTAAAAAAAAAAAAGAGTTACTTATACTGACTTTTATATGAAATCAGGGAAGCATTTCTTAAGGGGAAGAGATTAGAAAGGAATGATCTCAAAAATGAAAAAGAGAGTAAGAATCTACGTTATATAATGGAATCTTCTCTATACATTTTAATTTATAAAATAATAGCACACATTCAAAACTGATTTGGTAGAATTTTATGAATTTCACTACTTTGAAAAAATTTAGTATTCCAAATTTTACAATAAATTTTAAATAAATAGAAAAAATGGGGAGGGAAACATCTATAATGTTACTTTA
This sequence comes from Homo sapiens, assembly GCF_000001405.40. Taxonomy (NCBI): domain Eukaryota; kingdom Metazoa; phylum Chordata; class Mammalia; order Primates; family Hominidae; genus Homo; species Homo sapiens. Next base: position 42,618,054 of record NC_000003.12, read on the forward strand.
AAATTAGAACAAACTGGCCGGGTGCGGTGGCTCAAGCCTGTAATCCCAGCACTTTGGGAGGCCGAGGCAGGTGGATCACCTGAGGTCAGGAGTTCAAGACTAGCCTCGCCAACATGGTGAAACCCCGTCTCTACTAAAAATACAAAAATTAGCCGGGCGTAGTGGCAGGCGCCTGTAATCCCAGCTACTCAGGAGGCTGAGGCAAGAGAATCACTTGAACCCGGGAGGCGGAGCTTGCAATGAGCCAAGATTGCGCCATTGCACTCCAGCCTGGGGGACAAGAGCCAGACTTTGTCTCAAAAAAAAAAAAAAAAAAATTAGAACACACTGAAATTTTAAATTCTTACTTGGATACACATATGCAATTTTTGCACTAACTCCTTGATTTTGTTATTTATTTATTTGGGACGGAGTCTGACTCTTGTCTCAAAAACAGGCTGGAGTGCGGTAGTGTGATCTCAGCTCACTGCAACCTCCACCTCCCAGATTCAAGTGATTCTCCTGCCTCAGCCTCCTGAGTAGCTGGGACTACAGGCCTGTGCCACCACACCTGGCTAATTTTTGTATTTTTTTTTTTAGAGGCAGAATTTCACCCTGTTGGCCAAGCTGATTTCAAACTCCTGACCTCAAGTGATCTGCCTCGGCCTCCCAAAATGTTGGGATTACAGGCGTGTGCCATTGCGCCTGACCTCATTCTTTGACTAGAGTGATAAGTGTGTCTAGTATTATGTCCTATAGCATGTAGAGTCTGTACCACACAATTTTACATTTACATGCTGCTTTGGATTATTTATTTTGGTTTGCGTGCATGTGTGTATGTTAAATTATCATGTCATCTATTTCTTATATCTCTTCCAGTGCCTAGCACACAGGAAAGATTTGACACAGGATTAATTGGTTTGTTCTTTCCATGGAAGGATGTATAAATAATTAAACTTCATTTCTTTTTTTTTTTTTTTTTTCCAGGAGAGAAAGGCCTTGGGAAAACAACTGGGAAGAAGTTATGTTATAAAGGTTCTACGTTCCATCGTGTGGTTAAAAACTTTATGATTCAGGGTGGGGACTTCAGTGAAGGTAGAGCTAAAAGTTGTGTTCCTAATAACTCCATCTATCAGTTTTTAAAGTATTTCATTATTACTTTTAGTTCTAAATATTGTGTCAGTTACAGTATGATATAAAATGTGGTCAGTGAATACTTGTTGGATGAGTGAATATTATAGGTCCAGAATGTATGAAAAAGCAAAGTACCACGTAAGACATTTTATTTTGTTTTTATGCAGTTTATTTTATTAATATTATAGTTACTTAGTGAATTCCTTTACAATGAATGCCAAAGTACTGTCTGATTGCTTTTGTTCTGGAATGTTTTTGGTGTTATTACTGTTTGAAATAAGTAGGTTGTGAAGATGACTTTTTTGATGGTATTTCTTGTAATGGGACTTGACATATATTTTACAGATGAAGTTAATTGAGGACTCTGAGAATTTTGATTATTGCAGCAGTTATAACATTCCAAGGTTTCCTTCAGCGAATTGAAGCTATCAAAAATGATTTCTGTGTTAGTATATTTTTAATGTTCATTATGGCTTAAAGTAGGTGATTATTTGCAGGTAATGGAAAAGGTGGAGAATCAATTTATGGTGGATATTTTAAAGGTAAGGCTTAATATTTTACGGTCTTTTGTTTCAGTTCTGATATTAAAGCAAGTTTGATCATATACTTTTAATGAGAAGAGGTTTACTTATAGTTCACTTTTTGCATGAAACTAATGCTGCATGAAAATACTTTATTTGCATGAATTTGGGGATAAATTATATTGTAATATATAATTTTTAATTGACAAGATTAATTAAGGCTAACTTTATGGTTAAACATGACTTTCAGCATGGAGGTTAGGCAACTATATACATGAAAACTCCTATCTTCCTGCCTAAAACTGTCAACATATTCTTTTGTTTATAGAGAATGTGGTCTTTTGCAAAATGAAAAGGTAAGAGAACGAAGCTCAGTAACACAAACTCCAATTCTGTTCCCTTGCACCCTTCCTAATAAATTTATGGACAGTCTGGGTCAGGTTGTGGCTGGATTTCTATATTGCTTGAAGACTTGGAAAATTCTGTGTATTATTTCATACATGCTTCTGTATCTTTTTTCATTTCCCAATGGGTTATTAATTTCACATCAGAGAAAAGAGTCTAGTTGTGGGGTTTTTTTTCCCCTAAACCAAGCAATTTCTTTGAATAAAAGTTGAAATTTCGTTTTTCAAAGGTTTGTATGTTTTCTTTTGTATATTAGAACTATGACTGTGTTTATTCTCATAATAGTAGCATCTGCATAAATCTAACTATTGCACTTGCCCCAAAAAGCCTTAGAAAAGTCAGTTGCAGAGATTTGTAATGAAATCTAATATTACTAGGTTTTAACGCTATAATAGCTTCAGTGTTATAATAGTCTTTTATATTTCCTTTGGGGGAAAATGGATTACTACTCTTTTTCAGAAGCCTGTTCCCAAGGTAATCACTTTTTAAAGTTTTCTGTGTTTCTGTTTGTTCTGAAGAAGATTTGTTTGTATGAATGTTAAAAGGACATATAAGTTAGTTTTCAAGGATATTCCTGCTGGAATTAAAATAACTCTAAGTGATCTTTATCACAGATTTTTTTTTCCTTTGAACTAGTAGGAAACAGCTATTTAGCTGGTTCTGTTATGTAGCAATTTAAAACTAATGCTGTAGGCCACTTTGTGGTTGTTCCTTGTGGCAGATACTTTTGTACCTTAAAATTGTATTTTGCTATTTAAATTTTTGTTTCACAGGGCTTTCTTCCTTAGATAATTTTGTGATACAATTGAGTATACACATACTTAATTTAGATATGTTCCTGTAACTTAATATAACATAATTTTTTTGTCTTACAGTCTAGCTTCAATTAAGTTGAATAATAAATTTACCGTATAAAAATTAAACACCTAAAAAGATTATTGAACTTCTTCCATGTATAGCACATTAGGCAAGCTAATTGGAAATTTGGAGGAAGTAAGCTAGAGATTTTTCTAAAATTTTATTAGTTTTCCCTGAAAGTTAATAATTTAAATATCATTTAGCCAAAGTATGTTACTACTAAAAGTGACTGTTCTAAGGCTGTTTGTGTGAAGTATTAAATATATGTTCTTTTCCTCAAGGCTTTAATTAGTATCTTTTGGCCTTTTTATGCTTTTGTTATTTGATTAGCTTAAATTTTTCTTTTCTGAGTGTTCAGTCAAGTTATCTGTACTGACCAGAAGAGGAATTTCATCTTTTGCTTTCTATTTATTACTTGAACATTACTTTAAAGTGACTTATAATTGGAGACTGACAAATTTGTGTTTTCTTCAAACAGATGAAAACTTTATTCTCAAACATGACAGAGCGTTCCTTTTATCAATGGCAAATCGAGGGAAACATACCAATGGTTCCCAGTTTTTCATGTGAGTAGGCATAATTCAGAGATGAGCTTTTCTTAAACAGAGAAGCGCTGTTCATAAGAAAGATGGTATAGTTAAACCAAGTTTAATGCTAAAATTCTGTCAGCTTTATTTTTATTATTAATTTCTAATATCATAGTAACTTATAAGGTCTAACAACTGCCTCAGCATTCAGCATATATCCTGAATTGGAAGAATGGGACTTAAAAAATTTAAAACTTATACATTGTTTTCAAAATATGCCGTCATCTTCAGAAAAGATGACGGCATATTTAAGCCCCTGTCAAATTCGAGTGCTGACTTTACCAAAACTAGATTGGAACATAAACTATTGATGAACATGTAAAAATTGTTCATAGACGAGTATTCAGTTACTGTACCCCCTCAACAGGGAAAGCAGTTTGAGTAAACCATTGCATGGTTGTTTTTTCCTCTTACTGTTGCTCTTTGAGGCAATTTTGAGAGAGGTACTATTATTTTCTGATGTTGTATAGAGATAGGTGACCTGCTGTTGAGCGAGCATTTTAAAAAACTCATTTTATGAGGTCTCCATGCATAATTGAAATAACCCAATGTTGCTGTCATTTCCACCAAAATTTATGAGATTGTCACTCAGGAAACTTAAGAATACTAAATTTGCTTTTGAAAAAGCAAATATATTTACATGGATGTGCATTGCACAACCAAAAACTTACCTTTTTATTATCTGAAAATTCTAAATAAATCCTTTGGCATACTTTTAGTTATATTCTTATCTAAGGCTGCTTCAAAACCTATTTTTATCATAATTCTATCATATAAAATGTGAAAGATAACTGTCCAGCATGAGGGTTATTGCTTTTGATTGGAAGTGAATCTCAGTTGTCCTATGTATGTTGGAGAAATATTTCATTAATAATTTATTGAAAACATTTTCTTTGTCATCTTTCTGAATGAATGAGTATGAATGGCGCTTCCCTGTCTTTAAAGGAGTATATTACTGACATACAAAACTCAAATGTTAAATTTGTCTGAAAAATATATTTCTACATGATCTGATAAAGTTCAGATAAGGGGCATTCTGTTCCTAAGAATGTCCTAAAAATGGAAAGCTGATAAAAGATTATGCTTAGAATTATACAGGTAAAAGACCTACAACAGTTGTTCTCTTGTTTTGATCCCATAGGTTATTTGTTATTACTCTTCTTTAACAGAGTGATTTTCTATTCTTAACCTTCTTAAGAGCCAATACAGAGTAGAAAGAAATATTTTCAGAAAGCCTTTTTAATAGTAACTTAATGTAAAAATTGTTTATCCTTTGGTTGAGGTTTCCCATTTCCATTTTTAAGCTTATCTGAACTGTGAACATGAAAAACGTAATGATTCATTGGTCAAGAAGCTACCATTTGAGGGCTCTAAAGTTTCTTTTAGATTTCCTTTTTTATATCAGTACAATTAAAATTTGATTTATCAAGTAGCAGCAGCTTCTTGATATTGTTACATACATTAGCTTGTTCATAAAATGTTAGAGTTAAAACTCATTAAAAATGCTATCGTTAAACATAAACTAATTAAAATTCAGTATACGAGATTCTCCCTTCAAAAACATCTTATTTTTATTTTATTTAGTACTTGCTTCAGTGTTTTCTAGGAATATCTAGTAAAGGCCTTTACTGTTTTCCACATGGCCTAATTTTATATTGGACTACAATTTTTGAGAAGGAATGCCAAATACAAAATTTTGAATCAATAAATTACAATTATAATTTTTATACTTATTTTCAAAGTTAATTTACTTTAGATGGCAGTAAAATCACTGAACTTCTGATTGAAAGAAAATTTTTTAGTTTGAAATTTCCTTCTGGAAAGGGGTTTGCAGTCCCTTTGGAAAGGAGTAAGCAATCCTGGAAGTAATTGAGTATTTAATCCTCCTATATTTTTTCTGAAGATTTTTGTGTCAGTATACTTTCTTTATGCTGGCTAGAAAGATCAGTTCTCAAGAGTTGCAGGATAAAATCAAATTAACTTTCATGTTTCAGAACTAAAACATATCCTTGCATTTATGGGAAGGATAGGTAAAAATGGAGATGGTGGCTGATAAAATAAAAATCTTTGAAACTATGTTTTTACAAGCCCAAAGCCTTTTGGAGTTGAAAGTATTAAAAAAAAGTATGATATGCTATCTTCAGGTTATGTATATGATCACAGATAATAGCTCTGATGGTCACAGAGCTTGCTGATGGCTTCCAAAGGATGGCTCCTGCCTTTTACCTTGTTACCACAGCTCCTCATAGGGCACTTTGAGTGGCAGTTCTGGAATCTGAAAAAGAAAGGATAGTGTAAGAATGGTGGTAAAATAAAAAGAACTGTCTTTATAGTTCCTGCTTTATAGGCTCAATAAGGATTTTTAATACATCCTTGCAAAATTGTTTTTGTAGTTTTTGTTACAAATCTGTTACTTTGCAATTCCTAAGGAGTAGATTTGGTGCTGTTAGTATGGGTATTTGCAAGACATCCCTCAAGGATTCTTATGTTTTGTGCATTAACTACTGTCTTCATTACTTACACATCTAAAAACTCCCCCTTCCTTAGGCATATGTCATTTTTATTCAACATAATTTTGCATATATTGCTTTCTTTGGCTGGAACAATTATATACATGATGAAAATCAGATTTTCTTCTATAAATCTATTTGTAATTTTTACAGTAACTTTATTTCTAGTACTGTATTTGTCATAATGATTTTGCTCTCGGGGGTCTATATAGAAGAAAACTTGATTCTTTTTGGAATAGTACTGCTCAAGAAATGTGGAAGAAGTGATATATGGCACTATACCCATGAATCACTAAAGAAACAGTGGTTTTATTTTGAACATTTTTGAAGAAATTCAAAGATTTGGGACTAAAGTTACCAAGTTAATTTGGTATTTATTTTGTCCTTTGTATTCTTATTTTTTAGGTTAAAGAATAGGAAGAAACCACAATAAAAGCTGGAATTATAAAGTCATAGAGTGGAAAGGGATTTAGAGATTATCTAGTCCAACCTTTTCATTCTGTAGATTATGCTAAATTCTTGAAAAGTCATGTAAAGTCCAGGTTATAGAAATTTTATTTACAATCTGGAAGAAACTGATAGCTAGAAAAAGAATGCTGCATACTTATTCATATTATTAATGCCTTTACTATAAATTTAAGCTTATTTAAGCTCAAAATTTTATTAACCACTCTGCTCTGAATTTATTTTAGTTAAGGATTAGAAGCATCAAACATTTTGCTGGAAAACAAAATGACATTTGGGGAAACATTCTTTCCCCTTTTGCTGTTACTGATAGCTTATTAATTCTGGCTGTAATTTTTTTGTCTTTATATACATTAATCAAAAAGACAAAGATGTTGTATAAAATAGTCATGAAAAAGATTGAGTAAATAGTTTATAGCTTTGTAGTAACTTCTGGGATAGGACACTAATATAGCTGTCAGGAAACCTTGATTTTAGTTTCCTATGTACCTTCAGTTCGTTTTTCTTAAACATTGGTATAAAAATATGGATGTAAAAGGAAGAAGGTATTTTGTAGGGTAGTTGTAAGTTCCTGAATGTGTGGAATGATTTATGTGCAAACATTGTCTTGCCTAATGGAAATAGTCATAATTGCCTAGTTTTCATTAGTCTGAAAAATGTCTTAAAGAAGTATTGGGCTCATCTTAAATCAAGAGCAACAGAAGTCTCTTCATCAGCTGCTGTTAGAACATGAGTCTGCGCAGCCATAGAGTAGGGATCTGCAGACCCTGCAAGAACAGTTCCTGTCACTGGCCACTGTCAGTGGTCATTAATAATTATAACAATGTAAGAAAACAAGATAATATAGAAGAGTCAAACTTTGAACTTTAAACAAAACATGTTTGCTACATTTTAACAGTCATAAATAGGGCAATGGGGGGGCGGGGCATAAGTTTTAGAATATGTTTTATGTCATTTAAGAATCTGACTTGCAAGTACCTGAATGGGAGAGAAGTGCTGATTATTACAAAGTAGTGGAGCAAGGAGAGTTGAGGAGTAGTTGGTTTTAAGGGGTTTGTAAAGCTGTGTTGATGTTTTGGGTAATAAAACTAGATTCGGGGTAGAAATGCTTTTTCTACCCACGTATTCATAAATTTATGTAAGAAGAAATGCTAGTAAGTGTTAATAACCTGAGAAGCTCTAGCTTTTTCCTTCCTTTTTTTGGGGTAATACCTTCATATGTTAATTTCAGATTTTTTCATGAGCAAAGATGTTCGTGAAACTTAGCCATAAACCATATTCTCTGAATATCAAGTGTCATCCCTAACATTCAGGCTTAATAACTTAATGTTTATGTGACTTACGTGCTAGCAATGTGGAAGAAATTTTTTATCTAGTAATGTTTGGTGTGTATTATCTTAACATTAGTGCTGAATTTTAGAAAGCACTTCTATTTTGGTGACTTTTGGAACACATGGGTAGAGCATTGTCAAGTGGCTTGGTTAGTTTCCATTACCCTTATACAAGTGTTGTCATTCTGTACAATTTGGTGCCTCTTCCCTGACAGTGTGATAGTTTCAGGAGTTGAAGGGAAAGCATTGCATGTTAAAAGCTAAAGTGGACAGAAGTTATCTTTATTTCCCTCTTCTGTACTACTTTACACCTACAGTCACTTATTTTTTTTTTTTGCAACATTCATTGAAAACTCCACATTATTTCAAACATTATGTTCTTTTTTGACTTATTCATGTTGTCAATGCCTTTATGATAATTTTAAGCTTATTTTTAAATATTTCAAGATTTATTACATTCAAAACTCTTATAAAGCATTTTGTTCATGGTATAATAGTATTTTGATCTGAGTAGTAATAGATTTATTTGTTTAAATATAGATAAAAATTGGTCAGTGTGTGTTCTCCAAAAAAAAATCTTGATAATGGGGAAAATCAGAGATTAGACAGGAAAAGAAGATATTGTGGCTAAGATTTGACTGCACTTACGCTTTCATCTCTCTTGCCTTTTTATTCTCTGAGAAGGTCCCTAAAATTGTAGTTAATGCTGCTTTATTATTATGTTCAGTGACTTAACTTCAATGTGTATCTAATATCACTGAACAGTAACTAGGGTCCGAACATTTGCTCATTAACTCCTGAAAGTAGTCTGTTGTGATACGTCACCAAACAAAGGTTTCAAATGTAGAAGCATGAAAGGTTCTTTAATTATTTGATGTGAATTAGTTAAAAGTTCCTTGAAATTTTATTTTGGATGATCTTAACTCACTTTTTTCTAATGAAATTTTTGCTTTCAACTGGTAGTAACTGGTCCTGGGCATTCAGATTTTTATATTTATGTATGTATGCAAGATACACTATTCTCTTTTGAGAAAATGTTGTCTTAGCTAATTTCTGGGATTTGTGAAAGGAAATGTAATATGTTAATAGCTATTATTGGCACTCTATGTTACAATATTAAGGATCTAAATAGATTCCCACTTAGCCACGATGCTTTTCTTAAGCATAATTCATCTCTACGTAAATATCCCATATGAAAGAAAATTTAGAGCCCTCCATTTAAAAAAGCTTTCTTGCTCTGCATAAAACTTGAAAATAATTAATTTCAAAGTTATATTGATATTAAAACATAGATTCAGTCTTGTCTTAAAAGTGTATTACAATTTATTTCTTGCCATTTTTGTGTAAAATTTACAGAAAGAGTGTTACACCGTGCGCTCCAAAGGTAATGTCTCATTACTCTAAGGCTCTCTCTCTCTTTGCCTTTATCTCTTTAATTCTGTTGTTATGTGCATTGAAACATTTTAAGAAAAAAAAAAACTTTCTGCTTTATCTGTATAGCAGCAGTACATGTAAAACAAGTGCATTTTATTTTTCATGGTTAATCCTGGGAACTATATTTTAACTTCAGTGGCTTGTTTCCACCAAGTTCCTGTACATCTTCTGGTGGGGGAGTGGGGTTATTAGTTTATAGTATGGTTTTAGTTCTCATTTCAGTGTGGAATTAGTCATTTCTGTATAAGGGCAAAAGGTTCTCTGATAATGGTATAAAACTATAGATTGTTTTTGGAGTAGCAGTGACACTTGTCAATTTCTAAGATTTATAAGGCTTAAATACCTTGCACACATGTTTTTTAAAGTAGATTCAGGGGTCGGGAAAACTGAAAAATCACTGTCTTTAAGTACAAGAGAAAAATGGAAATGCATAAATATTGAAAGGTTTTACAATTTGAAATGTTCTTTGTGGTTTTTTCTTTTTTAGGTATGTTTTCATAAGCATATATAAATTTAAACATTTTTGATAGCCTCTGGCCTTAACTTACTGAGCATGTGTCACCATTGCACAGCTCTTTAAACAGCCGCTTTTAAGATCAATGCAATTTTTCTTTTAATTGAAGATTTTGAAAGATTAAGAGTTAGTGAGATGAGCTCTCTGCCTCTTTTAGTAGAATTGAATAGTCTGGATTGTGGATATTATTTCTCTCCGCCCTTTTGTAACCCTCTTTGGCTAATGTCCTCTGTTCATCCACGTATTAGCCAAGTGCCAGTAACCCTGCTTTACATTGGGATTTCTACTCCTGGAATGTAGGTTGAGAACCCCAGAGGGCTTCTTTTTGTTAAATACTTTTAGTATTCTTAATATGTAATCTAATCCAATTAAAGTGCAGACTTATATTTCTGTATCTTGAGTTGCAGATGCAAGTAATGGACTTTAATCATTCATATCAGGTTTAGGCACTATGGGCAGGCTGAGTTGTCCTTGAAATAGTCATTCGTGTCTTCATTTGTTTTCTGCACTACTGCTATAAAGGACCAAGTTTGCCTATTCTTGGCAGTTTTCATTTGAATTAAAAACTAAACTTGAATGTCATAAAGATAGCTATTCCATCCTCAAATTGAGTCTCAAGTAGTATGTTGCTGCATCGCTACACTACTCTGGAATGTTTTATTCCACCATTTTCTCCAAAGGTTTGCCATAAAGTGGTTTTTACAGCCTTTCTATCAGCCAAGATGGCAAATTGAATTGGGCTCTTTATGTTTTAAGAAAAATTTGCAGGCTTTCCCCAATACTGCAGGATCTGTGAGTCATGGGAGGAACGGATCAAAGAAGGAGAAGGAATGTATCTAATCAGGAAACCATACATCGTTTTTACTTCTAAATATTTGGGGCTGATCCCTTACACTGTAGAAAAATTTACTTTTTTAAAAGCCCTTTTGGCTGGGTGTGGTGGCTCATGCCTATAATCCCAGCACTTTGAGAGGCTGAGGCAGGTGGATCACCTGAGGTCAGGAGTTTGAGACCAGCTTGGCCAACATGGTGAAACCCCGTCTCTACTAAAATTACAGAAATTAGATGGGCCTGGTGGCGCATGCCTATAATCCCAGCTACTCAGGAGGCTGAGGCAGGAGAATCACTTGAATCCGGGAGGCAGAGGTTGCATTGAGCCGAGATCATGCCATCGCACTCTAGCCTGGGCAACAGAGTGAGACTCCATCTCAAAATAAACAAACAAATAAAAATAAAAGCACTCTTTACATCTTTCATATAATAGAGTCACTAGCTTCTGTACCAATTTCTTGTCTTTAGTGTACTTTGGTAAAGTTTTATAATTAAAGCACATTTCTATCTTGAAGTTACCATCCAAGGTGGTTTCTGGATGCTAGTTTAATGATTTAAACACTAGTGGCTCACTAATTCACTAGATAGTTTTTGTTCTGTTTTCTTTTTGCTGCCTGTTTTTATTTTTATAATTACATTGGCATGAATTTCCACTTTTCAATCTTCTAAGGAATATTTGAGATTTTTGCTTTTAAAACTTAATATTTCCTTTAAAATTCTGGAACTTCTTAAGTTGACATTTTAATTTTTTTAAATTAAATTCTGTAGTGCTCTTACAGAACCGAATATTCTTAATGTAAGTATAAGCATTACAAATCCTTGTAGAATAAATATTTTTAGCATTGTTACGAAGGTTAAAAACTGGGTTTTGTTCACTTACATGTCTTAAAATTGCCTTAAAATGAATACAGAAATTTATATGGCAGCTTCTAGTACAGTTGACTGCTTTAACATGGCCTGACATCTAGTGATATTTTTCTCTCTTTCAAATTTCTGTTTTCTAGCTCTTAAATATCTGTTTCTCATTCTTATAAATCAAGATGCTTGTAGTATATAATTCTGAGACTAATTATCTGCTTTTGAATTTTTTCCACTGCAATTCATATAATGTGAAGATCTGTGAAAATGCTATGGGAAAACTAGCTTGGGTTCAAAATATCTTAACCAAATATACCCTGTAGGCTTCCCAAGAGTGACTGTCTGACAGTTGGTGACTGTAGAAGAAGCTGGTTGGGTGTTTTCTGGGCCAAGGAAATTTAAAATGTCTGCAATGTTATCCATCATTACTTTTTGCTGTCAGAAGGGATGGCAGATTGAAGCTTTTCTCCCTATCGCATTTTCAGAGTTGCCGTGTCAGAGCTTCACCTTGGGTGAAGGAAGATGGGCAGGAATTCTGGAAACAGAACTCCTGAGACCTACCTCTGCCTGCCTAAAAATGTGGACTGACTCAGTATGAGAAATAACAAGAAAACATTTAAGTGTTTGGGGCAAATGTTAATCACTTTCTTTCCATAGGGCAAATAGGAGGTGCTTTTCTTATTTAATTACGCTGATAAATTTTGAGGGTTTTTTTTTTTAAGTGTTTTGTTTTGTTGTTTTGGAGTTGAGAGTAACTTTAATTTTTATGTGTATTCATGCTGTGTATTTATGGCTACAAGTCAAACTGATTTCATATGTATGCATACATATAGTCTAATAGAGATGATTGTAATTCATTATAATCTTGAGTTTTTTAAATTAGTAAGATGGCTACTATTGCTGTTTTGGGGTTTTTAAGGTTAGATATATATCATGTTTAACTTTTTCCCCTATCTTTTTATCTTTACTTCTTTGTTCTCTACATGCTGTGTTTAAACCTTTCTGCTCTCTTCACCTGAACACATCGTGTTTGACATCATCTTTGTGTTGATGTTTATTACATAGTACCACAAAGCCTGCTCCACACCTGGATGGGTAAGAGTTACATTCTTACTACATTGGGGAAGTGTTTGGGTGGCCAGCCATAAAGAGAGATTGGACCATGGTTGAGCCCTCAAGGGAGCGCTCTTGATGTCTGGCTTAATCTCATAGCAAAAGCTATTCCTTAGGATCACAGAATATACTTGTTTTGAGACCCCATGGCTCTCATGTGACTGAAGGAGTCAATCTGTGCTCATGGATGGGCTTCTCAGCAATATAATTCTTTTTATTTTTTATTTTTCTCTTCAGTTTTCCAAAATGGGTCGGATAGTAAGCAGTACAATATCATGTGTCCCTGTAAGGAAGGTTCCCAAGTACCAAGCGAAATCTGAATGTTACCAGACTCTTTACCCTAAAATGGTTAAGAACCATTGTTTTAAAGGCAGAAAACTGAGGCCCAGTTTGCATAATCGTTTCCTTTTATGAAGCAGATTTCAAGTTCTCATTCCATTCTAGTTGCTTCATACAACAAACAGTTTGGTTTTATTTTCAGGTCTGTGGACATGTCATTGATTACAGTTAATTGTCTTGATTACTGTTTATAGCTTAATTATCAAACCAGTTGTTTCTTGAATTTGTATTATGACAGGGTGCATGTAGTCTTTGGACTGGTTATTTCTGGTTTTGAAGTAATCGAACAAATTGAAAATCTGAAGACCGATGCTGCAAGCAGACCATATGCAGATGTGCGAGTTATTGACTGTGGAGTACTTGCCACAAAATCAATAAAAGATGGTAAGAACTTTTTTGACAGTAGATGAAGCTAAGATGCAGGTAAAGCATTGCTGAAGACTGTAACTAGATTTGATTAGTGGAACTAGTGGTATAGCAATAGCCCTTGGTGCCCCTGAATCATACCCTACATGTTTAATCTTTTAGCATATCTTGTCAGATCTTACTTTTTCTTATTTCCTTGCCACCAGCCTTATCCACACCACCAGTATTTTGTGTCTGGATTATTGCCGTAGCGTCGTAACTGTTTACCTTGCCTCCGTTCTATAATCTTTTGTCAGCAGCAATAGCCTCCTAACTGGTCTCATTGCTTATATCCTAGGCCCGCTGTGGTCTGTCCTTAACAGCAACCAGAGTGATCCCTTTGAACCATAGTTTGCATTCATGTCACGCCTGCACAGAACCCTCCAAGGACTCCCATCTTCAATCATCCAAAGCAGAAGTCTTTATGGTGGTCTCTAAGGCCCTGGCTGGTCTGGCTCTCTGCTGTCTCTCTAAACTCTTTTCCCTTATTCATTGCCTTCCAGGCACATTGACCTTTTTTCAGACATGCCAACCACTCAGGGATTTTGTGCTGCCTATTCTCTTTGTCTGGAACACCCTTTGTTAAGATATCTGCATGACACTGTCCCTTGCTCTTAAGTCTCTGTTCAAATGTTATGTTAAACTACCCCTAGTCTTCCTATTCCCTTTACACTGCTTTGTTTTTCTGTCTTAGCACTTAATCATTTGTCATATTATGCAATTCTTTTTTTTTTTTTTTTTTTTTTTTTGAGACAAGAGTCTTGCTCTGTCACCCAGGCTGGAGTGCAGTGGCACTATCTCGGCTCACTGCAACCTCTGCCTCCTGGGTTCAGGTGATTCTCCTGCCTCAGCCTCTGGAGTAGCTGGGATTATAGGGATGCACCACCATGCCTGGCTAATTTTTGTTATTTTTAGTAGAGACATGGTTTCACCATGTTGGCCAGGCTGGTCTTGTACTCCTGACCTCAAGTGATTTGCTCACCTTGGCCTCCCACAGTGTTAGGATTACAGATATGAGTCACTGCACCGGGCCTATTTCTTGTTACTTGACCCAACAAGAATATAGGCTTCATAAAGACAAGGGACTTACTACCTTACAATCTTGCCAGTAATTTTATTATAAACTTGAAAAAAACTGTCTACATTTCATTTTTTGTTTGCTGTATGTAAAGCATATTTTATGATATTCAGTAATCACATTTTTTACTCTGAAAGGTAGGCACTGAATTTAGTACTAATGTTTTTATTAATGTTTCTTAAAAGTTTTTGAGAAAAAAAGGAAGAAACCAACTCATTCAGAAGGCTCGGATTCCTCTTCCAATTCCTCCTCTTCTTCAGAATCATCTTCAGAAAGTGAACTTGAACATGAGAGAAGCAGAAGGAGGAAACATAAGAGGAGGCCAAAAGTTAAACGTTCTAAAAAGAGGCGAAAGGAAGCAAGCAGTTCAGAAGAGCCAAGGAATAAACATGCAATGAACCCAAAAGGGTACGTGTAAAACACCAATGTACTCTTACCTAAAAACAAACACTCTGGAATGGGAAAAGTATGTATAATTCTATAAACTCAATTTTATTACCTGTTATTGAAAAAGGATAGCACTTTTTAAACTTTAAATTGAAATCTGGCAAATCTAGGAGTAGGTAGCATAGGCATTTCATTTCAAAGATTTGTGTGTTTTCAGTTTTCGGGTGAAAATAGTCCTAAGAACTCTTTTTTTAAGAGATAGGGTCTTGCTCTGTTATCCAGGCTGGAATACAGTGGCACAATTATAGCTCACTGCATCCTCCACCTCCTGGGCTCAAGAGATCTTTCTGCATCAGCCTCCTGAGTAGCTAGGACTACGGGCGTATACCACTATGCTTGGCTAATTTTTAAATTTTTTGTAGAGACAGGGTCTTCCGCTATGTTGACCAGGCTGGTCTCTGACTCCTGTCCTCAAGCAATCCTCCCACCTAAGACCCCTAAAGTACTGGGATTACAGGTGTGAGCCACAATGCCTGGCCTCCTGGAACTCTTAAAATAAAAAAGTTAGGATCATTTAACAATTTTCCTATCAAAATTCTAGTCTTTGGGTTTTTCACTGGGTTGATATTGTTCTCTTTGTGAAAATCATATAACTCTTTTGAGTGAGACTTGTAAGCTATCGTTAATTATGCTGTTGTTTTAGTAACTAATTTTATGTGCTTTTATTATGAAATGCAAACATTATACATTTTAATCAGTGACTTGGTTTGTTCTAAGTCACTCTGAGAGGAGTGATACCAATGAAAAAAGGTCAGTTGATTCCAGTGCTAAAAGGGAAAAACCTGTGGTCCGCCCAGAAGAGATTCCTCCAGTGCCTGAGAACCGATTTTTACTGAGAAGAGATATGCCTGTTGTTACTGCAGAACCTGAACCGTAAGTAGGATGACTAAACTATTTATTTTTATTTCTCCGATAACACTGTTCCGTCAGCTCATTGCATTCCACACTCATGTATGGAACATGATCCATGTTTGAAGCACATTGAAAGATAGTATGGGAGTATTAGATTAATGAATGATACGTAGGAAATATGGGGGATACCAGATTATTGAGTGATATGTACCCTACCTTTCAGAATTCACATTCTAGCAGGGAGAGGAGGTTGGGCAAGTTGGTCAGGGAAGCCCTTATTGGGGATCTGGAAAGATTTTATTCCTGATCTTCTTGCCTTTGCCTTTTATTAGAGGGGTGAGGTTTTAGTTATCAGAATAGAGAGTTAGTTGAATTCTTTGGATCCATTTGAGTGATGAAGCATGGGTTCCAATTTGAATAGTGCATAATTAATTGCATGATGATTGGAGATACAATTTAGTATCATAAATAAGTTACTTTTGTTAACTTGTTCAACAATTACTTCCTGCATTGGAAAAGTGAATGTGTCGCTTTAGATTTGGTCTGAGAAAATAGTATTTAATGTATTTTGTGTGTTAGACTCAAGTTTAGAATTATTGAAAGAAAATGTTTCATGAACAGAAATATCATAATGGCTGGTGTCATTGATAAGTTCCCTATGAAGAGTTATTTTGAAAGCTGAAAAGTATAAGAGTCCTTATTTATAATTAGCTCTCTGCATAAAGTTATCATTTAGTTCATTAAATATTTTTTAAAGCCTGATATTGTCTTGTTTTAAAAAGCTATTGCAAAATGGCATGTATCTTTGAATTAATAGCTTAACATAATGTGTTTTCATTATTAAAAATTCTAGCTTCTTTGCTTATTTTTAATTTTCATCACAATCTTCTTTTCCTAGGAAGATTCCTGATGTTGCACCCATTGTAAGTGATCAGAAACCATCTGTATCAAAGTCTGGACGGAAGATTAAAGGAAGGGGCACAATTGTATGTGTGATAAGACTTTTTTTGATATTATGTATCTAATAAAAAATTTTTACCTATTTTCAAAGTCCTAGCGTTAATTTTAGATATAATACAAAATCTGTTCAAGGAACTAATTGTATTTTCCATGGTTATGGGAAGGTATTGCTGTTAGATCAAAGTATACTGCTGTGTTTGAATGGGTTTAATTGAGTATGAAAGGAGGAACATGTGAAACCATCAGTGAGTATGCTGAGAAATCATTAAGACTTTAAAAAGGAAAATTTTATGTGGATTACAGGTGAATCTCAGCCTTGCCCATCTCTTTTAATGCCTTGTTTGAAATAACTTCACCTGAACCTAAAATAAAAGTTAAAAACTAAAAAAAAAAAAAAAAAAAAAGAACTTTAGACCATCCTTTTGGTAACTTCAATCATTACCTTTGATGGGATGATCTGAGATTGGGTCTTTTACTTAACTCTGTCACATAGCAGACTGTCGTGGAGAGGCATTTTTTAAAATACTATTGTTTTTGTTTTTAAAGCGCTATCACACACCTCCAAGATCAAGATCCTGTTCTGAGTCAGATGATGATGACAGCAGTGAAACTCCTCCTCACTGGAAAGAGGAAATGCAGAGATTAAGAGCATATAGACCACCTAGTGGAGAAAAATGGAGTAAAGGAGATAAGTAAGAACTTTGAGTATAAGCACAATCCTGTGTCTGTTATATTTTAAATGTTAAAGGGATTGGATACAATTCTGGACTTTTCATTAAAGATTCAGTGAAAGATTCACAGTCAGACTGTGACCAAAGGAAATACATTTGGGACTACTTGATGAAAGTAGTACTGTTAACTAGTTGGGCTTTTAAATCAAAATCCTGTTTTCCTTAACAAAAACTATAAGCCTGTGTCTTTTAATGACCTCTTAGTCAATTTTAGAAATAATTAGGACTTAGAGGCCGGGCGTGGTGGCTCACGCTTGTCATCCCAGCACTTTGGGAGGCCGAGGCAGGCGGATCACGAGGTCAGGAGATTGGGACCACAGTGAAACCCCATCTCTACTAAAAATACAAAAAATTAGCCGGGCGTGGTGGCGGGTGCCTGTAGTCCCAGCTACTTAGAGAGGCTGAGGCAGGAGAATGGTGTGAACCCGGGAGGTGGAGCTTGCAGTGAGCTGAGATCGTGCCACTGCACTCCAGCCTGGGTGACAGAGCGAGACTCCGTCTCAAAAAAAAAAAAAAATAATTAGGACTTAGAAATTATATAGCAGATTCTTTCCTAGCCAGCCAGGTCACTGATGAGTTCATTGGTAAATAGGAAAACCTGCACTCGGTGTTCATGTTGACTGTTGATCGCAGAGACTTGCTTTTTTAGAAGTGTACACATCTCTTACCTTCAGTGATGTCCCACAGTTGAATATTTATTTTAGGAAGGGGATAGGCCCCAGAATAGCTAGTGAAAAATATACTAATGGGACCCTGTGTAATCTTCCATGGTAGTATTCTCTTTTTCTCTGGGGACATCCTGCAGAGTGGTTTGGAATTGTGAAAAGGAGGAAAAGGAATGCATCTGCTGTGTAGAAGCGGCTCAGACACAGTGGTGCTGAGGACTTTCAGTTCTGAGCCTTGACATTAACACTCAGATTGTAACCTGTATCTGTTTTTGTGTACTTTTTCCTCAATTTCTGTTTTAAGTAGTTTACAGTCTTAGGGGAAATCTGGATTACCTGTCTGAGGTGGAGAAAAAACAAGCTTCATGCTAGTTTCAAGCAGCTATCCTGCATCTTCAGAAAATCAACAAATTGTTTGAGACCTTGGTTTGACTCACCCTCAAAAACTGTCCTAGAGGCAGAGGGTTGTGAGCAGATAACAGCCAGGAACTCTTGTGATTTGAGTTCAGCAGTGTTCTTGTGATTAGTTGGTTTGCTTTTCAAAAACATTTTCCTAACAAATGTAAGGTTCTTTGCTTAGCTTAAAAAAAAAATCCTTTTGTAAGTGAATTTGTTAGTAGTTCTTAGTGTGTGTCTCTGAAAGTATAACAAGACCAGGCCTATAACTCTGATTCACGCTTCCTGCGTGTGCTTAAAGTGTTAATGGGGTCAAGAACTTTGTTGTTAACAAAGCTGTGTCTTAAGGTGTAGAAAACATGCTTATAAATCACCGCATGAATATTATGTCCTTTCTATAGGTTAAGTGACCCCTGTTCAAGCCGATGGGATGAAAGAAGCTTGTCTCAGAGATCCAGATCATGGTCCTATAATGGATATTATTCAGACCTTAGTACAGCAAGACACTCTGGCCACCATAAAAAACGCAGAAAAGAAAAAAAGGTTAAGCATAAAAAGAAAGGGAAAAAGCAGAAACACTGCAGAAGACACAAACAAACAAAGAAGAGAAGGATTCTTATACCGTCTGACATAGAATCCTCAAAATCTTCCACTCGAAGAATGAAATCCTCTTGTGATAGAGAAAGGAGTTCTCGTTCTTCCTCATTGTCATCTCATCACTCATCAAAGAGAGACTGGTCTAAATCTGATAAGGATGTCCAGAGCTCTTTAACCCATTCCAGCAGAGACTCATACAGATCAAAATCTCACTCACAGTCTTATTCTAGAGGAAGCTCAAGATCAAGGACTGCGTCAAAGTCCTCATCACATTCTCGAAGTAGATCAAAGTCCAGATCTAGTTCCAAGTCTGGGCACCGAAAGAGAGCATCAAAATCACCAAGAAAAACAGCTTCTCAGTTAAGTGAAAATAAACCAGTTAAAACAGAACCTTTAAGAGCAACCATGGCACAAAATGAAAATGTAGTAGTACAACCAGTTGTAGCAGAAAATATTCCTGTAATACCACTGAGTGACAGTCCCCCCCCTTCAAGATGGAAGCCTGGACAGAAACCTTGGAAGCCCTCTTATGAGCGAATTCAGGAAATGAAAGCTAAAACAACCCATTTGCTACCCATCCAAAGCACTTACAGTTTAGCAAATATTAAAGAGACTGGTAGCTCATCATCCTACCATAAAAGAGAAAAAAATTCGGAAAGTGATCAGAGCACTTATTCAAAATACAGTGATAGAAGTTCAGAAAGCTCACCAAGGTCAAGGAGCAGATCTTCTAGGAGTAGATCTTATTCCAGATCATATACAAGATCACGTAGTCTAGCTAGTTCACATTCAAGGTCTAGGTCTCCATCATCTAGATCTCATTCACGAAATAAATACAGTGATCATTCACAGTGTAGTAGATCATCTTCATATACTTCTATTAGCAGTGATGATGGAAGGCGAGCTAAGAGGAGACTTAGATCCAGTGGGAAAAAAAATAGCGTTTCACATAAAAAGCATAGCAGCAGCTCTGAAAAGACACTTCACAGTAAATATGTCAAAGGTAGAGACAGGTCTTCATGTGTGAGAAAGTATAGCGAGAGCAGATCATCTTTAGATTATTCTTCAGACAGTGAGCAGTCAAGTGTTCAGGCCACACAGTCAGCCCAGGAAAAAGAGAAGCAGGGCCAAATGGAAAGAACACATAATAAACAAGAAAAAAACAGAGGTGAAGAAAAATCCAAGTCTGAACGGGAATGCCCTCATTCAAAAAAAAGAACTTTGAAAGAGAATCTTTCTGATCACCTTAGAAATGGCAGTAAGCCCAAAAGGAAGAATTATGCTGGTAGTAAATGGGACTCTGAGTCAAATTCAGAACGAGATGTCACTAAAAACAGTAAAAATGACTCCCATCCATCCTCTGACAAGGAAGAAGGTGAGGCCACATCCGATTCTGAATCAGAGGTTAGTGAAATTCACATCAAAGTCAAACCCACAACCAAGTCGTCCACAAATACTTCACTGCCTGATGATAATGGTGCTTGGAAATCAAGCAAACAGCGCACATCAACTTCTGACTCTGAGGGGTCCTGTTCCAATTCGGAAAACAATAGGGGAAAGCCACAAAAGCACAAACATGGGTCAAAGGAAAATCTTAAAAGAGAACACACCAAAAAAGTGAAAGAGAAATTGAAAGGGAAAAAAGACAAAAAGCATAAGGCTCCAAAACGAAAGCAAGCATTTCACTGGCAGCCTCCACTAGAATTTGGTGAAGAGGAGGAGGAGGAGATTGATGACAAGCAAGTTACTCAGGAATCAAAAGAGAAAAAAGTTTCTGAAAACAATGAAACCATAAAAGATAATATTCTAAAAACTGAGAAATCCAGTGAAGAGGACCTTTCAGGTAAACATGATACAGTGACTGTTTCATCAGATCTTGATCAGTTTACTAAAGATGATAGTAAACTCAGTATTTCTCCCACAGCTTTAAATACTGAGGAAAATGTGGCCTGTTTACAAAACATTCAGCACGTTGAAGAAAGTGTTCCCAATGGAGTGGAAGATGTGCTTCAAACAGATGACAACATGGAGATCTGCACTCCTGATAGGAGTTCCCCAGCAAAAGTAGAGGAGACTTCCCCTCTAGGAAATGCACGGCTTGATACCCCAGATATAAACATTGTTTTGAAGCAGGATATGGCAACGGAACATCCTCAAGCAGAGGTAGTAAAACAGGAAAGCAGCATGTCCGAAAGTAAAGTGTTGGGTGAAGTGGGGAAACAGGACAGCAGCTCTGCTAGCTTGGCTAGTGCTGGAGAAAGTACCGGGAAGAAGGAGGTGGCTGAGAAGAGCCAGATCAACCTCATTGATAAGAAATGGAAGCCCCTGCAAGGTGTGGGGAACCTGGCAGCACCTAATGCTGCCACATCCAGTGCTGTGGAAGTTAAGGTGTTGACCACTGTGCCTGAAATGAAACCACAAGGCTTGAGAATAGAAATTAAAAGCAAAAATAAAGTTCGGCCTGGGTCTCTCTTTGATGAAGTAAGAAAGACAGCACGCTTAAACCGTAGACCAAGAAATCAGGAGAGTTCAAGTGATGAGCAGACGCCTAGTCGGGATGATGATAGCCAGTCCAGGAGTCCAAGTAGATCTCGAAGTAAATCTGAAACCAAATCAAGACACAGAACAAGGTCTGTCTCCTATAGTCACTCAAGAAGTCGATCGAGAAGTTCCACATCATCTTATCGGTGAGCAATATTCTCTTTCCTTTCTTCTCCCAAGGAGAGTCTGTTATTGTTTAGCTTGGAAGAATATCAGAATTAGGGACAGAATCACTATTTCCAAATATCTGAAAGGAATAAGAAGTCTTGTTTTGTGTGATTCAGAGAGTAGATTGAAAACTTAGGGAGAGGGAATTTCAGGAGGAGAAATTTGGGCTGGGTTTACAAAACTATTACTATCAGTTTAAAGCTCTCTGTCACTAGAAATGAGTTCCCATGATAGGTGGTAAATTCTCCATCTTTAAAGGTGTGAGGCTGCTTCTTGCCAGTCAAGTGATGCCTTAGAAGGGAATCCTGAATTGACAGAATATATAGAATTTGCAGATCATTAATCTAACCTTCCATTTTACACATGTGGAAGTTGAGGGCCAGAGAGACAAAGTTACCTGCCCAAGACATGCATCTTAGTTTAGATGGGGCATAGGGATAAAAATGATCATCTTTAGATTTTTGTTGTTGTTTGAAAAGCAATAAAAGAATTTAAAACACCTTTTTCTCATCTTTGTCACTCTGCACCTTCATGAAAAGGTTTTTTGTTATTGTTATAAATTGCATCATAACTTGTCAGCATAGAATGGATAACAGAGATGAGAATTAAAAACTAAAAATATTTGTGATGGTAATAGGAAGTTAGTAAGCAGTTGTGTTGCATTCTTTTTCTTGTAAATATTTTATGGTTTTACCTGTTTCTTAATTATTCATATCCCTTATTTTATTGTGCTTGATATTCATCATTTGAACTGAAAATACCATAAGAATCTTTGACGTTTGTTTCCTTTCTAGTTATTCATCAGTCTTTCTTCCCTTGCCTACCCAGACTTCCTAAAAAAGGAACCGCCACGTGCCATCTATACTCGGTCTCCCATTTTCTCCTCGGCTGTGTGCTTGCTGCCTTCTGTGCCTTCCCCTCCCCGCATCTCTTAGTTTACTGACTAAGACTTTCAGGTACTTCTGATGGCCAGTACCATGGCGTATTTTCAGCCTCACTTCTGGAGCCCTCTGCTAGCTCTCCTTTCTCCCACTCAGGCCATTTCGTCCCTGTGTTCTAGGCTTCTCTTCTTCCTCATGGCCTTTTCTCTCTGAGTTCCTGTTGATAGATGCAGTTGCCTATTGAGCGACTCCAGCTTCCTGTCTGCTTATGATCTGCCTTAACCATTTACACAGAGACAGCTCTGAGCTATTCGTGATGCTGGCCACTCTTCTCATTTACCTTCCCACCTCTGCCTTGGAGTGGGTGGTATTTCAGTTTGTAATGAAGACAGCAAGGCGTAGAAAGGCTAAGGGACTTGTTCTAGGCTATGCAGCTAACAGGTAGTAGACTGAGATGGATAAGCCTGGGTGCTGCCCTGCCTCCCTGTTTTGGTTACCTGCCTGGGCCTGACACCCCCATTAGGCTGTGAACTCCTTGAAGTCAGGAACTGTGTGTTACTCATCGTTCAGTCACCTCACAGGGTCTGGCTTTATTATTTTTGGTTGAATAAATGACTACAATCTTATTAGAACATAACGTATTCATTTTCTTGCAGATATACTGGAAGCAGGTCATGTCTTCCAAAACATAGTGCATACTGAATAAAACCTATGGTGATATTACATAATGTCACCTGTACACAGAGGTATTGTTCTGTTCCTGAATGACAGGCCTAAAGTAGGGGAGAAGGGTGGGGAGCCAAGTGAATGCAGAGGGGCAGAATTGTACTGCTTACATTTTTGCTTGTTTTATTAAGTATTAGACATAAAAAATGATAAAAGTATAAAAAGCTATATAATACATACTCATGTACCTGCCATCTAGCTTAAAAAATAGATCTTTGGGCCGGGTGTGGTGGCTCACACCTGTAATCCCAGTACTTTGGGAGGCCGAGGTGGGCAGATCACAAGGTCAGGAGTTCAACACCAGCCTAACCAACATGGTGAAACCCTGTCTCTACTAAAAATACAAAAATTAGCCGGGCGTGGTAGTGCGTGTCTGTAATCCCAGCTACTCAGGAGGCTGAGGCAGGAGAATTGCTTGAACCTGGGAAGCAGAGGTTGCAGTGAGCCAAGATCGCGCCACTGCACTCCAGCCTGGGCGACAGAGCAAGACTCCTCAAAAAAAAAAAAAAAATAGAGCTTTGATGTACCAGTGCCACCCCTAGGTGCATGCCTATGTCCCAAAGTTAACCATTATTCTAAACTTTGGTTATAATTTTGTTGTCTTTCTTTATAGCTTTACCCCAAGTGTTTCTATCTTTATACAATGTTATGTTTGCACTTTTTATTAAGTAAAATACTTTTATATATATAGATGTTCTACATTTGCCTTCTTCATTCAACATTGTGTTCTAGAGATATATCCTTGCTGAAACATGTAGCTGTAGTTCATTTTCTTCAGAATATTTCGTTATATATCTCTACCTTAATGTTTTTTTAACCCATTCTACCATTAGTGGAGATTTGGTTTATTTTCTTCTCAGTGTTATTGGTGTTATAAATCAGGCTTCTATGAACATACTTGTGCCAATCTTTTCTTGTTTTTCTTTATTTTCTTCTGTTTGATTTTAACCATGGTTGTTTTGAGAGTTCCTCATTAGCTGACACTGTCATATCCACTGTGAGGAGTTTGTGAGAGGCCTTTCTTCTTGTTGTGTTTTCCCCTTTCTGCCCTACCAGTAATTAATTTTAATATCATGATGAGTCAACATAATTATATATTTTTTCAATTGCTTTAATTGTAGATCAAGAAGCTACTCTAGAAGTCGGAGCAGAGGATGGTACAGCAGAGGCCGAACCAGAAGCCGGAGCAGTTCCTACCGGAGTTACAAAAGTCACAGGTGAGCTTGTGATCTCACCCTGTGATGTGGTCTCCATCATGTCCACTTTTTAAGGCTACATAGGCAGAGGGGGTAGTTGTTGAGAAGAATCATGTCATTACTGAATATACTACTGGCCTATTTTCTCATGTAGTTTTTTCTATGTAAGAGCTGTGGAATTCTTGACTATTCCTCTGTTGGGATCTTATCAGAGTGAGGCAAGAGGAGCAGTAGAAATATTTAAGAAGCCTTGACCCCTACCTCCACCTCCCCCACATGCATCTTCCTTAACCTAAGTTTTACATCTGCATTCACCTCTTGACATGGGTTAGAGATTGGGATAGGAAGATTGTAGAGAGGGGACCAAGAGGAAGAAGTATATATATGGTGGGAAGGGTGGCCCCAGATTTCTAGTTCTCCTAGCTTCTTTCCCTCTTTTGCATCTGAGGTATTTTCTACTGCTGTCACTTCACTTTACTTACAAAGGTCCTACCTGTACAGACCTTTCCCCTAACTCCACCCAGTTTAGAGCCTCCCTAGTGACTATATGCATCTCAGAGAAGAACTGCATAAAACTTGATCTTATGAAATCCAATAGGCTTTTTAAAAAATCCAATATACTTTTGATATGAAAACAAAACAAATGTAGCTGTGGGATTTCACTGTATTTTCACCTTGATGGGCAAATAAATGTCTAGATATTTGGTATAGCCTGTCCTGCCCTGATCTATAAGATGATGGTCCTTCATGTGATTAATATTAGGACGTCCAGCAGGAGCAGATCCAGGAGCAGCTCATATGATCCCCACAGTCGATCCAGGTATGAACAGGGATTGGGAAACCACCAGTGGGGCAGAACTGAAAGATCTTGTTTTGTAAACTGTTTGTTCAAAGTGGTATTTTATTGAGTAACTAAATGCATATATTTGTCTCCTGAAACCATACCTTTTCTAAATGAGGTCTGTTCGACAAGTTTTATCTGTTGGCCCATTGTACTCCAGTGTCAAAAATGACAATATCAAATTGTAATGGCAGGTGTTTATTGAATATAATTGCCTACAGAGATCCACCAGGTTCAAACTAACTCGTTAACTTTGTGATATTTTTCAATGCAGAAAAGAAATTAACATTTTTCTCTTTAATTATGGTAAGTCTCATTTGGGGCAATTGTTAAATGTTTCCAGTACTTGTTTTGGAAATATATCCTCATGCTGTCACCTAGTGCCCATGTTCTAAGCTAGAACACTCCTGAGATCCTAAAAAGAAATAGGAACATATGAGTATCTGAGTGGGAAAATTTAGTGTTTGTTGTTGCCGTTAAAGCAGGTCCTACACCTACGATAGCTACTATAGCAGGAGTCGGAGTCGAAGTAGAAGCCAGAGAAGTGACAGTTACCACCGAGGCAGAAGTTATAATCGGCGGTCCAGGTGGGTCTCTCTCCTTTATCGTCCTTTATCGCACTGTAGGCCACGGTGGGCACTTGATGTGGGAGGGTGATGGGCTGCTAGTGGAAGAGAAAGTGGTATAATCTTCCAAGGACAGAAATACTTCTTCCTTTAAATCTGAACAACCCACAAGCAGCCACTAAAAGTGGCTTTTATATTAAGAGTTGCCAGGTAATATTTGTTGGTTATTATTAATGTTTGAATCTAAAATGGGTTTCTAAATATTCACATATCTTGGACAGACCTTTCTTTTGGAAAGAAAGAAGGCCACCCAAACCATGGCCACTTGCTTAAATAGAACCACTTGCTAGCAGTAGCCAGTTTCTCATTTTTTTTAAATAAAAAAATACATAATATAATTTGCTTCAGCAGCAGGATTGAGGTTTATATGTTGTCAATTATTTAGTAAAATACATTTTTTATGTATTATATGTATTATGTTTAACATATTTTGGCTTCTGCAAAAGTCTTTATGTTAACTTTTGTACTGTCCTTTTCTGGTGGCTTCTGGTCTTGCCTTCCCCTGTCCATTGCAACTGCAATGATGCTTGTAAATATCAGTCTGATCTGGATACTCCCTTGCTTGAAACTCTTCAAGGACTCCCTGCTGCTTTCATGATCAGGTCCAGCCTCCTCAGCACCAACTCCAGCTCACACTCTTTCTGGCTTCCCTCCTTTAAAGTGTTGGGACTTTTCCTTCTGCCTGGAGACACACGTGTCCTCTTCACCATCTCCCCTTTTGCCACTTGAAATGGCCAGTTCCCATCTACCCTGCAGATCTCCACTGTCCCTGGGCAGCCCTCCCTGATGCCTAATCCTAGGATACAGTCCCTCCCATGTGCCTCTAAGACAGCCCTTTGCTCCTACTGTGGCTCCCCTTGCTCCTAAATTACTTGTCTTGCTGACTATTCTATTCTGTCCTTGAACCCCAGAGAACTATACTTGGTTTTGTGTCTTTGTGTGTGTGTGTGTGTGTTCCCAGCATCTTGCAAAATGCCTGGCTCACAGTGAATGTTTTTCAAAATAACTGAATGGGACCCATGACCAGGTCCTCTTGACTCAATATCCCAGTGGTCCTGTTCATGCCCAGGGCCACCCCCACCCCTCATTGGACCCCATTTTGGTTTCCATTCCTTGAGTGAAACTATTTGTGCACCTTTTCCCCATTACTTTTCTCAGGTAATCTATTCAAATATTGATACTCATTTTGGGTAATATGGGGAAACTATTCTGCTCATTGGTTTTTTGTTTTTGTGGTCCCAGCATTTGCATGAATGAATTTCACACAAATTTCCTAAGATGTGATGTTTCTTTATTTTATCTTAATCTTGACATTACTACAACTTGTCATTTAAAACAGCTTCAAAAAGTCCATAGTGTGAGTCGGGCACGGTGGCTCACGCCTGTAATCCCAGCACTTTGGGAGGCTGAGGCAGGTGGATCGTCTGAGGTCAGGAGTTGAAGACCAGCCTGGCCAACATAGTGAAACCCCGTCTCTACTAAATAAAAAAAATTAGCTGGGCGTGGTGGCGGGCACCTGTAATTGCAGCTACTAGGGAGGCTGAGGCAGGAGAATCACTTGAACCCGGGAGGTGGAGGTTGCAGTGAGTTGAGAGCATGCCGTTGCACTCCAACCTGGGCAAAAAGAGTGAAACTCCATCTCAAAAAGAAAAAGAAAAGTCCATGGTGTTGCCATAGTCAGTACCCTACCTCTGTGTTATGCTGCATCAATAGTGCATCAGTTATATGAGTGGCTTGAAAACACTATTGATGTTTTCAAGCCACTCATATAAAAAACAAGCTATAAGAGGAATTCAAAGATTTTACAGTTACAAGATTTTTATATATTTTGTTTTGTTATTACAGGAGTTGTAGATCTTATGGCTCTGACAGTGAAAGTGACCGAAGTTACTCTCATCACCGGAGCCCCAGTGAGAGCAGCAGATACAGTTGAAAACGTCCGGATACAAATTATATCTTATTTGTAAATATCTGGCAACTTAGCTTAAGAAATGTAATGACAGTCTGTTGTTCTATTTCAATATCAGAGGTGAATTTCAAAAATAGACACTTCTTAATTGTTACTGGTTCATTTACATGTGGGGAGAAGAATTTAAAATACAGATATGTCTCCTAAAAATATTTTTATGCCACATTTTACAGTAGCCAACTATGGAAATGAATTTCATTTTCTTGAATCAAGAAATCGTGAAATTTATCTATGTATAATTTGCAATATTATTTTAAGTCTATTTCACTCTATCTTACGTATCCCTTAGAATACAGATTCTTTTTGCCTGTTTTTCCAGTTTTAGCATATATGCTGCCAAGCATAGAACTGTGAAGGAGAACTGTTAAAGGCGGCCAAATATTTATATACTGATTACATAGAGTCTTGTACATATGTGCTCTAAAAACAAACCACCCAGAATTGATACTGTTGGTAACCAGGAGTATAAGGCAGTGGCTCTGGGGTTCTTAATTCATTCCTAACTTCTTTGATACTTCACAGGATTAGGAAAGTGGTCATCATACATCCCACACAGTCTGTATTACTTCAGGCTTGTGGGCAAGGTTAGGAAGAATCAATCAGCCTTAACTATAAATACCTGCACTGTCTCTGAGGACTTACTATTTTATGTTCTTTTTAATCAATACCGATCAGAAGTTTAGGTTATAAAAACAATTCTACTTCATGCTTTGGTGCTTGGTAATTTTTGGTGCGTCTTTAAGCATTACTCTTATATATCATATATTAAAATACCATAAAAATGAAATTCAGACAAAATCACTGGCACCAAAAATGGTTTATTCTGAGCTGTCTTCACTTTGACTATTTGGGGGGCTTCTCTCAAGTACAGATGTGGGTTGGGGTCCCCTGGAGCAGGCAGGATTGGCAGTAAGAGATATTGGCCACTCAAGTCTACTGTGTGTGTGTGCCTCTGGAAGAGTGAAGAATGGACTTCAAAAGTAACATCAAAAATCTAACTGCCACCATCCTGGAGACATTTTGCAGGGCTTTCCTTTCAAGTCTTTCAAGTACAGGATATTACCACAACAGCAGCTGAACTGTTGTAACCAGCATGTTTTTCCTATTTCCACTGTGACCTGCAGCTGACTCAAAGCCTTGCGTGACCTGACCCAGGTGCAAGAGACAGGGGAAGAGGGATAGAGGGTATAGCATAAATTACATATTTTCATGGCTTTGGGTGGTTCCTCCAAAAATAATTGGACCTGTAAAAACTAGTGTGTGTGTGTGTGTGTGTGTGTGTGTGTGTGTGGTTTTTTTTTTTAATCTTTACTTTGAATTTGTTCCCCAAGTGTACTTAATCACCTTAGTGCCAGTTTAATCCAGTTATGCAGAAGAAATTCATATTGGTTGCCTGATGTAGAGCTCAGCACCACCCTACCACAGGCCTTGTCTGGTGTATTTGGGAAGTGGAAAAGAGCCCTCAGTTGGAGGGAGCTGACAACCCTTGGTGGAGGGAGGGTGCCCTTGAATGTATTAAAACTATCACCCAAAGAAGGTATGAAAACAGGGTAAGGTGGTCAGTTGTTTGCCAGGTCAATAGACAGAAAGTACATTAGAAAACAGGACTTAGGCCAAACAAACAATACTGGATACTGAATACAAAACAGTATGATTTATATTAAAGGTTTCCAAAGGTTGCCTGCAAAGGAGAATATTACTACTAGTCAGCAGGAAAAAAATGCATTCAGAACCCAAGCAGAAACTGCCAAATGTAATTAGGTTAAGAAAAGTTACCCTTGGGCAGTGTATTAGTTTTCTATTGCTGTGTGACAAATTACCCCAAATTTAGCAGTTTAAAAAACAATACCCATAGCAGTTCTGTAGCTCATGAGTCTGGCACAGTGTGGCTGGATTCTCTGCTCAGGGTCTTAAAGGCTGAAATAAGGGTTGGCAGGACAACATTCCTTCATGGAGGCTCTGGGGAAGAATCTGCTTCTAAGTTCATTCAGGTTGTTGGCGGAATTCAGTTCTTTGCTGGCTCTCAGCTGGAGGCCCCTCTCTCACCTCAAGGCTGCCTGCATTCCTTCTTATGTGGTCCCCTCCAGCTTCAAACCAGCCTTCCTGCTCTTTCTCATGCTTCATATCTCTCTCCCGTCCTCCTGTTTTAGGGGCATATGATTAGCTCAAGCCCACAGATATATTTTAAGGTTGATTGTGCGATAGAACATAATTGCAGGAGTACTGTCTCATCTCATCATATTCACGGGTTCTGGAGATTAGCTCATTGAAAGTGGGAGGGGCATTTTCAAATTCTGCCTACCACAGGCAATAACTGCCCATCTCAGCTGTAGGTGGAATTTTTACCCAGAAAAGATAGGCCCTAGAAGCCTCATTTCTTTTCTCCATGGAAAAGGACAGCCCTCTGCTGCAGCGTTCAACTTGTGTGTTTACTGACAGAGTGAACTACAGAAATAGCTTTTCTTCCTAAAGGGGATTGTTCTACATTTTGAAGTTATTTTTTAATAAAATTGAATTATGTTGTGTATTGTGCTTCTTAATAGGAAATGCATTATTGGACTGTTTTTGTAACATCCTGTTTATTGCAAATAGCTAGTATCGTTCAAAAACTGTATAAAATACTTTTGTACATATTAGCAATGTCTAATTTGTATACACTTCAGTTAAATTTCCCTAAAACTTGAAAGGGGACCTTGTAGAAATTAAAATATATACTTAGTCTAAGTCTGAGTCTGTTCATGTTTTATCTTTCTGCTGACCCAGCCAGTGAAGACACCTCATCTCCTTTGGCAGCTCCTTTTCTTCTCCTAGCTGAGTGTTAGTGGTGGGTGTAGGAGGTGGAGCTAGAGAGAATGTCAGGCAGAGATTTTAACCTACACAGGTAAGCATTAATGATGTTTGGTCTTCCTCCCCTGGAAAATCCAGATTTCCTCTACACTTTGTTGTCATCTAGTTAAAATGACCTGCATAAAGATGTCTTTGCTGAGGGAGGAATATGTCACATCCCATGTGTGAGTTTCTACCTAGAGACAGTCCATTTACCTACAGCCTCTACATTTCCCTCCCTAACGGCAGCGCACTAGGCAGTGCAGCACATGTCACTCACTCCCAGAGAAAACATTCATGGTGATATTTTTAGTATACACATAAGAATTTGCAGGGGAAGTACAATTAACTTTTGTCTCCTCAGAACTGAAAGGAATGTCTATTTTCTTAGTGAATACAACATAACTTATTGTAGTTAACTTCTCACTGCAGATACTCAGTTTTTAAACTGAGTTAACAGTGGACTCCTTAGTTGGGCAACTCCTGAAATTTGTCAAATCTGGATGCATTCCTTTAAAATGTAAAGAAAATGCAGGATCAAGTTCTGATAGTGGTAAACTTGATAGTTGGGCAGTATTGGGGGGAAAATGTGCCAAGGACTTTGGTCTTGACTCTTCTGAATTAGCTGGGCATTAAATAGGCGGGAAGGTAATTCAAGGAAAATGCCCCTCTTGCAAGAGATTATGGACACTAACTGGGCATCACTGTTTAGAAGAGACGGGAGGTGGCCAGGCATGGTGGCTCACGCCTGTAATCCCAGCACTTTGGGAGGCCAAGGCGGGTGGATCACTTGAGGTCAGGAGTTTGAGACCAGCCTGGCCAACATGGTGAAATCCCGTCTCCACTGGAAAAAAAAAAAGAGGCTCTACTCAGTTTTTCAAGGCAAATGCTGAGCCTTGAAGGAGTGTTGCAAACTAATGTGGTCAGGTGAAAGGATGTGGAAGCCATGCCTCACAAGGTGAAACGGACTGGGTTCAGATTTCCGGAGAACTCTGGTTTTTGGAACAGAGAATCAAGTCTGCTGTTCCCCACAGTGAGGCAAGAGCCTGCAGGCCCATGAGGGCCTTGTGGTAGAATGAGCTGGGAAGACAGCAGGGAGAAGTTCTTTGATGCAGTAAAGGCCCCTCAGGAGTCCAGAGGTGTCAGGGGAGGACGCTGGGTACCCTGAAAGAACACCTGTTCATCTCAGGACAGACTGGGAAGCTTGTCGGGGCCTGGTAAGTGCAAGGCAAGGAGAGCCTGCCCTGGCCACATACACACAGGGCTAGGAGGCTTTAGTGGTCTGTTTTCTTTCAAAGTTTCAGTACAAGGTAGAGATAGTGCTCCCTTGCTGCTGCCTCCACTCCTCACTGTGAATCAGAAGGCCCCAGGTAGGCCTGCTGCCTCTTGGAGACCCCAGACCCACCACTTACTATAGCCCATCAAACTCCAGCTCCCTAGACTGAGCTGAGCTTCACAGCCTGCAGAACCCAGGCTAGCTTGGAGAGGGTTGCATCTCTTCAGCCCAGAGCCTTGAGGACATCAGGGTAAAAGGAGTGGCCACCTATATTTCTAGTGCTTTAGGAGGCCTAGGCAGGAGGATTGCTTGAGGCCAAGAGTTCAAGACCAGTCTGGACAACATAGCAAGACTATTAAGACAAGAACAGAACAAAAAGCAGCTGGGCATGCTGATGCACACCTGTAGTCCCAGCTACTCAGAGGGCTGAGGTGGGAGGATCACTTGAGCCTAGGAGGTGGAGACTACAGTGAGCCATGATTGCATCTCTGCCCAGCTTGGGCAACAAAGCAAGACCCTGTCTGAGAAACAACAAATGGAGTGACCTGAGGTCTCAGGACAAACACCTGCATTCTGCATCTTGAGCCCTGATCCTGGGCCTCCTATGGCTCATAAACCCCTGAAAGAGGGTATACATGACTGGCACACTCAGACATGAGAGACAACCAGGGGTGCTCATCCCTTCCCAGCCTGCAGACGAGTCTGCCTCCCAGTGGACCTGGCCCACAGGGGTTGGGTGTATAGGCTGGCACTTCACCAGCCTCTGGTCACCTAGGACCTCTAGCAACTAAAATCTCCCATCAGGCCAGGTTCCCAGAGAAAGCCTAAGAAGAGTCCCCACTGACCTCAATGCCTCCAGCCTAATTTGGTTTTATTTTGAAGAAGCAGGGGGACTTCTATGAGCAACTATGCTATGGTACAATCGTTAAGGTCTCTGGGCCAGAACCAGGCTGCTTGGGTTCAAGTTCAACTCTGCCACTTCCCAGTTGGGTAACTGGAAGGAGGACAATTTGCTTGACCTCTATAATTCAGCTCATCTGAAAAATGGATGCTAGGGATTCCTCCTCCTAGAACTGTGGTGTATTAAACGTTTAGAAAACCAAGCATACATCAGTGGTTCAGAGGTGGTGGCCCCTGAGGTGGTGACTCTAGGAGAAGTGAAGGAGTCCCAGAGGGTTCATGTGTGGAGCCAGGTTCACTCACTAGGGAGAGGCCCAAGGCCCCCAGAACCAACAGGGCAGGAGAGGATCCTAGAAGCTGCAAGAGAGACGTGAAATGCCAAAGCCATGATGTTTATGCTGTGAGGGAACCAGGCAACCTACCGGTTTGCATGAGGCCCCCAACCCAGGGCAGCTGTAGCCTATTAGTGCTGGGTTCAGTGGAGGCAGAATTCAGGTGTAAACTCCACCCTTAACCCACCCCACACCCTGGGGATTCATGTTTTCCCGCCCTACTAGAACTTTGGGCTTCGGATCAGCGCCTAGTGGGTAGCTTTGAACTTCCCTGCCAGCCCACTGGCCACATGCTGTGCGAGTTGAGTTGCATTGCCTGTATTTTTCTGGCATTGCCCACTCTGCTCTCCCTCTTCCCCAGGCTCAGCTACACACAGCTCCATGCCCTCCGGGCTGACTCAGTCCTGCATTGTTCCCACACACATACGCATACCCACAACCTGGGCTGTTCTTTCTAACTTCAGTGGGGTTGAATCTGGTTTCCCCAACTAAGCCTGGGGACACTCCAGCACTGAGGGTAGATACTTAGGGAAATTGAGAGAAAACCCATGAGCTGTCTTCTAGAGGCAGGGGCATAGCTTTGCTGACCTTGTCAGGACCCAATCCCAAATATGTGAAGGATCACTAAGCTCTGCCCTTGCTGGGTGAGCGTCTCCAGACTCCTGACTCACCCCTGGGGCATGCATTTCTGGCCCAGGAGTCAACTCCCCAATAACTCAGTCCCTCCCTCCAGAAAGCCTGCCTTGACCTCCCTGAAGTGAAGCTCCTACTGCATGCCCCTCATCAGGACCAAGAGAGAAATTCTGCCTCTGCCTAGCTCCACCTGTTCACTCCCACCAACCAGACAACTCCTGATCGATAGGAATCTTGACTCCACTACACCAAATCCCCTCTAGTTCCCTGCAGATGCTAAATTGTCTCCACCTCCTGGCCTTTGCAGGCTTTCTGTCTGGAAAGCCCTTTCACTCCCTCATTGCTCTAGTTAATGTTCAAGTTCAAGCCTCAGCTCTGAGCAGCCCTGTGGGCCCACCAGACAGCTCTTCAAACCACTCCTTCCTGCCAGGTCCAGTGTTGCCAGGTGCCCACAGCTGCTCACAGAGCTCAGGCTCTGCCCTGGGACTCCCCAGCTGATGAGCTGCAGGCCAGAGAAGCAAGAGGGGAACAGCCGAGGCCTTCAGGGAGACTGAGTGCCTCCCCACCACCTGTCCCCTCCCTTCTCACCCAACCTCCAGCCCTTTCTGCAGCTTGACTGCTGGAGCTAAGGCCCCAGCAAGGCCCCATAGGGCCAGCATCACTACCTCAGTCACGCTGGCCACACCCTCTGTCAAGCTTTGGCTTGGCAGTGGGCCTAGCAATGTCCCATGCAGCTCTCTCTGCCAGGCTTCTTCCAGCCCGTGGAGGGGTCCCTTCTCCCCACCTCCCCTTCCCCTGGCTCCTGATGCTGATGCCTAAGTGATTTGTCCCGCTCTGAGCCTCAGAGTCCTTATCCAACCAATGGGCACACAGCCCCTCCCTAACTAACTCCTGGGCCGGTGCTAGGATCCACTGTGAGTCAGATGAGGAAGTGGGCTGGGGAGGAAGAGGCAGAAGGCAGCCCTCAGCGGGCTAGCTGGTCAGAAGCATGTAAGCTGCTCTGGCCTGGCCTTAACCTGGGGCCTCTGGGAGCTGGGCCAGCTGTCTGTGCACCCATGCAGGTACAGGATGTCTGCAGCAGCTGCCAGGGGCTTCCAGATGCCCCAGGTTTGGCCCCTGAGACATTTTCTCCCTAGCTCTGGGATAGCCTTATCCTGAGGCCCTACGTATTCTGGCAGAGAGTGGGGGTGGGGGAGGAGGCCCTTGCAATCTTACAGGACAGACCATCAGGCTGTTTCACAGCACCTGCCTAATACCCTGGTCTCTCCTCCATTTCTCCTCTGGCACCTAGAACCAAGTCACCCTGAGCCAGCGCCAGAGTTCCTGCCCACTCGTGAGTAGGACAACATACCCAGGAGATACTGCTGCAGCTGGACATGGACTTGTATGTAAACACAAGCGCACATATGTGGGGAGGGGTGTGGAATATCAGGATGGGGGCAACATGAGAGTGACCCAGGATGGGCAGTAGTGAGCTTGGGGTAGGAGGAGGGGATGTCCACAGAGGCCTCTCCTCTACAATGGTGGCCCAGTCACCATCCAGACCTTGCCAGGTCTAGTGCCCCGTGGTCCCCACCCTGCTGCCTGCTCAGCCTGGCAGCCTTCCTTTACAGCCTCCTGCCAACAGAGCCAGCCCCCTGCCCCCACGGGTGTCCATGCCAGAGCAGCATTCCGCAAGCCTGGCTGCATCTCCCCAGCAGAGGCTGAGCAAGGGGGCCACTCAGCAGTGGTCAGGTCACACGGCTAGAGGGGCACAGTGGGGCCTGGGCCTCTGGTCCCTACTCCTCTGGTCCCTCTGTCTCCTGGCCCTGGGCCAGTCACCTTAGATGATTTGATCGCTGCGGTTGTAGTCCTGGGATTTAAATCTCCTGCCCTGGGTGGCCCTATGCAGCATGAGGCCGCCAGGTAGGTATGGGTCCACTGGAGCCAAGTCCTGGAGGCACAGAGCAAAATGAGCCCTGCGCCGCCCTGGGATAGGGATGGGGGACTGGACCAGTTGGGGACCCCAGACTCACCCCCAGGTCAGAGCAGCCCAGGCGAGAGGGTGGGGGTGGTGAGCGCGGCTGGGGTGCGGGGTTCAGTCCCTCAGCGTGGGATCCCTCAGGGGAGCGGGTGGAAGCCTTTTCTGTTCGGATCCGGGGCCCGGCGCGCTCAGCTTCCTGATTTCACGGCAGCTTCCTATCCTGGCTCCCCCTCCGTGGCGCAACCGGAGGGCAGCGATGTTTGACTCCCGGACGAACTTCCCGGCAGAAAGGAGGCTCAGCACGGGAGGGTGGGGCCGGGGTCTATCTGCTCGGATATGAGCAGTGGGGACGGGCTGGGGGCTGGAGCTGGGGCTGGGGGTGGAGGGCAGCCTGCGGCAGGGCGGGCTGCACGGGGACCGCGCACACCACGCGTGTCCGCGCCCCCCGCCGGCACGCAGGCGGCCTGGCCCTTTAAGCGTCCAGACGGCGGCCCCAGCTGACGCGCGGGCTCCAATCGGCGCCCCGCGCCCCCCGCCCGCCGCGCCCGAGGCTCTGGGGCCGCAGCTGCTTGGCGCTGGACTCGCCGCGGCCCTGCGCCTCCGCCTGCCTGGCCGCGCCCCCGGGGGCCATGGTCGCGGGGCCCTGCGCGGGGGCGGCCCCCAGCGCGGCGCTTCATGGAGCGGCCCTGGCCTGGCCGCCGGGGGCAGCGCGATCCCGCGGGGCCCTGTGAGCCCCCAGCGCCACGGCACCATGGTACGCAGGGCCCTGCCTGTCCCCCCGCTTATCCGCCCACCTGCCAGCTCTGACCTCCCAGGCACACGGCCCGCGGGCCCGGGTGGAGGGGCTGGAGGGATCTTCCCCCCTCCCCCGGTCTCCCGGCTCCATCTGCTGGGTCCCGCGGGCCGGGAATGCGGCGCTGTGGCGCTGCTCTCGGTGGGGAGGGGGTTAAATTCCTGTGGTGGGGGCGCCGGCGCGCGAGGCTGAGGTCTTGCTAGGCACCGGCGAAGGGGGGCGCTCCCCTGCGCCCGGACGGCGCCGCCCTCGGGCTGGGTAATGGGGGGAAGAGGGAGTCGGATTCCCGCCTGGGCCTTGGGCCACGTGGGCGCTGGAGCCGCCCTGCCTGGGGATTCGGGATGACCCGGGCCAAGGGGGTGTGGGAGGACACCCAGAGCTCCCGTACCAACTCCTGTGTGACCTTGGGCAGATCCCCCGCCCTCTCTGGGTCTATTTCCAAGGGAAAGAGGGGAGGTAAGTGCACAGAGGAGGCTGGCATGGACACTCCCTCACCAAAAGGAGGAGCCTAGAGGTCATGAGCCTGTGCCCCCTTGCTCAGTCTGGGCCCCCCCACTGCTGCCCAGCATAGAAAGAATTGACATGGGAGGGGGGCGCAGATGGACTCCCCAGGTTTCATCATGGGGCCTTCCAGGGAGGCTCTGAGGCAGGGTAGAGAGATGAGGCTTCTCATCAGTGAGGCAAGGTACCCCTCAGGTGTAGAAGGCTCTGACTTGGGTGAGCAGCCTGGAGAGATGTCTGGCACCTGGCCAATCCCCAGCCTGACTTGGGGCAAGGGTTTGAGGGCATGAAACCCCCTGGCAACCAGAGTGCCTGACCACCTCCCTGGTCCTGCATCTTAGCTAGGCTGGAGTGACCTGGACTGCAGCTGGCACAGCCGGATGGGGAGGGGCACGCATTGCTTCCGGGAACCAGCACATCTGGCTGTGGAGGCCAGCACAGCTGGTGGGCATTGTGTGGGAGGGGCCAGACATGGGGGTGGCTGAACCCTGCTGAGGGGCTGCCAATTGTGGACTCGGGCAGCATCTCTGTGCCCAGTCAAGAGAGTCCAATCAGGTCATGAGGTTTAGGGCCCCCCAAGGGCCAAGGATGGTGCTGCCTTGGCTGAGAGTACTACCTTAGCAATGGAGTGTTTGAGAAAGCACTCCCCTCCTTTCCTGCTGAGAGGCCAGAGGGCCAAAGTCAGGCCTCATTTGGCCTAGAGGCCAAAGTGCACATGGGAAGGTTGCCCTTTCCCTGTGGCAGGTGGGCACAGGTGGGCAGTGGAGGGCATTCCATAAAGGGAGAGCAGAGAGATCTGGGGCTCTGTTGCCTGGGGTGGACTTCCCCCAACAGGCCTGGCTTCAGCAAACCCTTATCCAAGCCACTTCTCCTGCCAGTCTTTGGCCCCTGGAGGCCCTAAGGAGCCCCTGTTGCAACCCAAGTTGTACCCTGATCCTTCACTGACCTGCAGGTGCAGTGGCTCTAGGGAGGAGGGAGCAGGTAGAGGGGATAGTGGTGAGTGTGGGGAAGCACGGCTGGTCTCCAGGTGGCGGGATGTTCTCGCTTTTTAAGTCATTAAAGGCTCAGAAATCCAGCCATGTGGGGTCTAGCAAGGAAGGGGTGGTCTTAGCGGAGCTGGGAGTCCAGGGGCTCTGGACTGTGGAACCCTCTCATTCTGAGCCTCGGTTTCTCCATCTGTGTAGTAGGGGTTGGTCCCAGAAGATGAATCAGAATGAGTCAGAGGAGGGAGATGGGAGGGGCTTGGTGCCACGTCCCAGTTAGATTGGCCAGGCCTGGACAGCCTGGGACAGAGGGAGATGGATGGCTTCTTGGCTGGGGTAAGGGGTGTAGTGGAGAACTCAAGGAAGATGGTAGCCTTGGCCAGGGGCCTGGCCAGACTGGGATGTGAGGGAACACAGGATGGCTGCTGCCCTGGCTGCTGGGTGTAGGGGGCAGGGTCCAGGGCAGGCCTGGAGACAGGTGGCCCCTGGTGGCTCAGGGAGGCTCCTGCTGAGGCCCACGGTAGGTTTCTCATTCAGGTGACTGAGAAGTGGAGCTCAACCACCACCACCCCTGCCCAATCCCAGCCTACCCACTGCTCTCCTGGCGATGGAAGGCCTGGCATGGGGAAGGGGGGCGGTAGGCTGTGGATGGATGGGGCCAGGATTCATCCCAGGGTCCCCAGGGAGGCACTGACAGCTATGGAGCTGATGGTTTTGTGGCCATCAAAATATTGTGGCAAGGTACCTCCCGAATGCAGGAGGCTCAGACCTGGTTGGGCAGGCCCTGAGGAGAGCCAGAACTTGGAACCAGTGGTGCTGGTCCAGCTGGGCTGGTGGTTGGTGGATATTAACAACATCTGCACATCACTGTGTGATGGTTCTCGTGCAGGGACTGGGCAGGCTGCCTGTCTGTGCTGCCCACCTTTTGGGGAGGCTGCTGTGGTAGAGCCGGGGTGACTGAGTTGGCTTCTATTCCAGGCAATTCACAGGTGCTGGATGTGGCCCACAGGCCTGATAGTCTGACCCATCAGACATTGAGGGCCTCCGCTAGGGCTCTGGAAGCCCCAGATGGTGTGGCCTCTAAGGCAGGGCTTTCCCAGAGCCTGTGGACATGGACCGTACCTGACCTGGGGTCTGGGGGTCTACCGGGAAAAGGATCTGGGGCAGGCCTTGGGGGCCTCCTGCCTGCAAGCATGGTAGGCAGGTTCCACAGCTGTGTCCTTCCACCCCTGCAGAGCCCCTGAGTGAGAGAGAGCTGCTGGGGGCTAGGCCTGAGGCTGCAGGCAGGGGTTGGGGGCAGCCTGGCCCAAGCCCTGGCTGTGATGAGGAGACCTCACCAGGCAGTGCAGCAGGACCAGAGTGGGGAGAAGGTATAGGCCCTGAGCCTGGATTTCTTCACAGGTTTCAACTTCTGCAGCAGCCACATGGCTGTTGCGATGAGGGGTTCCCTCAGGTGCTACCCCTTGGATTCTGTAGCCAGAGACTGGGCAGTGAGCAGTGAGCCCGGCTTCTGTTCTTGAGGTGTTTGGGGCTGGGCAAGCTTGCTTTTATTGGTATGTGTGAGTGAATATGTGGAGAGAATCCACGGGGCTGAGGAAATGCTGAAGGAATGCCTGTGGCCCTCCTGGGGTGACCACCTGGTCCCGGTGTGCCTGCGATGGTCCTGGTTCTAGCACTGAAAGCCCTGCACCCCAGAAAATGCCCAGGTCCCTGGCAAACCTGGATGGTTGGTCACTGTGGTCTCTCTTTCATCCCCTTTCCTTCCCTTTCCCTTCCTGGGATGACTTTTCCCATTTCCCAGGAGATGACCCAGAGGCCCAGAAAGTGACAGGACCTGATCTTCAGCCTCAGAGGGTCACGAGTGGAGCCTGAGCTCTGAGGCAGCTCACTCAGGCTTGAATCCCTTCCTTGCTAGTTTCGGCTCTGTTGCTGTAAAGTGGAGCCACGAGTGATGGGCTGCCTCCTGGATGGCTGGCAATGCTGGGAGTGGTGCTGGGGGAAGGGCGGGCAGGGGCCCACTGGCCTTGACCCACTCCTGTGCCCTCTGTCCCCGCAGTTGCTGGTTGAGAAGACAACTGACTCCCCGGCGGCTGAGTTCTCGCTGGTGGAGGACGTGGCGCTGCACTTTGCCTGCTTGATGGGCCGCCTGAACGAGCAGCGCCTCTTCCAGCCTGACCTCTGCGACGTGGACTTGGTGCTGGTGCCCCAGCGCAGCGTCTTTCCGGCACACAAGGGTGTGCTAGCCGCCTACAGCCAGTTCTTCCACTCACTCTTCACCCAGAACAAGCAGCTGCAGCGTGTGGAGCTGTCCCTGGAGGCACTGGCACCTGGTGGCCTGCAGCAGATCCTCAACTTCATCTATACGTCCAAGCTGCTGGTCAACGCGGCCAACGTCCACGAGGTGCTCAGCGCCGCCTCATTGCTGCAGATGGCTGACATCGCTGCGTCCTGCCAAGAGCTGCTGGACGCCCGCTCTCTAGGCCCACCAGGTCCGGGCACTGTGGCCCTGGCCCAGCCGGCTGCCAGCTGCACTCCAGCTGCGCCGCCCTACTACTGTGACATCAAGCAGGAGGCCGACACCCCAGGCCTGCCCAAGATCTATGCCCGCGAGGGCCCTGACCCTTACTCGGTGCGTGTTGAGGACGGGGCAGGGACTGCTGGTGGCACAGTGCCTGCCACCATTGGGCCAGCCCAGCCCTTCTTTAAGGAGGAGAAGGAGGGTGGTGTCGAGGAGGCCGGTGGGCCCCCAGCCAGCTTGTGCAAGCTGGAGGGTGGAGAAGAGTTGGAGGAAGAGCTTGGGGGTTCTGGCACCTACAGCCGCAGGGAGCAATCCCAGATCATCGTGGAGGTGAACCTCAACAACCAGACACTGCACGTGTCCACGGGGCCAGAGGGGAAGCCAGGTGCCGGGCCAAGCCCAGCCACCGTGGTTCTGGGCCGGGAGGACGGGCTGCAGAGACACTCGGACGAGGAGGAGGAGGACGACGAGGAGGAGGAGGAGGAAGAAGAGGAAGAGGAAGGTGGTGGCAGTGGACGGGAGGAGGAGGAGGAGGAAGAGGGTGGCAGTCAGGGAGAAGAGGAAGAAGAGGAGGAGGACGGGCACAGTGAGCAGGAAGAGGAAGAGGAGGAGGAAGAGGAGGAAGGGCCTAGTGAGCAGGATCAAGAGAGCTCTGAGGAGGAGGAGGGGGAGGAGGGGGAGGCTGGGGGCAAGCAGGGGCCACGGGGAAGCCGAAGCAGCCGGGCAGACCCCCCTCCCCACAGTCACATGGCCACACGGTCCCGGGAGAACGCCCGGCGCCGGGGTACCCCTGAACCTGAAGAAGCTGGGCGGCGGGGTGGGAAGAGGCCAAAGCCACCCCCTGGAGTGGCCTCTGCATCGGCCCGAGGGCCGCCAGCCACTGATGGGCTGGGGGCCAAGGTGAAGCTGGAGGAGAAGCAGCACCATCCATGCCAGAAGTGCCCACGAGTTTTCAACAACCGCTGGTACCTGGAGAAACACATGAATGTGACCCACAGCCGCATGCAGATCTGCGACCAGTGCGGCAAGCGCTTCCTGCTGGAGAGCGAGCTGCTGCTGCACAGGCAGACAGACTGCGAGCGCAACATCCAGGTGGGCCTCACGTGGCTGGGGGCAGGGCAGAGGCTGTCCAGGTGGGGCTAGGCCATAACTGGGCTCTGGGCACCTAGTGTCTTGCTGACTGCATTACCTAGGTGGTCTGCGGAGACCAGACTTAGCCCCCAGACAGGCTGGCCCAGGCCCAGTTCTCAGGGTGGTTAGAGCTCAGGGGTAACATCAAGCCGAGCTTCCTGGGAGAGGTGGATAGAGTTGGGCGCATGAAGAGATGTGCAGAGGATTGGAACAAACAGTACCCTTGGCCAGAGGGACAAAGGGGACACATGGACTTGGGAGGATGAGAGTGGAGAGTTGTCTGAGCAGACAAGGCCAGAAGACAGGCCACTCTGGGTGGGATGAGTCAGACGGGGTTTTAACAAACACGGGGGCTGTAGGAAGGCCAGCAGGGCCACTGTGTATAGTTTCACAGGTTGTGCACTGCAGCAAGTGAGCACACGATGGGAGGAGGGGTTTGCCCAGAGGGATGCCATCCTCCACTTCCCACAAAAGTGCTGTATGGAGGAGGGGGCAGCCCAGCAGGAGGCAGCCCCCACTTTCAGCTCTTTGGGGATGCCAGCTCCCATGGGCCTGGGAAAAAGGGATTGGGTGAGAAATTTGGGAAGAGCAGAGGCTGCTGGGGTAAGCAGGGGAGCTGAGCTGGCTGCTGGGCCTTGAGCCAGCCTGAGTCTGTTTGTGCCAGCCTCACTTCTCAGGGTGGGGTGGCACAGGGCCAGCCAGGCTCCCACGGGTGGTTTTCACCTCTTCTGGCCCAGGAGAAGGGGGAAAGGTAGCAGGTAGGTGGGTGCTAATTGCCTGCGCTAATTGCTAATTGCAGTGCCCTGTGGAGAAAGTGTTACCCGGGGGTCACCTGCTATCCTGCCCCACCCTTGTGTACCTGTGCCCACTTGCCCGCCTGCTGGGCTGCCCTTTGATGCTCTAACTGCTGCGCACCTGAGTCTCCCTCCTGAAGGAAAAAGAAGCTTCTGCCCCATCCAACCTGAGTACCCTGACCAATTTCTGCCCAAGCCTTGGCCTAGCCTCCATCCCTGTGGGGTGTCCTGCATAGATGGGCAGGACAAGGGTCCAGGAGAACAAATGGGGGGATATGGTCCCCAAGATCCCCCACCACTCTCTGTGCCTGATGGGACCTTGAGCCTCCTGCTGTCCTCCTCAGCCAACGCCTCTGGGACTCATCCTCTTGGCGATATTCATGGTGTCATGGCACAGGTCCCAGCAGGAGGAGGCAGCAGTGATAATGGCTCACTCTGTGGGACCTGTTATCTCTGCGTGTAGCCTCCATACCAGAGGGCGCCCTTCAGCTAGTTGTCTGCCTTACCTCTATAGACAGACAAAGGGTGATGCCTTTGGAAGCCCTTGTTGAAATGAGCCCAGAGTGGGGAATTTCCTGGAAGAGGTGACCCCTGACCCTAGTTAACTCAAGGATGAAGGAGGACACCAGGCTGTGTGTTTGGGGGTGTTTAAGGAGTTTTCATCCCCAACCTTAGAAACATCAGAGCTGGCTGGCTGTTGGCATCAAGGGCTCTCCAGCATATTTCAAGTGGGAAAACTGAGGCCAGACGGGGGCAGTAGCTTGCCCAAGTCCAAGACCCTGGGGACTCAGGACCCAGGGCCTCAAGTCCTCTTATTCTGCAGTGTGTGACATGTGGCAAAGCTTTCAAGAAGCTTTGGTCCCTCCATGAGCATAACAAGATTGTGCACGGCTACGCAGAGAAGAAGTTCTCATGCGAGATCTGTGAGAAGAAGTTCTACACCATGGCCCACGTGCGTAAGCACATGGTTGGTAAGTCTGGGCCACTGGGGGATGGAGCCAGAGGATAGAGATGGACCAGCTTCTGGCTGGTGGATGGGAAAGACTTCACATCCAAGGGCAATGTGAAGGGGTGAGGAGGCCCCTCTCAGCTAGGAGGCCTGGGGAGGTTGGTTCCAGTGGCAGGTGTAGCCTGGACAGGCTCTGGGGCCAGGGCTGGCATGTACAGTTGGGCAGGCTGCACATTGCACAAGGGTGCCTGGACAAGATGGCAGGTGGGAACCGGAATCAAGCTGGCACACTGCTAACCAGGCTGTGCATCCTGGCACGGGCTCGTGTCCACCCAGGGAAAAGAATACCTTTTCCTAATTATACAAAGTGCTGTATGGGCTGGTACAGGCCCTGTGTCAGTTTGATGACAGCTGTGCCTCTGATTCTTTCTTACCTTCTGGTCCTCATAGGGCTTCAGGCCTCTCTGAATGCAGCCTCCCCTCAGGGTTCATGCCTGGACACAGTAAGGAGGTCCCCCAATTGTGTGTTTTGGCCACGCCACTGCCCCAGGCAAGGCTGCCCACCTGCTGTATGTGGGCCTGGCAGAGCCTCATGTCCCTACAGCCCTGCCTTCCTTGCCCGCTCCAAGTCTGGGCCTTGAGGGGGAGGGGTAGCCAAGGCAGACAGTGAGCCCCTGGCCAGGTCCTAATCCCTTTCTCCATGAGACAGTGCTGGGGGCCCTCCAGCATGAACTGACTGGAAGCTGGGACCCTGCGGCCTAGGTCTCAGCCAGGAGCATGCTGGGTAAACCAGGACTGGTGTCTGTGAGCTTGAAGGTGAGCCTTCTGTCTCCAGTGGCCACCTACCAGATCCTTGAAGAGTTTGTTAGTCCTCACCCATCCGTGGGTGCTGGGAGGAGTGCAGCTAACTTCCTCCAGACTGCTGGCTAGGGCCTGAGACCAGGGCCTTTCTGCATATGTCCCCTCTAAAGCCCACCACCCCTGAAGCTCAGGACCACTATGAGTCCCTTTTTATAGGAGAGGAAGCGGAGGTCCAGAGAGACTGAGTGGGAAGCCAGTGGTCGGGCCGGGATTTGAGCTGAAGCCAGGTCCACCCAGGGTCCTTCCATCCTTCCCTGAAGCTTTGGGGGCAAGGCAGCCTTGGCCACTTCCCTTGACCAGAGGCTAAAGAACCACAGAGCCCCAGCATGTCTGAGGCAGACCTTCAG
The DNA here is from genome assembly GCF_000001405.40 of Homo sapiens. Taxonomy (NCBI): domain Eukaryota; kingdom Metazoa; phylum Chordata; class Mammalia; order Primates; family Hominidae; genus Homo; species Homo sapiens. The sequence continues at coordinate 42,662,819 of NC_000003.12, forward strand.
AGCAGATAGGAGACCCAGCCATGGAGGCAGGGGGCCTCTCCTGGGAATCAGCACAGGTCCTGGGACAGAGTATAAGGCCAGCCCCAGAGAAGGGTGGTGGCACAGGGCTGCCCCAGGAGGCAGGGTCTGGGCCCAACGTCGGGGTGCTTGGGCAGGCCCGTAAAACATGATGGCCCTGGTGCCCACCTCGTAGCCCACACCAAGGACATGCCCTTCACCTGCGAGACCTGCGGAAAGTCCTTCAAGCGCAGCATGTCCCTCAAGGTGCACTCACTGCAGCACTCAGGGGAGAAGCCGTTCAGATGTGAGGTGAGCTTCCATCTCCTGCCTGGCCTGCCCGAGGGGTCACCTGGGAGGGGCAGGAATCAGGGAGCGCAGCTGCTGAAAAACAAAGGGCTAGGGGGTGGAATGTAGTGTCCAGAAAGAGAGAGCCCTGCCCTCTGAGGTCTGCAGCCCCTGCCTCCCACTCCCACCCAGCCCCTACTCTTCTCTGGCCCACTCCCATCCTGCCCTTCCTTCCCCAACCCAGCCCCACACACTCAGGGTGGGAAGTGTGTGTGGGCTACAGCCCTAGGAGCAGGCTTTCTGGGGAGGCAGATTCAGGAGCATCCCAGGCCTGGAGCTCAGATGAGACAACAGAGCTGCAGGTGGGGAGGTGGGGGCAGGGGCTGGGCGTCTGATCAGGAGGAAGGATGAGGGACCTCGTGCCTTAAGCATGGGGCTCCCTCTACTCTCTGGCTTTTTCCCACTTCCGACCCCCATTCCCCACCTAAGCCTTGGGTGCTTGTGGCCTCTCCTCTTGTGCCCATGTACTGCCCACCCAGATGCACCTCGGCTTGCCCTCATGTCCCCATCTCCTTGCCCAGGAGCCCCTGAGTGTGTCCCTCCTTGGCCCTGTGGCCACAGGGGAGCTGTTCCCTCCACAAAGGCTGCTCTTCTGCTCTGTGCCTGGGCCTCACCCCCAAACCCCACCCCCAGAACTGCAATGAGCGCTTCCAGTACAAGTACCAGCTGCGGTCACACATGAGCATCCACATTGGCCACAAGCAGTTCATGTGCCAATGGTGCGGCAAGGACTTCAACATGAAGCAGTACTTCGATGAGCACATGAAGACCCACACAGGTGCGGCTGCCCCTGGGGACGGAGCTCGGTGCCGGGCCTGGGACCCCTTCTCAGCCCCGCTCAGGACACCTGGAATAATCTTGGCCACACCCCTTCTCAAGTCTGGGCCTCCGTTTACCCATGCTTCCTGCCTCCCAGGGTTGGGTGAGGCTGGCACAAAATGCCCCAGGGTCGGGGAGGATCTGAGAGCGCCGGGGCTGGGCCCCACTATGGCTCCATGGGAGACGGAGGCTGGCCCCAGACTGGGGTGTGGCGACCCCTCACTGACGCCCTGCTGCCCACCCCCAACCCCCAGGAGAGAAGCCGTACATCTGCGAGATCTGTGGCAAGAGCTTCACCAGCCGGCCCAACATGAAGCGGCACCGGCGCACGCACACGGGCGAGAAGCCGTACCCGTGCGACGTGTGTGGCCAGCGCTTCCGCTTCTCCAACATGCTCAAGGCCCACAAGGAGAAGTGCTTCCGCGTCAGCCACACCCTGGCCGGCGACGGCGTCCCCGCTGCCCCAGGCCTGCCCCCAACCCAGCCCCAGGCGCACGCACTGCCCCTGCTCCCGGGGCTGCCCCAGACCCTGCCGCCCCCGCCCCACCTGCCGCCCCCGCCTCCGCTCTTCCCCACCACTGCCAGCCCCGGCGGGAGGATGAACGCCAACAACTAGCTGCCGAGCTGCACCCGTGCACCCGCTGGGGCCTGGAGTCAGGGCCCACTCCAGGAGGGACCCACTGCCTTCCCGGGGAGCACAGTAGTGCGGGCCTGGGCCCTGCTCCACCTCCAGAAGTGGCTGGATGTACCCTGCCTGAGGCCCCGACGAGGAGGGGTATGCAGGCTGGCAGGCCCCAGAGCTGGTGGAGGGCATCTCACTCCCAAGTGCCCCCCCTTTCTGTGACTCCTTGAAGCCTTTACTTTTTTTTTTTTTTGGAAGTGAAGGAAAAAGAAACTATTTACAGCACTCCCCTCCAGGTGAGGGGGGTGCTGGGGGTCTGCAGCAGAAAGAAAGGGGCCTGGGCAGCAGGTGTGGCCAGTCCCTCTGCCAAGGCCTGTGCCAGAGGGGTTGGCCAGTTGGAGCCTGGGTCAGCCTCAGCAGCCTATCCCCATGTCCTCTATGCCCCTAATTTGCTTCCTCATCTTGGAGGGTTTGGGGAGAAGTTGGCGTGCCACCCCCACAACCCCTGAGGAGGTGTAGACCCAGTCTGAGAGCCGCAAGCACTGAGGCAGGGCCTGAGACTGGACCTGGGTGAGCGTGGGGGGTGGAGGGTGGCGAGGTGCGGAGACTGCAGACCAGTGCTTCACTGTGTGGAGTGGGGCAGGCAGGGGCTGGACCCCAGGGACTTGCCTTCCCCACCCACTCTGCTGCCAGCAGGCCCAGGGATCCCTGACCTGCACCAGGTGGCACCAAGGGTCCTGAGTCCTGGAGATGTCCCCAGAAGCTGCTGTGCCTCACAGCGCTGTGAGCCAGACCCTCCTTGGGCAGACAGGCTGACTGGCAGCACCAGCTTTGGGGGCAGAGTCCTAGGATGAGGCTTGGGCAGTGCTGGTAGGGTTTCAAGGTGCTATTAGTGGGGCAGGGGCAGGGCGGCTGCTCACAGAGCACCCCAGTTCCTCACCAGCTACTCTGGCCATATATCCCACACCAGAAGGAACAAGTGTGGCTGTGTCCATCTCTGCTCCCCCAAAGGCCCGCTCTAGGCCTTATCCTCCCTCTAGGTCCTGCCACAACCTGTCCCTGGCTGGCTCCAGCGTCCTCGTCCCTCCTGGGCCTGTGCACCGGTGGGTGGGGCGCCCATAGCACTGCCGGTAAAGGAGCCTGCATGTTCAGGCCCCTCGGGGGATTGGGGGGACTGGGGAGGCGCAGCCTAGACCCAATTGCTTGCCCCCATGAGGCTAGCACTAATAGGAAACCCTTTTTTGTTGTCATTTAATGTCTTTATTCCTGCCTTTAATATGGGGAGGAAGGTTCCATAAGCTACATGTTTCCTAGTTAAGCTCTTTCCTATTGTGTTTATACAGTTTTGTTTGTTATACTCTTTGCACCTTAAACCCCCACCACTCCCCGACACTATTGCCTTCCCAGCATGGCTGGAGTGGGAAGAGGCTTGGGCCCCGGGGGAATGGTTAGGGGGACTGAACCCCTCTGACCTTATGAGGCCCATGGCACTGGGGCAGGGAGCTGGGGACATTTTAATCATCAATAAACGAAGCACTTTATTCTGTACAGATTTGGGCAGGCCCAAGGTGCCCGAGTGATCTGAGGATTTATAATCCAAGCCACACCACCCTGGTTGTTCTCTGGGCTTGGAGGGTACAGTGCCAGCAGCTTCCTTGCCCAATTGATGTTGGAGCTGTAGACGTACGCTCAGGCGCTCCTGCTGTCCTGGGGGAGAGAAGGTTCGCCCCTCCCCGAGGAAGAAGGCTTCTGGTCAGGACCCCCACCCCAAGGCTGGGGACTCCAGGCTCCTGCTTTACTGTAGCTCTTTTTCTTCCTTGCACTCCTTGATCTTTGGGCTTCCGTGATGTCCTCAGGGTCCCCCCCTCCCTGTTGCTATTTTTAATCTCTAGTCCCAGTGCCTGGCAGCTCTTTGGAGCTGGCTCACATTTTCCCAAAAAAAGTTGATCTCTCCCAGTGGGCTGTAGGCAGGGTCCTCCATGGGTTTCCAACCCCCATCACTGGCACCAGGATCTCCCACAGGCACTGGTGGTGTCATCACCTGCTGGCCCCACTACAGCCTGAGTAGGCCTGAGTGGCCGTGGCCAGGCTGAGACCTGTCAGGCCATACTGACAAGCAGAGGTCAGAGACACTGGTGGGGAGCTGGCAATGAAACCCTGTCCTGGGACATGGGTTTCATGTTCTTGTACACTTCCCCTCTGGGATCAGGTGAGGGGTCCAGACAGCTGACCAGACAGCTTGACAGCTGGTCAAGACGGTCACGGGAGCTCTAGGTGGGCACAACCAACCCCTCTCCTGGGAGGCCCCTGCCCCACTGGGGATAGGAGCCTGTGTCCCTGGTGCTAAGCACTCTCTTCACTTGGGCCATTGTTGGTGGGGGCTCCTTTCCGGCCAGACCACAAGGCCAGAAGCAATAATGGCACCTCAGCAGTTCCAGTATGGATAGGGGTTCCTGTTTTACTAGCTTTTACATCTTTTTATTTAAAACAAAACAACACAAAAAAACAATGTGCCCCCAGATGTCAGAATGAGGCGACTAGGGCACCATACTCACTTTCCAGGGCTGGGGGAAGGGGGACGCAGGATCATCCCCTCCCAAGGAGATCTGTGGGGGTCCCACCGTCCATCTGGACTTCTCAGCCTGTTTGGCTAGAACTCAGGCCTGGAGTCTGGGTCTGCCCCCTCCCCGGCTCCTTGGGGCTCTCTGGTCTCAGGCCAGCTGGCGATGGGTGGCTAGAGTGATGAACTCAAGCCCTGTGGCCACAGTTCTGGGAGCCTTCAACCCTGGCTCATGCTGCCATAGTCTCCACGGTGCCCTTCACAGAGGGCTTGGTAGTGGCAGAATGGCCATGCCCAGGTGTGTGTTGAGACCATTGACAACTGCTCGTGTACAGGCACCCCACAGCCCCAGAGCATGGGGCACAGCAGGCATGCGAGTGAGAGGATGAAGGGGAATAAAGTCAGTACAACTCGTGTCCCTTGGCCCAGCCTCTTCTTTGCACTTGGCCTGCCTTGACTCTTGGACCAGAGCAAGGGGCTGGGCTTTGGGGACCACCCAGAGTCAGGAGATGAGGCAAGGGCAGCGGTGGGGGATGGGGGATGGGCAAATAGGTGGGTCTTGGGTCAGATGCAGAGGGGCATGAAAGAGGAGAAGTCCTGAAGGCAATGGCCACAAGAGGCCAGGGCCTGTGCAGGTGTGGTTTCCCATGAGCACCAGGCATGGAGCCACAGTAGCTCTGGGACAGCAGGGACCGGTGCTCCCACTTATGTGCTGAGCCCTGGGGATGCTGTGATGAGCAGTATGGACTCATTCCTCCCTCGGCAGGCAGGGGAGGTCAGAAGGGGCCAGATAACAGAGATGCTGACTCAGGCACCCGGGAAGACAAAAGCTCAGATGGAAGACAGGTGGTAGCCTCCAGAGGAGCAGATGGCTCTCCCTGGGGAACTCAGAATTGTTTCATGGCACAAGTAGTATATACAGAGAGCACTCACTCCATGCCAAATGGAATTCTAGGCCCCGGGGACACGTGCAGAATGAGCCTCCTTGTGGCACTTAACTCTGTATATGTAGAAAAGGGTCAGACAGGACTGGGAGGGACTGGGAGAGAAGTCTCATGGGTGGATTTGTTGACTGGCCAGAAAGGAGGTGCAGGTTCCTAGGATGTTGGCACTGCCTTTCTGCACAGTCCTGCTATGAATGGAAGAAACACAGGCTTGCTCAAGAGACCCTGAAACAAGGCTGGCTGACAGGCCTGGGGGCCTGGCTGCTCCCCCAACTCTTGTGCAGATTCCACTCATCTCTGTGTTTCCACTCTGTTGACCTCCTCCTATATCAGGTTGCATGACACCTCTTTTTCCTCCAGCCCTCCCCCCACCTCCCTCATTCTCACAGCATTTCCACCTTCACACTCCAGAGTCTTGGACACTGTCATCCTAGGCTCTGGGGCAGAGGCCTCTGGGTGGCTGTGGGATGGTGGGCACCACGATTGGTGTCTCTGGAGCACTCACTTTCCCTGATCTTGCTCTTTGGGACCAAGCAGCTCACTAACATCTCATGTCCTGAAGCATGCATAGGTCAGAGCAGCACTGCCTTGCTGGGGAAGGCCGGACTTTCCTTCTTTCTAAAGGATCAATGAGGGGAGGTGAGGCACCCTGGCTTAGTGGTGCTTTTGGGCCTACCTACCCCCTGATTATGTAGCTTTCTAGAACCAGGACTGGTGAATAAGTCAGGTTAGGCTGAGTTCTGCTGCAGTAACAAACCACCTCCTAACCTCAGTGACTCAACATCTGTGGCTCTGAGGGGATGTTCCAGGGCAGTCATTCTCTATTTGGTGGCCCAGAATTCCAGGCTTTGACCTTGGGGCACCTCCATATCAACATGGGCCTCTAGACTGAACAGAGCCAGGGAAAAGACAGGTTGGAGAATCACACCTTGGCTCTTCAGTGCTGCCATCCAGAAGTGGTGTATCACTGCTGTTTCTGTGTCATCATCCAAAGCAAGTTCTGGCATCATGCCTTACTTCAGGGGGGTGTGGACACGCAACCCTCCTGTGTGGCCGGAAGGAGAGGAGAGCTGGAAAGATCGTTGAGTAGCTGCCAGGCACGGTGGCTCACGCCTGTAATCCCAGCACTTTGGGAGGCTGAGGCGAGCAGATCACTCAAAGTCAGGAGTTCAAGACCTTCCTGGCCAACATGGTGAAACCCCATCTCTAATGAAAAAAAAAAATTAGCCAGGCATGGTGGCATGCATCTGTAATCCCAGCTACTCAGGAGGCTGAGGCAAAAGGATCATTACGATCATTAGAACCTGGGAGGCGGAGGTTGCAGTGAGCCGAGATCACGCCACTGCACTCCAGCCTAGGTGACAGAGCAAGATTCTGTCTCAAAGAAAAAAAAAAGATAGGTGAGTAGCCATATCCTTTCCTACACTTGGGCCTTGCAGTCTCCAGAGGTCAGGTTGAGAGGTATCCAGCCTGTAGAGCTGCTTTCTAAAGTCTCTGGAGGGTCAGCAATAAAATAGAGGAGCACTGCCTCCTAAGGTTCCACTGGCTGCAGATGGGATGAACCTCCTGCCACCACAGATGACAGCCTTGGGACCTGTGGAGAATGGAGAAGAGAATGGGATCCCACACAGGGAAGGAAAAGCAGCTCCAAAGGACCCCACCTTGAACTTCCCCATCACTCCCGCCTCTCTCCAGCTAGAGATAGGGCTTCTGGAAACCCCTGTGGCCAAAACTATGCCTGTGTACCTGGGAAGCTGTGGCCTAAGACTATAACTCTCATGTGTTGGGGACACTTTGTGGTCACTCTTCACCATAACCTTCTGAGACTGCTGATAACCTAAGCAAAGGAGCTCAGAGAGGTAAAGCCACTTGCACACAGCCAGAAAGTGGTGGAGCCAGATGCGAACCCAAGTCTGTCCGATCCCAAAGCCACGTTCTCTAAGCTCTGAACAATGCCACGTCCCCTTCATTCAGCACAGTACTTGGTACACAGTGGCATTCAGGAGAGCATGGCAGTGGGTGGTGAACCAGGGCTATTGGTTGCAAACAGAAGAACCAATTAAATCTCTAGGAGAACCAGAGACTCAGCCTTTGGGGTTATGCAGCCAAAAACAAACCCAAACCACCCTGCACCACTTGCCCTAGGGGAGGCGTGACTGTCATCCCAGCTTGGAACTAACAATGCTGAAGGCTACTCATAAGAAGCTCTGTCTCGACTGCCCCTCCCACCAAAACTAAACCCCTCTCTGCCCCACCCTCAGAGAACACAAGTCTGCAGTATATTTCATTGCTTTCCTCTTACCTGAATCAGTCTTATGTGGGTGTGTCTAAGTGTCAGATCTGTCACGTTTATGCCCTAGTGATGCAGGACAGGCGAGTCTCAAAATTGGGGCTTAGCCTGGGAGAGTTCTTGGCTTCACCTAGGAAAGAATTCAAGGGTGAGCCGGAGGTGTTAGCGACTTTTAGTGAAGCAGCAGCAGAGGTACTGGTACTGTGGAACAGCGCTACCCTATAGGCAGTGTTCCCAGAATAGCAGCTCCGAGGCAGGACTGCAGTCATACTTATACCCACTTTGACTTACATGCAAATTAAGGGGGGATTATGCAGAAATTTCTAGGAAAAGGTTGGTATCTTCCATAGAAAGGGGCAGTAACTTTCAGGTGTTGCCATGGCAATGGTAAACTGACATGGCACACTTGTGGGCATGTCTTATGCAAAGCTGCTGCTTCCACTCCATCCCTGTTTCAGCTAGTCCTCATTAGGTCTGGTGTCCAAGCCCCGCCTCCAGAGTTGAGTCCAACCTCCTACTTCACTAGCTGCAAGGGAGGCTGGGGAAGCAAGTTGTGTTTTCTATGTTGGGTAGGTGGAATGCCCTATGTACTTCATTCCCAATCAGAAAAAGGCTTTGCAAACATGCTGGGTGGCCACAAAGTATAACAAACATGCCCCACAATCTAGCCCTTCACAGCCCAACAACAGCATACACCCTCTTCCATACAACAGGAACAACAAAATGCTATTGATTAACAACCTTCCTCATAATAAATAAAAACGTATTCATCCTCTTCCCAAAAGGGGACACTGTAATTTCTCATCACTGACTGCATCTGGCTCCAAATCCAGGATCTGCTGGTAATTGCCGCTCCTTTCCTGTGATCCCATTTGGTGTTCTGAAATGTGGGGACTGTATTGTTAAATGGAACCATCAGCAACCAGGCTCTTTATAAAACAGAAGGAGACTATGAGGGGAAAAAATTAATATATATACATACATCTTTTCCAGTGTGATGGTTAGTTTTAGGTGTACTCTTAACTGAATGAAGGGACACCGAGATAGCTGGTAAGGGCATGATTTTTGGGTGTGTCTGTGAGGGTGTTTTGGGAAGAGATCACCATTTGAATCAGTAGACTGAGTAAAGATGATCCCCCCTCATCCAATATAAGTGGACACCATCCAGTCTATTGAGGGCCTGGATGGAACAAAAAGGCAGAAGAAAAGTGAATTCACTCTCTCTTCTGGAGCCAGGACATCCATCATCTCCTGCCCTCAGACATCAGAACTCCAGGTTCCCCTGCGTTTCGCCTTGGACTGGGAGTTACATCATCACCTCCTCTTGATCTCAGGCCTTCAGATTCAAACTGAATTACATCACCAGCTTTCCTGGGTCTCCAACCTGCAGAGGACAGATTGTGGAACTTTTCGGCCTCCATAATCACATGAGCCAATGCCCATAATACACCCCCTCTTATATCTCTTTATTCTATTGATTCTGTTTCTCTGCAGAGCCCTGACTTATTAATATACACATCAAGGAAGACAAAACAGGAAGATGTTCCATCCTACTTAGCCACAGGTCATGAGGTCAAGATGGTGCTATTGTCTGAATGCTGGTGTCCCCCCACCAAACCCCAAATTCACCTGTTGGAACCTAAAACACGATGCCACAGTATAAAGAGGTGAGGTTTTTGGGGGAGTGATTAAGTCAGGAAGCTCTGCCTCATGAGTGGGATTACTGGCCCTTATAGAAGAGGTTGAAGGGAGCTACCTGTCCTTTCACCTTGCAAAGACACTGAATTGGCTCCTTCTGCCATATGCGGACAATAGAAGGTGCCATCTATGAAGAAGACAAAACTCTCACCAGATACTGAATCTCCTGGTGCCTTGATCTTGGACTCTCAGCTTTCAGAACTGTGAACAATAAATTTCTATTGTTTATAAACTACCCAGTTAAAGGTATTTTGTTATAGCAGCCTGAGCAGACTAAGACAGAAATTGGTACTTAGTGGGGATGTTGCTATAACGAATAGTTTAAAATGTGAAAGCAGCTTTGGAGCTGGGAAGAGTTGAGTTTGGAGGAACAGGTTAGGAAAAAACCCTATATTGTCATGAATGGACCATGAAGGCTATTCTGGTGAGGGCTCAGAAGAGAACTGTAAAGAAAGCCTCAGTTTTCTCAGAGATTACCTAAGTAGTCATAATCAGAATGTTCACAGACATGTGTATGGTAAAGGCCATTCTGATGAGGTCTCAGATGGAAATGAGGAACATGTTATTAGAAACTGGAGGAAAGGCTATCCTTGTCATAAAGTGGCAAAGAACTTGGCTGAATCGTGTTTGTTTCCTAGTGTTTTGTGGAAGGAGGAACTTATGAGTGATGACATAAGATATTTAGCAGAAGAAATCTCTAAACAAAGTGTTGAGCATGTGGCATGGCTTCTCTTGACTGCTTACAGCAAAATACAAGAAGAGAGAAATGAATTAAAGATAGATTTTATAATCAAAAGTGAAGCAGAACTTAGATTTAGAAAATTATCAGCCTGGCCATGTTGTAAAGAATGAAACAGTGGGTCTGAGAAAGAACACCAAGGGTGTGCCCAAGCAACAGTTTGATAAGGAGAGTAACATGGATTAGTGGAAGCCTATTTGTCAAGGGGACAATGGAGGAATGACCCTGAAGGCATTTTGGAGATCATCAGGGCTGCCTTTCTTCTTATAACAGGCCTAGAGTGCCAAGGCCTGGAGGGCAGAACTGTGTCAGAAGAGGGGCCTTGGGTGCCTAAGGGACCTCATCCCTCACTGCCCTGTGCCAACCCAGACCTCTGCTCCCTGAGGCTGGTATAGCACTCCTCAGCTGTCCAAGATGAAGCTCCAGTGGGCCCAGGTGTGATGTATGCCATAGTGGCTGTCTCTCCAGAGGTCACAGGTGGTAAACCTTGGTAGCATCTGTGAGGTGCCATCTCCACCAGGAAGCACAGTACACAGGCTCTGGAGGCATGGTTTCCTCCACCTGGATTTCAAAGGATGCCCCAAAGAGCCTCAGAGCCACCACAGAGAGCCCCCACTAGGGCACTGGCCAGTGGAGCTGTGGGATCTGGTGAGGATCTTCTTCCTTTGCCCTCACATGGCAGAAGGCCAAAGGGCAAGAGAGCTGAACACTGTGTAAAGCCTCTTTTGTAAGGGCCTTCATCCCTACTCATAAGGGGAGAATCCCCCATGACCTAGTCAGCTCTTACAGGCCCTACCTCCTAATACTATCACACAGGCAACATCTGAATTTTGGAGGGGACACATTCAAACCATAGCAGTAACAACTTGCAAAATTCTAGTGCAGATCACAACCAGGACATTGCCATTGACACAATCCACTTATCTTTCCCCAAATTTTACTTGTATTCATTTGTGTGTGTGTGTGTGTGTGTGTGTGTGTGTGTGTATGTGTGTGCGTGTATGTAGTTCAATACAATATTATCACAGGTGCAGGTTCATATATTCACAACCATAATCAAGACACAGAACAATTCCACCCCACAAAGATACCTGTTACCATCTTATAACTAACTACACACCACAATCCCTTCTGCCACCACCCATTCCATCCCTAGCCACTGACAACCACCAATCCATTCTCCATTAAAATTTTTGTCATGACAAAAATGTTTTATTAATGGAATCATATAGTATGTAACTTTTTGGGGCTGACATTTTTCACTCAGTCTAATTCCCTGAAGATTGATCCAAGTCATTGTGTGTACCAAGAGTTCATTCTTTTTTTTTTAATTGCTGAGTAGTATTCCATGGCTGGTATGTACTCTTTTTTTTAACCATTCGCCCATGAAAGGTGAGAAGGGATGTTTCTACTTTCTTAGTATTACAAATATAACTGCTATGAGCAGTTATATACATGTATGGGTTTTATGTGAACAGAAGTTTTCATTTTTCTGGGATACATGCCAAGGAGGGCAATTGCTAGGTCATATGGTATAGTTGCATATTTAGTCTTTTAAGAAGCTGCCAAAGTGTCTTCTACCGTGGCTGTACTATTTTACCTTCCCAGTAGCAATGTGAGTGATCTGATTTCTTCGTATTCTCACAAGTATTTTGGTGTTGTCATTATTTTTTAAATCTTAGCAACTCTGAGAGGTATGTAGTGATATCTCATTTTGGTTTTAATTTGTATTTCCCTGATGACTAATGATACTGAACATCCTTTCATTAAATTATTTCCCATCTGTATATCCCTTTTGGTGGAATATTGGTTCATGCCTTTTGCCTATTTTCTCATTGGATTGTTTGTATGTTTTAGAATTTGGGAGATCTTTGTATGTCTAGATATTGCAAATATTTTTCTCAATCTGTAGCTTGTCTTTTTATTCTCTTCACATGATCTTTTGCTGAGCAAAAGATTTTTATTTTGGTAAGATCTAGATGATCACATTTTCCTTTTATATGTCATGCTTTTGGTGTTAAGTGTAAAAACTTATTCCATAGCCCTAAATGCTGAAATATTCTCCTGTGTTTTTTTCCTAGAAGTTTTATACTTTGGTTTTAAATATTGTTTAGAAGATGCTCAGTTACTTATTCTCTGAGTCATGTCCAGTACAGGGATTGCCAAGGGTCTCTGTGTTCTTTTTTAAAAAATTATGGTAAAATACATATAACATAAAATTTACTTTCTTAACCATTTTTAAGTGTACAGTTCAATGGGATTAAGTACATTCTCACTGTTGTGCAGCCATCACCACCATCCATCCACAGAGCTCTTCTGATCGTTCCAAACTGAAACTCTGTACATATTGAACAGTAGCTCCCTCCTCCCTCTTGCCCACAGCCCTTAGCAACCACCATTCTACTTTCTATCTCTATGCATTTAACACATAAGCGGAATAATACAATATTTGTCTTTTTTGACTGGTTTATTTCATTTAGCATAATGTCTTCACACTTCATCCATGTTGTAGCGTGTGTCAGAATTTCCGTCCTCTTTAAGGCTGAATAATATATATACCACATTTAGCTTATTAATTAATTCATCAGTGGACACTTGGGTTGCTTCCACCTTTTGGGCATTGCAAATAATGCTGCTATGAACATGGGTATATAAATATCTCTTCAAGGCCCTGCTTTCAGTTCTTTTGGGTATATACTCAAATGTGGAATTGCTAGATCACATGGTAATTTGATTTTTAATTTTTTTTTTTTTTTGAGACAGAGTCTCGCTCTGTCGCCCAGGCTGGAGTGCAGTGGCGTGATCTCGGCTCACTGCAGGCTCCGCCTCCCGGGTTCATGCCATTCTCCTGCCTCAGTCTCCCGTAGCTGGAATTACAGGTGCCCGCCACCATGCCTGGCTAGTTTTTTGTGTTTTTAGTAGAGATGGGATTTCACCATGTTAGCCAGGATGGTTTCGATCTCCTGACCTCGTGATCCAGCTGCCTTGGCCTCCCAAAGTGCTGGGATTACAGGCATGAGCCACTGTGCCTGGCCGATTTTTAATTTTTTAAGGAACTGCCATACTGTTTTCCACAGCACCTATACTGTTTTACATTCCCATCAACAATGCACAACTGATTGAAATGCTCATCTATTCCAGAGACACCCTCATAGACACACTGGAAATAATGTTATATCAGGTATCTGGACATCCCTTAGTCCAGTCAAACTGACACCTAAAATTAACTATCACCATCTATTATCTGCCTTTATGCCAGTGCCACACTGTTTTGATTATTGTCGCTTTGTAGTAAGTTTTGAAATCAGGACGTGGGAGACCATTAACTTTCTTCTTTTTCAAGTTTTTTTTTTTGAGACAATAGTCTTGCTGTGTTGCCCAGGCTGGAGTATAGTGGTTATTTACAGGTGCAATCCCACTACTGATCAGCATGGGAGTTTTGGCCTGCTCCATCTGCAACCTGTGTTAGTTCACTTCTCCTTAGGCAACTTGGTGGTCTCCCACTTCCAGGGGGTCACCATATTGATGCTGAACTTACTGTGGACACCCAATCAGCACTGTGCACTACAGCCCAGAACTCCTGGGCTCAAGCAATCCTCCTCCTGTCTCACCCTCCCGAGGAGCTGGGACTATAGGCACGAGCCACCACACCTGGCTCAAAGTCATTTTAGATGTTTTACATCTTAAGTCCACGATCCATTTCAAGTTAATTTTTGTGTAAGTTGTGAGATTTAGGTTGAGGTTATTATTTCCGCTATGGATGTCTAATTGCTCCAGCACTATTTGTTGAAAAGTTTTGAATTGCTTTTGCATCTTTGTCAAAAATCGGTTGAGCCTATTTGGATCTATTTCTGGGTCCTCTGTTCGGGTCTATTGATCTATATGTTTATCCCTTTGCCAATACCATATGATCTTGCCTACTGTAGCTATATCAGGTAGAGTGATTCCTCCCACTTTATTCTTCTTTGTCAAGATTATTCTAACTATTCGAGGGTCTTTAACTTTCCATATAAATTTTAGAATATGCTTGTCTAAATCTATTAAAAACTTTGCTGGAATTTTGATAGGCATTGAATGAAACTTATAATTCAGTTTGAGGAGAATTGACATCTTTACTATGTTGTCTCCCAACACATGAACACACTCTGTCTCTCCATTTGTTTAGCTCTTCCATTATTTCTTTAATCAGCATTTTGTAGTTTTTGGCATACATATCCTCTATGTGTTTTGCCTAAATATTTCATTTTCTTTTGAGTGACTGTACATGGTATTAAGTTTTAAATTTCATTTTCTTCATGTTCATTGTTAGTAAATAGAAATGCAATTAATGTTTGTGTGTTAATCTTATATCCTCCAACTTTGCTGAACTCATTGATTAGTTCCTGTAAGCATTTTATGGGGATTTTCTGGGATTACTTCCCCTTCATTCCTGAAAGATACTTTCATTGGATATAAAATTCACAGCTGATAGCTCCCCCAGCACTTGAAATATGTTGTACCACTTCCTTCTGGCCTCCATAGTTTTGCTTTTTTTTAGAGATGGAGTCTCACTGTGTCCAGCGAGTGTTAGAGTCCAGGCTGGAGTGCAGTGGCATGATCTTAGCTCACTGCAACCTCTGCTTCCTGAGTTAAACAATTCTCCTGCCTTGGTCTCCCGAGTAGCTGGGACTACCAGCGTGTGCCACCACACCCAGCTAATTTTTGTATTTTTAGTAGAGATGGGTTTTCACCATGTCGGCCAGGCTGGTCTTGAACTCCTGATCTCAAGTGATCTGCTCGCGTAGGCCTCCCAAATGGCCTCCATAGTTTTGGATGATAAATCCACTGTCATTTGAATTGGTGTTTAACTACAGGTGATGTATTGTTTCTCTCTGTCTGCTTTTGATATTTTTTTCTTTGTCTTTAGTTTTCAAAAGTTTAATTATGATGTGTCTTGGCATGGATTTATTTGGGTTTATTCTGTTTGGGGTTTTCTCAGCTTCTTGGATGTGCTGGTTTGTGTCTTAACCAAATTTTGGAAGTCTTCAGGCATTATTACTTTAGTTATTCTCTCAGCCTCATTCTTTCTCCTCTCCTTCTGAGACTGCAATGATATGCAGTGATACAAACACTGATTTTTTTGTTATTGTCCTATGGGCCCCTGAGACTGACTCTCTCTCTCTATGTGTATATATATATGTATACACACACACACACACACATACACACACACACATATATATATATCATTTCTTCCCACAATATTATGTCTTTGTTGTTTAGACTGGGTAAATTCTATTGATCTGTCCTCAATCAAGCACTGATTTTATCTTCTGTCATCTCTCCCCTATTGAGGCCATCTAGTAGGCTTTTATTTCTGTGGTTGTATTTTTCAGTTCTATAATTTCCATTTGGTTCTTCTATATAACTTCTTTTTTGGTGAGATTTTAAATTTTTTTATTCATTCCAATAAAATTTGAATCAATTGTTGAAGCATTATTATGATGGCCACTTTAAAATCCTTGCCAGATAATCCTAACAACTGGTTAATCTCAGTGTTGGTGCCAGTTGATTCTTTTCACATTCAGGTTGTGATATTCCTCATTCTTGGTATGACAGGTGAGTTTCAGTTGTGTCTTAGATATTTTGGCCATCATGTTAGGAGACTCTGGGTCCTACTTAGTTCATTGGTTGCAACATCAGTCACCTTGTTTACATTTATCATGCATATCTCGGTCTGAGGACTGAGGTTCCAGTGGGCTGAGGTTCCAATGACAATTTAATTTTCAGATGCTTTGTGGTGTTCTTTTCATATGCTTGGTTTCTTTGGTGCTGCTGGAGCTCCTGCTGGTTCCTGCTGGTGCTGCCTGAGAGGGCAGAAGGGGTGTTCCCAGGTCAGGCTGCCCAGCTCTCTTGGCAGGGGAGGTGAGTTTCGGGCCCAGTGTGAAAGGAGAGTGCTTCCCCTGGTTGCTAATTGTTAGTGGGGCACCTGAGTAATCTCCCCTCTGGTGGTGCTGGGCTCATGTGGAGTTGTCAGAGGGACTCCTCTTCAAATTGTAAGAGGGCTGAGCCTGTTTTGGCTGCCTTCTGTTGATAGGCTGGGTGTCTGGAAACACCAGGCCTGGGTCATCTTCTTCCACTGAGTGGGGGCACATAAGATATCCTGCCACTGAGTTGTTCCTTTATTCTTAGGGTCCCAAACTAATGCATAATTCCCTTGCCAGCTTTCAGTGTTATCTTCTGATTGCCTCTTGCATTGTTTTCACAGTTCATAGTTGTACTTGACAGGAAGGAGCAGGGGGAAACAAGTTTACACCATTTTGTCCAGGCCAGAAGTCGTCTTTTCAAACATTTAAAAAAGTAGATCACTGTATTAGTCCGTTTTCACACTGCTGACAAAAACATACCTGAGACTGGGTAATTTAGAAAGGAAAGAGGTTTAATTGACTCACAGTTCCACATGGTTGGGGAGGGCTCACAATCATGGCAGAAGGCAAGGAGGAGCCAAGTCCTGTCTTACATGGATGGCAGCAGGCAGAGAGAGAACTTGTGCAGGGCAACTCCTCTTTATAAAACCATCAGCTCTTGTGAGACTTATTCATTATGAGAACAGCAAGGGAAAGACCCGCCCCCATGATTCAATTCCCTCCCACGACACGTGGGAATCGTGGGAGCCACAATTCAAGATGAAATTTGGGTGGGGACATGGCCAAACCATATCAATCGCCAAAGAGCTCATTGGAAACTCAGCATGTGTGAAGGGCCTTGTTAATTAGAGGGCTTCACTGTAGGATGATTTGACCAGGCTTACTGATATCTTTTTGTTTCCTCTTGGGCTGTCAGATCCCTCAATTTCAATTCTCTATTTGGAGGTCATAGCTGACCTGCCAGCTTTCTGGGAGCTGAGTGGGAATAGGGTTTTCCATTTAGAACATGGAGTTTCTTTTAATTACCCAGTGTTCACACTGCACCACTGCCTTCACCTCTGCTGAGTGTCTTAGTCAAGAGCCCTCTGGTTTACCTTCTTTGGAAATGAAACACCTGGCTTCTACCAGGTGGTGGTTGATTCTCCTGTATGTTTAAAGGTACCTGGTGTTGCCAATTCTGGACCTTCTCTGTGGATTCTGAGGTATAGAAGAGTTGCATCTGGGCTTCCCACTGCTGACTTAGAGTCAGGACTGCTACGCTGCTCATCACACATCACCTGCTTTCCAGAATCCGTGGTGGTATTGTTATGTCCCTGTAGAGTATGTTGTATACTATGTTCCTGAGAGTTTATGCTATATATTTTTTTCTCTTTACCATCTACTTTAATTGTAGTGAGCTTTCAAAAGGAAGCAAAATTAAAATGTGTATTTTATCTGCCACCATTAACTGGAAGGCTTGCCTCACTTCTCCTGCTACAAAATGAGATCTTCGATCAGAAGCAGGCTTGAATTTGGTTCCATGAAAATGAGTAAGGCGTGAAGTCTATGGATAGAGGGATTAGCAGAAATGTGGCAGGCAGAGAAGGCAAATCCAGATTCAGAATACATATCAGTAAAACTTTAGTAGAATGACCAATTTCAATTCTTAGGAAACCCACAATCCATTAGTCACTCCCAAGGATCTCTGTAGGTCAAACCATCTGATTACCACCCACTCCAGCCCTGCTGCTTATTACAGTAACCATGCCCATTTTGCCTTTGGTGCTTATGAGCCATTCCTTGGCCATTGTCAACCCTAAGATCCCATTATCCTCCCTGAAAGCAGGAAGGCCACTTCATAGGCAAAGGCTCCCACCCACACCCTTGACAGGCCAAAGTTGCCAGCATTTCTCACCAACAAGTTCCTCAGTGATGGGCAAAAGTGTCCTCTAAGCCCTCTCAGCAAACACAGGTGGGGATGGATGACATACCTAATAAATCCACTCCAACATTCTGGGCTGCCTGTTTTTGGATCCTTTTATGTAATGTAAGAGCATTTCCAGCATCTCAACTTCTTGCATCATAGGCCACCTTTAACCCAGAAGTCAGTGAAGAAGCAAGCAGGCCATTAGAAATTCTCTCGACTTCTCAAGCTCACCCTTGAGCACCTGTTGCTGGTATACTCCTGAAATGATTTTCAACATCACACAGCCCTCTTAGCAGTAGATCACAGAATCTTCACTGGCTAGTGTGGTATCAGACAGATTACAGAAACTTCAGGAATGCTCGAGTCAGGATTGCAGGATACATAGCCCAGACAATGGCCAAACCACAGCCAGTAGGGACAGATCCCTCAGCTTGTATGGTGGACAGTGGAAAGTAGACTCCAGAAGTTCCAACACTGCTGTCCATCAGCCCTTCGCCAAAATATGGATGCTGCAGGTTCCTGCTTCCTGTTCCAAACTGAAGTTTTGGGATGGGCGCATACAATGGGTTGAGCTCAGTGGCATGTCTGTGTTCCTGGGGAAGCTGGGAAAATAAATTCTGGTTTCTACCACAGGGAAGAAGGACTACTTATGTGGGAACTGTCCAAAACATAGGAAGACTATTTAGGAGATGCAGGAAGGCCACCAAGTGTGACAAATATCTGCCACCCAAATATCCTGAGTTCAAGCAATTCTCCTGTCTCAGCCTCCCGAGTAGCTGGGACTATAGGCACACGCCACCATACCCAGCTAATTTTTGTATTTTAGTAGGCACGGGGTTTCACCATATTGATCAGGCTGGTCTCGAACTCCTGACCTCAGGTGATCCACCCACTGCCCTGGCCTCCCAAAGTGTTAGGATTACAGGCGTGAGCCACTGCGCCCGGCCCCATTTTGTGTTTCTCTTAAATGACCCTGTGATATACTAAGATTCCTAATGAAGGCAGAAGCTATCAGTTAAAAATATGAGTAGACAACCTGGATGAAGCTTAAAATAATTATACTAAGTGAACGATGTCAGACAAAAAAAGTACATACTGTATGATTCCTCTTACATAAAACTTTAGGAAATGCAAATGAATTATAGTGACAGAAAGCAGATCAGTGATTGGGCTGGGGTGTGTGGGAAGAGATGGAGGAGAGATTTTAAAAGGGGATGAGGAATAGTTCGTGGGTGACAGATGTGCTCCCTGTCTTGATTGTGGTGGTGGTGGTTTCACGGATGTGTATACATATGTCAAAACTTATCCAATTGTACACTTTAAATATGTGCAGTTTATCACATGCCACTTATGCCTCATTAAAGTTATTTTCAAAATATTAGACTGCTTCCTATTTGCTGGCCATCTAAATTTCAATTTCTGTAAAATGGGAAAAATAATACCTACCTTATAATTTTGGTGTGAAGATTAAATGAGTAAAAATTAAAAGGATGAAATGAGATGACATCTTCCCTTGGATTCCACTAAAAGTCTTGGAGTCACCCTTTCTCCCCTCTTTTTCTACACCCACATGCAACCTCTGGGTTGATTAGAGTGGGTGGAGATAGAGATGAAACAGGGTTGGCCGTGACTTGAAGACTTGACAGTTACTGAAGTGGGGAGATGGGTACATGAGAGGTCAGAATATGATCCTCTCTACTTTTGTATGTATTTGTATTTTCCACAATAATAATTTAAAAATAAACAGTGAGGCTGGGCATGGTGGCTCACACTTGTAATCCCAACACTTTGGGAGGCCAAGGTGGGAGGATCATTTAAGGCCCGGAGTTTGAGACCAGGCTGGGCAAAATAGTGAGATTCCATCTCCACAAAAATTTTAAAAATTAGCTGGGTGTGGTGGTAGGTGCCTGTAGTCCCAGCCACTCAGGAGACTGAGGTAGAAGGATCATTTGAGCCCAGGAGATCCAGGCTGCAGTGAATTGTGATCACACCACTGCACTCCAGGCTGGGCAACAGAGCGAGACCCTGCCTCAAAAAAATAAAAATAAAAAATAAAACACAGTGTTTCCCGGTTTCAACTCAGAGGAAAACCCAAGTCCTGATGCTGGCCCACGGGGGTCAGCATGATCCCCTACCCTAACCTCTCCCCTTACCTCCTCCTACTCACCTCCTCGTTCACTGCTCCAGCCCTATTGGCCTCCGTGCTGTTTTGGGAACGTGCCAGGCACTCTCTTGCCTCAGGACCTTTGCTCCAGCTGTTCCCCCACTGGGAATCCTCCACGGTTTGACCCCTCTCAAATGTGATCCTCTCGGTGAGTCCATCCTGACTACTCCATTTAAAATCGTTACCACCTCCTCCTCCCACTTCCCATGCGCCTTCCGTTTCACTTGTCTCCACAGCCATAACCATCATCTGATGCCCCGTATAACTATTTATTTATTTCTGTCTCCCCTACCAACCTTGCCCCGACCTCCTGACGAATGTAAGCTCCATGAAGACCGGAATTCCTGCCTGATTTGCTCACTGCTGACTCTTCAGCATTTAAAGCAGTGCACAGGTTCTTGATGAATGAATGAGCCACATACACATGTTCTACTTGAATGCCTGGTAGGCAGTGAGCACTATGGGATCCATCATAATCTAAAAATATTTCATTAAGTCATTTGATAAATCTAAGTAAATTGTTCAGTCAGTATCTTCTGGCCTGGTCTTTGAAAATGAGACTACGATTGATGAACGTTTTTGTTAATTCACGAGAGGCAGCAAGGTAGGGAAGGGTTCCCACAGTCTTTGTAAGAGGGCAGATCTGCTTCAAATCCTGGCGCAGCCCATGTCCGCTGTGTGACTTGGCCAAGGTGCCTAGCCTCTCAAGCCTCGTCTCCTCACTGGCTGTGCTTGCTAGCAATGCCCTGCAGTCCAGGGCTGGGCTGGAAGCTCACCACCTGCCCTCCCTGAGTGAGCCCTTGCCTTTTCAGCAAGAGGGACAGGACCACCTCCAGAGCTTGCTCAGGTGCTGTGTCCCTCTGGGACCTGCTGGTGGGGTGAGCAAGTGATGATCAGATGCACCATTTAAAAGGGACAGAGGCCAGGCGCGGTGGCTCACGCCTGTAATCCCAGCACTTTGGGAGGCCGAGGCGGGCGGATCACCTGAGGTCGGAAGTTTAAGACCAGCCTGGCCAACATGGTGAAACCTCGTCTCTACTAAAAATCCAAAAAAAAAAAAAAAAAAAAAAAATTAGCCGGGAGTGGTGGTCAGCGCCTGTAATCCTAGCTACTAGGAAGGCTTAGGCAGGAGAATTGCTTGAACCCTGGAGGCGGAGGTTGCAGTGAGCTGAGATTGCGCCATTGCACTCCAGCCTGAGCAACAAGAGCGAAACTCCGTCTAAAAACAAAAGGGACAGAGAGTGATATTGCTGAGATCACAAAAGGGAGGTGACTCAGTCCTAGCCCAGCCTGCTGTCATCTCTCCTATACCCACCCCCTCCCCCACTCCCCCGCCTGACGTTATAAACAAGTGACTCAGAGGAATGATGGGGGTGTGTCTCATAATAGTTCATTCCAATGTCCTGGGGGCTAAATTTAACACACAGCTGCAGCCTCTGGCACTTTGGGAACAAGTTAATCTTGGTGACTGAGGCTGATGTGTGTGTGTGTGTGTGTGTGTGTGTGTCTGGTGGTGGGGCGGGGTGGGGAGGGTGTGGGGAGGGGTGTCAGTAGTCTAGAACAAGGTAGGCATCAAGACTGGCTGTCCTGGGCTTCAACCCTGGTCCCTCAGACCATAGACAAGGTGCAGGGGCCCCATGGCCAGGCAGTCTCAGGTCTGGCCTAATATGCACCAAGAATAGTGAGTATAGATAGCTAAAGTCCTGAAATATTAAACTTGTAGTGTTACTTTTTGAACACTAGAATTCAGAATGTCACTCCCTAGAATGTTAAAACCCCGGGGGTTTAAAAACCTAGAATAGTAGAATCCTAAGAAATTAATTTGCTAGCACATCTGACACCTTAGAAGTGTTAAAACTAATAGTGTACTCCCAGGACACAGTACCTTGGTGCTTCTAAACTTCCAGCAGAGTTGAACTGAGGTCCTTAGCATCTAACTTTGCCACCTCCTCATTGTGTAGGAAGGGAAACTGTGGCTTAACAGAGCGACATGCCCTGCCCCAGGCCTCATAGGAAAGTGGCAACCTTGTTTACCTAAGGTACCTTCTTGCTTTCTTGCAAGGAGGAGGGACAGAAAGAGGAAAAGCTCTTCCCATTTTAAAGGTGAGGCAACGGGGGTGGTGTCTTATGTCTGTAATCTCAGCTACGAGGGAGGCTGAGGCAGAAGAATGGCTTGATCCCAGGAGTTCAAGTCCAGGCTGGACAACATAGTGAGACCCTGCCTCTTAAAATAAAGGCAGGGCAACAGGGCCGCCAAAAAGTGAACACCATGTCCAACTTCTGACCAGAAAACCCAAGCACCCTGTATCCAGGGGTAGCTGGAGTGAGACATATTCCGGGGGGGAAGATGGAGGCACCAGGACAGAAGTTCCCAGAAAGCATGAAGGAAGGGAGACCCTGGAAGAGAGGCTCCAGTGCTTTCCCGTCTCTGGACTGAGGGTCAGAGCTTAGGCCACCTTCTCCCCTAGGGGCATCTCCTGACCAAAGAATCCAGAGTCAAGACCTCTCCGTGCTCCATTTAGAAATGAGGCAGCCAGGCCCTCATCTTTCAGAAGGGCCCAGACACCCCACCCCCGTCCCATAAGCCCCCGGGGCTGAGTCAAGTCTTTCTCTGGGAGGGGGCCTCTGCCCAGCTGTCCCCTGTGCGTCATGTGCAGGAGGCCAGGCGGCTCGCCTTACAGGGACCCGGCCACCTCTATATATAGCCCCTCGAAGACAGCTGCTCAGTCTAAGCAAACCCCAGCAGGAAAGCAGGGGTACAGAGAGGAGCCCCCTTGGCACCGCCACCGCACCCTAGGCCACCCACCATGGCGCTGGGCTTGGAGCAGGCGGAGGAGCAGCGGTTGTACCAGCAGACGCTCCTGCAAGACGGGCTCAAAGACATGCTGGACCATGGCAAGTTCCTCGACTGTGTGGTGCGGGCGGGCGAGCGCGAGTTCCCGTGCCATCGCCTGGTGCTGGCCGCCTGCAGCCCCTACTTCCGGGCGCGCTTTCTAGCCGAGCCGGAGCGCGCGGGCGAGCTGCACCTGGAGGAGGTGTCCCCGGACGTGGTGGCCCAGGTGCTGCACTACCTGTACACATCAGAGATCGCGCTGGATGAGGCGAGCGTGCAGGATTTGTTCGCCGCGGCACACCGCTTCCAGATCCCTTCCATCTTCACCATCTGCGTGTCCTTCCTGCAGAAGCGCCTGTGCCTCTCCAACTGCTTGGCCGTCTTCCGTCTCGGCCTCCTGCTCGACTGCGCGCGTCTCGCCGTGGCTGCCCGCGACTTCATCTGCGCTCACTTCACGCTGGTGGCGCGCGACGCTGACTTCCTCGGACTCTCGGCCGACGAGCTCATCGCCATCATCTCCAGCGACGGCCTTAACGTGGAGAAGGAGGAGGCAGTGTTCGAGGCGGTGATGCGGTGGGCGGGTAGCGGCGACGCCGAGGCGCAGGCTGAGCGCCAGCGCGCGCTGCCCACCGTCTTCGAGAGCGTGCGCTGCCGCTTGCTGCCGCGCGCCTTTCTGGAAAGCCGCGTGGAGCGCCACCCTCTCGTGCGTGCCCAGCCCGAGTTGCTGCGCAAGGTGCAGATGGTGAAGGATGCACACGAGGGCCGCATCACCACGCTGCGGAAGAAAAAGAAGGGGAAGGATGGAGCCGGGGCCAAGGAGGCTGATAAGGGCACAAGCAAAGCCAAAGCAGAGGAGGATGAGGAGGCCGAACGTATCCTTCCTGGGATCCTCAATGACACCCTGCGCTTCGGCATGTTCCTGCAGGATCTCATCTTCATGATCAGTGAGGAGGGCGCTGTGGCCTACGATCCAGCAGCCAACGAGTGCTACTGTGCTTCCCTCTCCAACCAGGTCCCCAAGAACCACGTCAGCCTGGTTACCAAGGAGAACCAGGTCTTCGTGGCTGGAGGCCTCTTCTACAACGAAGACAACAAAGAGGACCCCATGAGCGCATACTTCCTGCAGGTGCCTGACCAGCCTTGGGAGCCGCCAGCTAATGCTGGGCTCTAGGCACTGTGGACAGTCTTGGGGCCCAGAAGGGGCTTGTGTCTACACAAGTGAATGCCACTGGGTCTAGGGTGAGATGTAGACTGGGGAGGTTGACTGATAGCCACCTACTTGAAGGTTGAAGACAGTCAATAGGCAGCTGCCAAAAAGCAGCATAACTTTGGTATCTTAATTTCAGGGGTGTGGTAGCCCCAAGTTGGCATATGTTGGAGGCCCTGGCCCTGCACAGGGGTTGGGGTGGGGCACAGTAAGGAGCAGCAAGGTCGGTGTGAGGATCCTGGGCAGGGCCTCTGCGTGAAGGCCAGGCCCGGAGCTCACAGCAGTGTCCCAGACAAAGGAACAATCCTGTATGGTCCTCCCATTGTACAGATGAGGAAACTGAGGCCCAGGAGGTATCAGCAGAGTGGAGTGCCAGGTCTGAGTTGGGGTGTGACTGTGAGATCTCAAAGGGCAGAGACAGTTTCCTGGAGACTGGCCATATAAGTTTGAGCCTTGCCAGTGGGGTGGGATTTGGAGATGTGAAGGGGAAGATGGCAGTGTTTCCGGCCAAGGAACGGTAAGCAAGGGATAGAACTGGGGCTGAGCCTGGTGAGTGGTGTGCTCAGGGAGGCCTGATCAGCAAGAGGGGTGACAGGCGCTTGGTGCCAGGGTTAAGCTCACAGGCCTTACGGTTGCACTGGGGGATGAGGGCAGCTTCACCAGCTACTAGCTCAGCAGTGTGGGCACATTGTTTATTCTCTCTGGGCCTCTGTTTGTAACTGGGGATATTCTCCTTCCTGCATGATAAGGTTGTTGGAAGGTTAAATGATGCTTATAAAGTGCTCATCAGCAAGGTGCTCAGCCCTCAGAAAACTTTCCAAAAAGATGAACCCCTAGTATTAATATCTTAATTATAAAGCTGTGGAGGTGGACAAGGCTGTGGACTGTAGATTTTACAGGGCGAAAAGGCAGGGCCGTATTTGGAAGTTTCCTGAACAGTGGGATGGGGTGGAGAGGAGGGGGCAGGCAGGCCTCAGTTGGGAGTTGTTCAGCCTGGGAAAGCAAGGCCATAGCTGGACCTCCCTCACAGAGCTCCCCCTCATTTCTGTGCTGTGGTGCCCTACCGCCTGCTATAATGGTGGTTGCCAGGAGCCTGCCTGGGTGTGGGGGACGCTCATCTGCTCTCAGCCTGATGGTAGGAGGGGCACTGTTTCTCAGGGCACCTCCAGGCTGTATTGGCCCTACCTGGGTTCCCGACCTCCTCCGTGATCTGGGGCAGTGGGACTGAGTGGGGCTGGGCTGAGGCTGGGGGAGTGGGGGGCGGTAGCTGACTGGACACCTGGCCTGCAGTTTGACCATCTGGACTCAGAGTGGCTGGGGATGCCACCGCTGCCCTCGCCCCGCTGCCTCTTTGGCCTGGGAGAAGCTCTCAACTCCATCTACGTGGTCGGTGGCAGAGAGATCAAGGACGGCGAGCGCTGCCTGGACTCGGTCATGTGCTACGACAGGCTGTGAGCATGGCTGGGGTGGGGCTGAGCTCCGTGGGGGTGAGTGGGGCATGGAGGCCGCAGCTGGTCTAGGGCCTGGGGTGGGATTTGGAGCTAGAGCCTTGTGCTTAGAGTGAAGGTGGGCTTGGGTAAGGGCGGGGAGGTTGGGGGGCAGGGTGGGATCAAAGAACTGAGAGGCCTCGGAAGTTCCAGCAATGGATCTGACGCATCTCGAATATGTGTTAGGTGGATGGGCGGATGGGTGCAGAGACAGGGACTGAGCCGAGCCTGGATGGGTGCCCTCCCCCACCCCCACTCCCGTCTCCTCCAGGTCATTCAAATGGGGTGAATCGGACCCGCTGCCTTACGTGGTGTATGGCCACACAGTGCTCTCCCACATGGACCTTGTCTACGTAATTGGCGGCAAAGGCAGTGACAGGTGAGGCTGGGCCTGGAGTGAGTCTGTGGAGCAGAGGTAGAATCTCCCAGAGGCTGTCAGGGGTTTGTCCTGGCTGCCCCGGCAGGTGATTGCAGGGAGGCGTGGCTGGGCTCCTGCTTCTCTCCACCCATCCCCACCCTCCACCCCACAGGAAGTGCCTGAACAAGATGTGCGTCTATGACCCCAAGAAGTTTGAGTGGAAGGAGCTGGCACCCATGCAGACCGCCCGCTCACTCTTTGGGGCCACTGTCCATGATGGCCGCATTATCGTGGCAGCTGGGGTCACCGACACAGGGCTGACCAGTTCTGCCGAAGTGTACAGCATCACAGACAACAAGTATGAAAGCTTGTCCCTTCCGCCAAGGACAACTGCATGGCTTTGGGCTTCTGTCAGCCCCAGCAGGAGCTGCAGTCCCTGTCTTGGGTCTCCAGTGTTGACTTTGGACATCAGTATAGAAATAGGCTTTCTCTCCTGATCAGCAGTGAGGTGGGGAGGCGGGGCAAGGGTTATGGCCAGCCTGGTCTGCAGGAGGGGGCTCCCAGGGCTGGGGGAGGGGATGCCAGGTTCCTCATTCAGGGACTCATACCAGGCAATGGCCTGGTGCAAGGGATATAGCAGTGAACAAGACAGAAGCTGCCCTGCCTGGGACATCAGAAAAGAGAAAACTGAACTGAGAGACAGTTGGACTCAGCTCGCAAAAGGGGTGAGGGTGGTGGGAGGAGGTTGCCCCAGACTAAGGAAAGGTGGTGCTGAGGCAGTTTGGAGAAAAAACTCAAGGCCTATAGGAGGGAAGGTGTTGCTCCAGCTGGGTGGAGGTGGGTGGGTGATGGAGTTGGGATGGCGGTGCTGGGGCTGGAGCGGGGGCCAGCAGGAGAGGGACTGTATCTCATCTGTGTTCTACTAAAGTACTTCATGGCAACTGATATAGAGAGCAGATTAGGGATTTCCCAGGGGTCAGGAAGGTCAGGGGTGATAAAGGCCTGGAGCTGGGGGCACAGCGGAGATGGGGTTGAGGGGATGCACCGGACAAAGACAGGCCAGGGCTTCTTACACTGTGATGGGCATGCAAATCTCCTGGGGATCGCCTTAAAGTGCAGATTCTGATTCTCGGTATGCGGAGGGCTGAAAGCCTGTAAGTCTGCATTTCTAACGCACCCCCAGGAGATGCTGACGCTGCTGGGCCATGAACCACACTTTGAGTAGCAAGAGTCTAGGAGGTGGGAGAAACAGGGCTTAGCTATTGATTGGATGTGGGGGTGAGAGGGGGAGAAGTACATGCTTCTGAGTGAGGGTGGGAGGCCATTTACTGGATAATCATTGGGATTGGGTAGGGAAAGTGAGGGTCCAGTTAGGACATGTGGACTTGAAGTACCTGGGGGTGTCCAAAAGGACCCCACCCGGGAGAGAGAGGGCTGAGCTGGAGGGAGAGATCTGGGGGTCAGTAGCACACGGAGGGGCCAAGCTCCCTCAGGAGAGAGAGTGTAAATGGGAGGAGCTGAGGTCCAAGCCCTGATGGTGGAGGCAGCTGCATTATCCAGGAAGGAGGCCACGAAGGTGAGGCCGAAGAGATGGGTGAGGAAAGTCACGTCAGCAGGGCTGTGTGCTGTAGGACCTCAGTGCGTGTGCAGTGACTGTGGACCTCAGGAAGGTCAGTTTTGGAGGATGGGACTAAGGCCCAAGGCAGGAGCCAGGGTAGCGAAGATACATTGAGAACAACTGGGCTGTGAAGGGAGAAGAAGGATAGAGCAGGTGTGCAAGGTGGGTGGGGCTGCAGGGGCCGCTGAGGGGCAAAAGGACTGCGTCCAGGGCAAGGCTGGGGGCCTGCTAGGGGCTGGGGTTGTGAGTTGGAGGGTGGAGTTAGTTCAGGAGAGGAGTAGGGGCAGTGGGGAGATCCATGGTGGACTTTGCTGGACAGGTTGGATAGAATGGCAAGAGGACAAGGAAAGGAAAGTGGAGGAGCAAGAGAATGGGGAAGGAAGGGAAGACCAGAGGGACAGGGAAGGGGAATGGGGTTGGGGGCATGGGTGCCTGGGACTTGGATTGCAAAGGGTTGCAGTTGGAGCTGTGGGTGCTGGGTGGCAGGGACAGTCACTGGGCTTGCCGAGGCATCCCAATGATGCACCTTCTCACACACCCCCAGGTGGGCACCCTTCGAGGCCTTCCCACAGGAGCGTAGCTCACTCAGCCTGGTCAGCCTGGTGGGTACCCTCTATGCCATTGGTGGCTTTGCCACACTGGAGACGGAGTCTGGAGAGCTGGTTCCCACAGAGCTCAATGACATCTGGAGGTGAGTCCCACCCTGGGGAGGCAAGGGGGCATCATGAGCAAGGCTGACACCCCATAGCACCATGGTGGGGTACCAAGGCACTGGGCAAGCTCCTCTGGGGGCAAAGCGGATCCCTCTTCTAGGGAGTCCTGTAGGGAGGAATAGCCAACATACCCTGCTTGGCCGTTTCTCACCAGTTTGTTGGGAAAGTCTGGGCTTGCACAGATGACACCATGCCCCACTGTGGAGCAGCAACAGTGTTGCAGATGGGAGCAGACCCAAGCTTAGGTCATAGACTCACAGAAACAGGGCCCAAATAGCAGCCGGATTTTCTTCTCTCCTGCCTTCCGGGTGCTTGGTCTGGAGGGAGGGCTGCCACTAGGGCTGGGAAACAGTTGGAGCCCTGGCCTTTCAGAACCATTGCTCTCTATGGCTGGTCCTTTGTGGGGGTGGGAGAAGGAAACTTTAGCCTCTGGGGCATCTCCTTCCTGAACCTGCAGCCATCTGCACTGCTGCAGGCAGCCCCTGGGGAGCAGTGCTGCCGGAGGCTGAGACGTGAGACTTAGTAGAAATGGAGCATGGAAATTCTCAAGGAGAGGACATTGATGGGGTGGTGTGGGCAGTGTAGACCTTCCTGGAGGGGAACTTTGAGGAATATGGGAACACCCCTTGAGAGGTGATCTTTCCTGGGGAGAAAGACCCTTCCTGGAGTGTGGGGTGGGTGTTCCTTGGGGTGGGTCTTGTGGGGGGTCTCCTTTCCCAGAGCCTGGGGATTTTCAGGAGCAGATCTCCCTAGAGATGGGCCAAGTGCCCTCAGCCACCCCTCTCTGCTGCGTTCCACTCTGGACTCAGCTGACCAAGCTCTCCATCCTTGTCCCCACTCTCTCTCATCCCCAGGTATAACGAGGAGGAGAAGAAATGGGAGGGTGTCCTGCGGGAGATCGCCTATGCAGCAGGTGCCACCTTCCTACCAGTGCGGCTCAATGTGCTGTGCCTGACTAAGATGTGACCAGCTCAGGCAGACTGAACTAAGCACCCCTCCCATCCTGCGACCCTCACTGGCCTGGCCTTGTGGGGGCTCCAGAAAAGAGGCTAGGAGAGGCCAGAGTCTACCTGGATCCAGTTATGGTGCCTCAGGGGCTGCGTCAGCCAAGGAAAGGGAAGTGCTGCTTAGTCCTGGACTTTTGGGCAAGGGTGAGAAACTAGAGGCTTCTCCAGTGTTGCCATATCCCCCTAGGTTGTCTTGATCCATGAACCAGAACCACAGGGCGGTATCCCAGGCCGTGTGCTGGCCCTGCCCCAGCCTAGCTGAGTGTGCTGGCAAAGTTCCCCACAGGACTCAGCCTTCTCGTCTGTCCGATGGGAGCATCCCCATCAAGTGCAGTGTACAGTGCAGATATGTCTCCTTCTTTAGGAAGAATAAAGTGCCTTCTGAGCAAGCAGCTCAGGGTCTGCATCAGTGCTCCAAGAGTCAGTGAGCAGGTGTGTTGAAGACTTGGGGCTTCAGTGTTCTGCTGTTGGGCTGCCAAGGTCGATGGTCTCTGCTCTCCATCTGGTGTCCCCTCCACCCTATGGGTGGGAACCCTCCCCTGCCTGAGGCCTAGAGCCTCCAGCTCCTCAGCCACTATGGACGTGGAGCCAGGGGACTGTGGGAAGAAGGGTCAGGGAACAGCCAAGCTGTTGTAGAAAAGTCTTTTATTCTATCGGTCAGGCCCCATCTGGCCCAAGAATAGCTGAGCAGAGCCCATCCCTCTACCCGCTCCCTCCTACTCCGGCTTCTCTTTGTCCTGCTTCTGCTCCTCCTCCAGTGCCAAGGTTCGCTCACGCTCCTTTACCAGCTGGACGCCACAGTAGGTGACAAACAGGATGGACAGCGTGGTCTGGGGGAACCCTGTGTGGGGAGGGAGTCATAGATGCTCAGGAGCAGCACTGCATCCTCAGCGACTTTTGTCTTCCCACCCCTCTCCCCGCTTGATGGGCCCTCCCTTCTGAGTCCCAGGGGTGATGAGGGAGATAGGAGGCATTTTGGAAGGTCACGGTCCTTGAGGCTGATGCCTGGCACCTTCTGTATCCCCACACCCCTGTCCCTCACCTGTGAGTAGCAGGCGCCGGGCAACCAGCTCTGTGAATTTGAGGCTGTTCAGGCTCACAAGGTTGTACATGATGATGGCCCAGAAGTTCATGGCTCCAAACAGGGCCCGGACCCTACGGGACATCTGCACTGACAGAGAGGCCTATCCGGTCCAGGAAAGCATGGGCAGCGGGACAAGAGGCCAAAGGAAAGAGGACATGGTGGGTCAGCAGCCTTACCCACCTGGCCAGTCAGGTCTTGGGGCTATGTCTGGGTCTCGGAGAGCCCCAGGTCAGCTCTCCCTCCTTGTTAAACATGGGGAAACAGGTCCAGAGAGAGGACAAGGCCTGACCAACATGGCAAGGCCCAGGTGCTCCATTCCTCATAGAAGGGAGGGAGGGGCAGATTCCTACAGAGTGAGCCATTGCTCTGACAACTAAGAGGGTGGTGGTGAGAAAGTTCTGGATTAGGGGCCAGGTGTTTGGACAACTCCAGAAAGCAGCAGTGCCCCCCCGCCCTCTATGACCCAGCCAGTCCCAGCCCCAGGTCTTCCCTGCTCACCTCAATTCGTGCTAGGGGCCCCCACTCTGCCAGTTTTTGCATCCAGAGCTCAAAGTTGAGGCCAAAGCAGTTAAGGAATGACCACAGGTAGACAATGTCACAAGGCCCAAGCCACAGTGTGGTGATGGCAAATGTGGCCACTGTGGCTGCCAGCTCTGGGATCACAGCGGAATGCTCCCCACCAATGTGGTTATACACATATCTGCAGGAAAGATGGGAGAAGGGCCACTGGGAGTGTGGGAAAGGGCAGGGATGAGATGGGAGAGGACACACAACAGGGCGTCCTCCTCAACACTGTCACCCTGGGTGCATTCAACATTCCTGACCTCACGTAGCAGCTCCTCCTCCAACCAACTTCAAATTGTGGCAGGCTCAGCCTGGGACATTATAGCTTCTCTATCTCTGTTCGTTTACTTCCCAAATGATCTCATCCAGACCCAAGATTTCAAGTACTAGCTCTATGACGATGACCCCTAAATCTGTGTCTTTAGCCCAGTCTCTCCTGATTTGTATATGCAATTGCTACTAGCCATGTCACTTGATTGACAGATTCCCCTATCCCTGCTCAAACCCAGCTCCGTCCTCATCTCAGTGAATGGCACCACCATCCATTCAGTTGCTCAGGGTATAAGCCTTGGTGCCATCTTGGATTCTCAGTTTGCCTCATCACCCACATCCAAGCAAGCCAGCAAATTCTGTTGGCTCCTCTCAGTCCTGACCACCACTCACCTCCTCTACCACCACCACCCTAGTCAAGATGATCACTCTTCTCACATAAATTATTGCAAGAGCCTCTTAAGTGGTCTTCTTGTTTCTGCTTTTGCCCCCATGGTTCATTCTCCACACAGCAGCCAGAGGCATCTTTTAAGAGTGTAGCTCAGGTCACATCACTTCCATGATTAACCTCTCTGAATAGCTCCCCATTACAATAGGAATAAACTCAGTCTCTTTACTCTGGCTAGAAGATCCCAAGTGGTCTGGTTTCTGTTCCCTTCCTGACCAAATCAGCCACCATGCTCCCCCAGTTCATCATGCTGGCCTCACTGGCCTTTCTTACCTTTACACCCACACAGTTGGTTTGTGTCTCAAGGCCTTTGCCCTTGTTGTTCCCTCTACCTGGTATTCTCTGCTCCACATCTCCTTATCACTCAAATCTCAATTCAAATATCATCTCCTCAGAGAAGCCTGCCTAGACCCCGACTAAAGAAGCTTCTACCCTGTTGTCAACTTCTATCCCATTGCAATTTTATTTTCTTCATAACACTTACCACTCTCTAAAATTATCTTATTTATGTTTGTTTACCTGTTTATGGTCTGTTTCTCCCCACTAGACTGTAAGCTCCATGAGTTCAGGGTCTTTGCCATGTTCACTGCTGTATCCCCAGTGCCTAGAACAATGCCTGGCACATAGGTGCTCAATAAATATTTGTTAAATAAGTTCTGTGGAAGACCCAGGAATAACCAGCCTCTCCATTCCTCGACCTCCTCATTTCCAATGGCTTTTTCTCCACTCCACCTCAGCCACCCACACCCATGGCCATGCCCCAACTTTGTCACCACTTGAAAGTTCACTCCTTTCTAATTCCCATTCTTTGCCCAACTCCTCTTGACCTCCTGGCCCCCCAGCTTCAGTTCTTCAATCCCATTGATCTTGTGACCCTCCCACCTTCACCACCGTCCTTAGCAGGCTTATATCCAATGAGTCATGACTATAAATAATCTAAAAACCCTTATTCCTGACTTCTTCCTTGTCATCCATCTGGGAGAGCCCAATCACTTACTTTCTCCTCAGCTACACCCAGGCAGCTAAGCCCCATGGGGGAAATCTCACATCTTCACATGCTGGAGTTCATAAGCCCACCACCTCCAATACCACCTGGGTACTCAGTGCCAAGATTTCTCTAGTCAGCTGCTTCTCCCTTGCTCTGCAAGGGCCACTGTATTCTTATCTCCCCACAAGTATGAGTGGAGAGATAGTATGAGTGGGGGGATCCAGGCTGGGTTGTGGGGGTAAGCATATATGTTGCCTCTCTCCACGTCCCTGTCCTGGCTTTCTCAGCTGATGGCCGTGCCTCCTGCTTCATGGACAAGGCTGAAGCCTTCAGGTGGAATCCCTTACTTGTCTACATTAACCTGCTTTCCTCTGCATCCACACTGGCTTCTCTTCCTCCTCCTCCCACTGAAGCCAGGCCTCCGCCTGGAACTAGACACCCTCACCTCCTTCCTCTTCAGGGACCTCACTCCATCAATCACCCCTGTATCCTGCATCCCCAGCTTCTCTGTTGAATAATTCTTCTTAGCATGTCCCATTCTCTCCTATCTTTAACACATCCCTCTTCTCCCTCAGCCACTCCTGTCTTCCCCCTGCAGTCCCAGGCTTCTTCCAGGAGTCATCACACACTTCTCTACTCCTCAGTTGACTTTCCCTCCTTACCTGCTCCTGCCTTGCCCATGAAAGGCTGAAAACCTCCATGTCACCAGCACTAATCCTCGGTCTCCAGCTTCCTTGAGGCTCAGTGGCATCTGACCAAGCTGTCCCCACCATGCCTGGATGGTCTTCCCTTGGCTTCCAGGGTGGCACATGACCTTGATTCTTCTCCTGCCCCTCCAACTACTCTTTCCAGTCCTTTCTGCTGGCTCCTTTTCCTTCCAAGCAGAGCTCTTGCAGGCTGAATCTCGGCCATCCCCGTCTCTCCTCTTCTCACACCACTCCCTCTCCTGAGGACTTACCCACTCCCAAAGCCTAAAAACCACCTGCCCACACTCAGGACGCTCTGAGTTCCATCAGTCCTCTGGACCCTCAGAAACCCAGACCCTCAGACCCAACCACCTCCCTGAACCTCCACAGGGATGTCTCCTAGATTGCGACTATACATTTCTTAAACTGAAGCCCTCTCTGGAAACTGCCCTCCATCCTCCCAGGCTGCAGACAGCAATTTGAGCGTCATCTCCTTCTCCTTCCCAACACCCACAGTTCATGGCCACGTCCTGTTCAGGCTGCTGACTGTGTGACCCTCCTCCCACCACCTCTCTCCACCTCGAGGGCCCTCACTTAAATCCTAACTTCTATATCTTTCACCCAGACCTCTGCCAATACCTCCTCACTGCCCTCTTTGCTTCCCCTGGCCCAGGGGTGATCTTTTAAAATGTGGACCCATCTTGGCACTGCCCTGCTCAGACACCTGGCAGGATGGCTGTGACCACCCCCACCCCACTCCTACTCACTTGCAAAGCCAGTCGTTGATGCCACGGTCAAAGTGCCTGTAAGAGGAAAGCAGATGGGCATGTTGCCATCAGGCGCAGAGCTCCCCAGGCATGGGGGAAGAGGCTAGGGGAAGGTGTGGTCCCAGGGGGTGAGCCTCCCCCGTCCTGGCCAGCACTCACGTTTCCGCAAAGACGTAGAGTGCGGTGATGCACTTGGGAGGCTGGGGTGGGTCCAGGTGGTCGAGGCATGCCACAGTGTTGACAACACCAAAGAGGACGGCCGCCTTCACCCAGTCATACACCAGGTTTGAATAGGCTAGGCCAGCTGGGGGCAGGGCACTGTCACTGCCTGGGGTCCAATCGCCTGGGGCCTGCCCCCATGAAGACCCTGTCCCACCACTTCCTTGGGGAGACACCAGGCTCTGCCCGCCCCACGGAGACCCCCCCATATTGTGGAAATCAGTCATGCCTGGTGAAGTGGGTGGGGTCCGTGGGATGCTGCTCTGGCCCCACAGGATGAAGCTAATGCCAAGACCCATGCAT
The DNA here is from genome assembly GCF_000001405.40 of Homo sapiens. Taxonomy (NCBI): domain Eukaryota; kingdom Metazoa; phylum Chordata; class Mammalia; order Primates; family Hominidae; genus Homo; species Homo sapiens. Next base: position 42,697,364 of record NC_000003.12, read on the forward strand.
TAGAAAGAATAAGCCCCTGCTCCCACGCCCTCAGGTGCTGTGCCCTGCGTGCCTCAGCTCCCCTGACTGTGGCACCGTGGGGGTGCAGAGGGTCTGTTTTCCTGGGGCGGCAGCCCTGCCCCCATTTCTCTTCTGTGGACCCACCGAGGGCACTGTCTGGGAGGCGGTTGGCGAACTTGAGGTCGCTGGGGATAGTGAGGATGTAGAAGAAGTGAAAGAAGATGTCGACGGCCATGATGGCCACCACGCTTAGGCCTGCCTGGGCTCGGATGTGCCACAGCTCACCCTCGCGTCTCACTGGCTCCACCTGGCTCACCTGGGGGGATGCGAAGGGTCTGAGGGAAGAGGCAAGCCCTGCCTGGGGAGCCCTGTCTGAGGGGGGCTCACCAACTACTTGGGGCAGGAGGAGCCATGGCTTTATCCAGGAGTCCTGCCTGAGGGTGGAGACAGAGGTCACCCTGGAGTCTGAGGAGGATTCACAGCCAGCCATGGGAGACCCAGTTCTGTCCTGGGAGCCCCATTTGAGTGGGAAGGGAACATTCGTGGCCTGGGAGTCCTGTCTGAGAAAAGAGACATGTCTCCACCCTGGGGTCCCTGCTGGAGGGGAAAGGTGGCCCCATCCTGGGGTCTGAGGAGGGAGGGGAGACACGGCTTCATCCTGGAATCATGCCTGAGGATGGGGATACAGCCTGCTTGGGGAATTCTATCTGAGATGGAAACCCCAATCTGAAAAGGGAGATTCAGCCCTGTTCTAGAAGCCCACAGGGTGTCCCCTCACCTGAGCATGGAAGCGATCAAAGGTCATGATGGGCCCGAAGAAGAAGAAGGGCAGGTAGAAGTTGTACTTGAGCAGGTCAGCTAAGGAGTAGTGGCGGTCAGGGTGGGCACAGCTCTCCAGTGCAAAGCTGGTGCAACGCAGCACTGTGAAGCTGCTGCCCCCATGAAACAGCACCTCTTGAAGATCAAAAGTGCCTGTTACAAACCCGCTCTGGAGGGGGAAAGAACAGGCCACCAGCTCACTAGGGTGCCTCCTGTCTCTGGAAAACCTATTCCCCACTCCCTAGCTTCCCACAGGGGCCCAGCCTGGTCCTGTCCCTTCCTCTCTTCCAGAGCCAGTTAACTTTGGCCACTGCTCTATCCCAGCAATGCGAGGAGCAGGGGATGATCTGGATAGTTCCTCCTGTGATGCAGGTGCTCACCTTGTGGCCAGGACATACCCAAAGGCTTGAAGACAGGTGGAAAGTGAAGGGAATACTTGGGGATACTTGGGGTGCAAGGACTTTGGATGAAGTGAGAGGTTTGGGATCTTATCCCTACACCCTCTACCCCTGCACCAGTTCACACCTGCCAAGAGATTAGGGGGTCCATCTTGAAGGAGGCCAGGCTGGCCAAGCCAAGGCCAAGACAGAGCCAGGGCTGGCCCAAAAGCGAGGCCACATAGAGGCCCACACAGTGACCAAGCAGCAGCAGCAGGTACCAAGGGCCCATTGTGCCCATCACAGCCAAGGCCCCGTACACAGCATACATCCAGGAGCGGAGCTGTGGGCAGGGAGAAGGCTTCAGTTTCGCCATATAAATGGGGGCGTGACCCCAGGAGGGGGTTCCCACAACCCTTGTGGTGAAAGAGGAGCTGGCAGGGAGAGGCTGGGTGGCCCAGGTCCAGCTCACCTTTGGGGCAACCATCGTGCAGAGTTTAGCAAACAGCACATGTCCGGAGAGGGCAAAGATGATGACGTTGCGAAAGGAGGTGAACCACATCACCCACTCGAAGTCAGCCACATCCTGGGGCAGTCCGGGGCAGAAGGAGGTGGGGCAGGTGAGGGTGGGAGAGGGGACAGGACGAGCTGGAACCTGGGCTGGTCAGAGCCCCAGCACCTTTCCCAGCCTTCATGTTCTTCTTTTATTATTATCATTTTTAAATTTAATAATAATAATTATTTTTTACCACTAGCCAAACCCAACGTGTCCTCTTTATGCAAACACAAGAGCAGTGCCTGCAGGTCTCCACACTCCTCTGTGAAGGAAGTACCGAGGCAGGAGGGTAGAGAGGAGTGAAGGGCACCATGGGGGCTGCCGGGTCGCTTGAAGCTCCCCCTCTCCTCCGCACGTTGCCTGCCATTCCCCCTTTACTGCTTTGTTTCTGGGAAGGAGGTGCTGGAGGCTCCACTGAAGCACACTCCACTAATGCGACCTATTTCCCAAGTGAGCAGGGCCCGGGCAAACTTGATGTCCCAGGAGGATACAGGAGGGGCCAGTAAAGAAGCTGAAGGCACTGAAGCTCAAGCCAGAGGCCCCAGAGCTGTGAGAAGCTCTCTGTTACTTGCCAACATCTGGAACAGCAGAGAGCAGAGAAGGGTTCGGGATGGGAGGGACCCTGGGATGTGGGGGACCTACCATCTTCCGGCCAATGTACTCCCAGCCAGGTCGCACAGACTCCCGGAAGGCCTTCCTGTGGGCCCCATCTGAGAACAGAGTGTGGCCTCAGGGAGAGGGGCCTTCACATCCCCTGCCCCACCTTCCCCCGTGGACAAGGCTGCCCCACCCTGGGGAGCGAGGGCATCAGGAACGGGGCACGGGTCTGAGTCTCTTTGGTGCTGCATCTGCTTCTTTCTGGGTCTCGCTGTGTGTCTGGGTCCAGGACTCTGTGTGTGTGTGTGTGTGTTGGGGTGTGTGTGTATATGTCTGTGTGTTTGTGTGTGTGTCGGGGTCCAGGTCTCTGTGTGTGTGTGTGTGTGTCGGGATGTGTGTGTGTGTATGTCTGGGTCTAGGTCTCTGTGTGTGTGTGTCTGGGTCCAGGACTCTGTGTGTGTGTGTGTGTGTGTGTGTGTTGGGGTGTGTGTGTATATGTCTGTGTGTTTGTGTGTGTGTCTGCATCCAGGTCTCTCTCTGTGTGTGTGTGTCTGGGTCCAGGTCTCTGTGTGTGTATGTGTGTGTGTGTGTGTTGGGGGGTGTGTGTATATGTCTGTGTGTTTGTGTGTGTGTCTGGGTCTAGGTCTCTGTGTGTGTGTGTGTGTGTCGGGATGTGTGTGTGTGTATGTCTGGGTCTAGGTCTCTGTGTGTGTGTGTCTGGGTCCAGGCCTCTGTGTGTGTGTGTGTGTGTGTCTATGTGTGTGACTCTGTGTCCATCTCTCTGTCAGTGTCTCTGCATCTCTGTGTTCCTGTGACTGAACCTGGCTCCACCCAGCCTCCAGTGACTATCTGAGATGGGAACCCCGGGCTGAAAAGGGAGATCCAGCCGTGTTCTAGAAGGAGTACCCTAGGTCTGGAGCCTGTAACTTTCTGGCTTTGCTGGTTGGAACCCTGAGGCCTCCAGGGGAAGAAGGGTCCTGTCCACCTGCCCCGGGGCACAGCCATTACCTTGTGAAGCCTCAAGGAGGCCCCGGCCAGCATAGGCCAGGGCCCCACTCAGCACCAGAGAGTAGAGGCCCAGCTCAGCCGCCGGCAATGCTGTCTTGATGCCCATAGCCTGGACAGGGCTGGGGAGACAGGTTGGGTGAGGGAATTACAGTCTCCAGCCAAGCCTAGCCCCACCTCATGGTCCCACCACCCCAGTGGGGACCCACTCTGAAGAGAGATTGCCCCTCCAGCCCCTTGGGGACCTTGTACCATCACTCTGCCTGCCCCTGTGCCCCCCACAGTTCACAGGCCACCGAACACCAGTGCCCCATCCCAGCTGCTGCTCTTGCCCCCACCCCACCCATCAAGGCTCTTGCCCGCAGAGCCCTCACTCGCAGCCTGCCTCCCTCACCTTCATTTACATCTTCATACCTTCCAGAGGCACCGGCCCCACCCTCTGCCAAAACCGCTCCTGCCAAGGCCCCCATGACCTGCGTGCGGAGAAACCCCACCTCTATCACTACAGTCAGGTTTCTGCCTGCAGGGTCCCCACCTCGATCAGTGAGTCTCCCTTAGCTCCTCACAAAGCCCCAGCTTCTCTAAGACCCTTTCTCTGACTCCCACTCCCCTCCCTGAGATCCCATGACCACCCCAGGTGCTGCCCCTAGAGCCAAGCCTCCATCCTCGCATTAAGCCTCCAGCCTGTCACTGACCCCCATTCCCCCAACAAGTCCCTGAGCTCCAGCCTGTCACATCCCAGTCCCTGCCTGTGTCCGTGACCACACTGCCCCACTCTCTCAGCGCTCTGTGTATTCAGGCCCTGGGCACCAGCTGGAGGCTGTGCTATTTGAGGAGGTGCCCAGGAGTAGCGGATGTGGGGCCAGGCGGGGCCAGGCGGGGCCAGGGAGGGCACTGGCTGCTGTCCAAGGTGCTGACCAGAATCAGGCCCCGGCTGAGTCTCACCACTCCCTCCAGCGGGGGCCTAGCTTGTCCCCTGGAGAACTGCTGGGCCGTACTACGGCTCAGCTAGCACCTTTACCCTTCCTATCCCGCTTCAGCCTGGCTCAGGGGCTTCCCAAGGACTCCATGGATACAGACATAGGACCCAAATTAAAGGGAGGAAGCAGGGAACATGTCCAGGCAACTCTTGGGCTGACGGGGCCAAGAGGTGGCTGATGTGGCCCTTTTGCCCACCCTTGATCCTCCCCTAAATCTTCATCCCCAGCCCTGTAGCCATCTCCCCTGGGCCCCCCAGCAGCCGACGGTCTCCTCGTACAGATGGAGGGGTCATGGGCCAGATAGGGGCAGGGACCTGTCAAGGTCACATGGCAGACCTGGGACAGACTTCTGCCTGCCTCCCTTCAGGATTGGGTTTCTCAGTGACCCCCCTCTGGAATCTGGGGTAAGAGAAGACCACCACTGCCCCTGCCCACAGCAGAGGCTGCCAGCCTGATGGCTGTGCTGTCGGCCTGAGGGTGGAGGCACCTCCTCATCAGTTGGGTGGGGGTGGAGAGGCCCTGGGGATCAGGTTAATGGAGCAGGAGCTTGAAACCGGAGCATGGTGAAGAGCCCGTGAAATAGCTTTGTCAGCTGCCTCCCACTCGCCACTTTCCAATTTTAGCTCCCCATGGCCGGTGCGGGGTGTCCCCAGTGAGGCCTCTGCAAGGAGCTGGCCCCCAGCCTGGGGCCTCTCCTGATAGACCCCCAGACCAGGGCTGGCCTGTGGACACGGGGGCATACCCTTTCCCCTGGTCCTGCCTGCCCCAGATGCCCCGGGGGTAAAGCCCCTTTTGGGGCCTGTGATTTGGGATGAGGGCCTGGGGTGTGCCCCACAAGTCTCAAGAGCCCCAGAGTAGCTGCATCCCCAGCTGGCACTGACCTTGAGGAGGCCGCAAGGGACCCTGGCACACTGCCCACCTCAGGCTCTGGGGTCCGGCTTCCAACTGTCCGTCCGTGCGACCGGCTGAGCTCTGGGGCCACGGTGGGGTGTGTCCAGCCCTGGGGTCCCCACCCCCTTGAGGTTATGAGCGGTGAGTGGTGACAGCGGGAGGAGGAGGGGGAGGAGGAGGTGGCCTTCCTGGAGCGGAGCTGAGCAGAGTGGAGCAGAGCCGAGTGCTGCAGAGCTGCTGGCCACAGGGAGCCGCAGGGAGGATCCTTGAAGGGGGGCGGGTGCTGGGTGGGGGGAGGGTGTCCAGTAGCATAGGCTCAGACAGGGACACCTGGGCCTCTCTTCAGCCTGCCTCCCCTGGCTCCTAGAGAGCCTGTGCCTCTCTCTCACTGCTACCCAGGACTTCCCTCTTCCAGGAAGACTCCTGGTGGTCCCACCAGCCTCTCCAGGCTTGTAAGCCCTGCCCCCACCACAGACACACACAGTCACAACATGCAAACACTTTCATGCTTGGGCTCCAGGGACTCCAGCTCCTACCTTTACATATGACCTCCTAAGGGCTATCCCAGGGCAGACTTGTCTCGCCCCATGACCTGGTCCTTTTCATTATGCCGTGAGTCCTGGCTGGCCATGCATCAGTGCCTGAGGGAGGGCTGACTTGCCTGATGGGACTGGAACTGGCATGGGACATGTGGCTGAGAGGGATCCCCATAAGTCAGCCCTGTCCCATAGGGAGTGTCCTGGATGGAGGGGTGCTAGCAGGGTCACTTGGCAAGGCTTGTGGGTACTTGGAATGGCTGGTATCCTCTCGGTGGCAGAGTGGAGGCAGACAGGAAGACAGGTGTGTTCCTAACCAACTGGGAGTCCTGGTAGGACAGGGCCCTCATTCTGGAAGGGAGCATCCAAGGCCTCAGCCCTGGATACCTGAGGGGAGGGGCATCCTGAAGGTGCCCCTGAGATTAAGAACCTCTGACAGTGCCCCTTCGGTTGAGGCCAAGTCTCGGGCAGCTGTATGTGTCTGTGCTATCTAGGGGGACCTGTTCACCTGTGTGCTTGTGGGGAGGCTCTCGGGGGTAGAAGGAGCTTTGTGGCTGTGATCAGTCACAGGACAGCTCCTGGAGCCCCTGCTGATCCTATGACCCCAGCTTCAGGCTCAGTTGAGGAGGCAGGAGGGAGGTGCTGCTCCCCACCCATCAGGGCCCAGGAAGGGGAGAGACTGCACTTAGGCAGGGAGCTGCCTCCCGAGCACATAGACACGCTGGCCTGGAGAACAGCAAGGAGACGCCCAACCTACACACTCCACACAGGACACAGAGGCCCGTGTCTGTGGTCCCCGACCCTGAGAAGCATGAATGGTGACTACTGCACAGTGTGGGTGCTGGGTTAGAGCTGTGGTGGGTAATGGGCACTAGAGAGGCCAGCATCAGGAAGGGAAGGATACCTGAGCCAGACTTCAGGGTTAAGGAGGGCTTCCTCAGGGAGGGGTAGTCAAAGGTTGTTAGGAGTAAGTTAATCATAGTAGCCAGGATGTACATGGATTAACTTTTTAATGTCACCACAGCCCATAGGGAAGATGTTGCCACTGTACGCAGTTGGGAGAAGAAGGACCTGGCACATGAGGAAGCCAAGTAGTTGGATCAGCCCTGTAAGCTCCTGGCACTGACTGCCCTGCAGGGGCGACAACCCCGTGCACCCACACTGGGGCCCTCACGAGGCTCCAAGAAAATGGCTCAAGGGAGCAGACAGGGTGGTTTGACCCCAGAGTTAAGAACACAGGTTCAGCCAATTTACTTGACCCTGAGCTGGTGTGACCCACTTCTTAGGGCCTCAGATCCTCAGTTGTAAAATGGGCATACCGCTGGCCCTGGCCCTCACTGGGGTGGCAGGGGGCATCCGGTGATTCACTCCATGACAAGAGCCTTGCTCATAAACAGAGGCTATTAGAGAGCCACAGACACCCTGACCCCCAGAGGCCCAGAAAGGCTGGATTCACACTCAGAAGTGAGGCCTTCCCTGGGTGACCCACACACAGCAGGGTCTGCAGGGAGTGTGGTGTGCGGAAATGGCAAGAGGGGTGGAGGGCTAGGGAAGTCCCATGGATCTGTGGTTGGACAGCCTGAGGCCAGCTCCACTGTGTCTGAGGGGGGTGGCAGGGGAGGGCACCTGGCAAGGCCAGCCCACGTGAGGGACAGGAAGCTGACTGAGCTAAGACCAGCACTTGGCCCTGGGGCCAGCTTCCCAAATGCCACAAGGGCCACTAGGAAAGATATGGTGGGGAGTGGGGACAATTCTCTCAAATCTGAGTCCCTTTTCAATTTTCAGACTTTTTTTGTTTGGTTGTTGCTCAAAGTAAAAATGCGAGGAAAGTATCCTGTGTGTTTGCATGTACGTGTGCAACTGTGTTTTGTATCAGTTGTGTGTGGGTCTGTGTGTACGTTTTGTGTTGTAGGTTGTTCATGGCATGTGTTTGCTGTGTATGTGTATCCTGTGTATTGTGTGTGCACATGTATCGTACATACGTGTGTATATGTGTGTTGTGTGTGTGCAAGGCTCACAGATATAGGAGAGTCAGTGTACGTAAAGGCACACCTGTGGGGAGAAGGTGGGCAGGCCGACTTCTTTGTGCTCAGGGCTGGCTGTGGGCTGGCTGGGGGTGGGGAGGAGAAGCTTGTTCTGGCCCCTGGGTGTGGGGGTGCAGAGGAGCACACCCACTGGAGGTCACCCTGCCCTGGGCTCCTGGGAGCAGGGGAGGGGCCCAGTGACAATGTAGTGTGTTTAAGCCTGAGCCAGGCTGCAACCTTGCCCAGCTCAGCTGTGGTGCCCCAGAGGCCCCTGTGGGGACAGTGGCCAAACTACGTCCACAGCTCAGCCAGGTCTCACCTGTCAGTGCTGGAACCTGAGCACCAAGACCTGCAGCACCTGCCTGGGGTGTGGCAGGGAGAGCCCTCACTTGAGGCAACTTCACCACTTAACTCTTTACTTGCCCCTGCCCCTCAACCCGCCAGGGCACCTGCACCCTCCCCTCCAACTACCTCCTCGTGGATCTGGCCAGGGCCCTTGGTGTCTTATCCAGCACACCTGTTGCCCACCTGCCTGAGGGACAGGGAGGTCATCCTCAGGGTGCCCAGGACAGATGGTGCTACCCAGGAGAGGCACTGGTACTAACCTGGACAGACCAGCTGCCTGGCTGTGCACCTGGCCCACCTAAGTTAGGTTTCTCAGGGTCCCTATCTTTGACCCCTTTGATGACCTCCTTCCCTTGAAAATCCTTCTCCCAGGCTCTCCCCACCTTCCCTTTACTCCTCCTTGCTCCTTTGCCTCAGGGAGATGTGAAGCCCCCTCTCTACCCAGATCTGATCAAGGAGGTTGGGAACTTGGGAACTGCCACAGGGATGGGGTGGGGATGGTGGGGGAAGCCCTGTGGTGCTGCAGCCCGGTCCTGCATCCTTCCCCACCCAGCTCCATCATGGCGTTTCCCACACCTCTGATTGGACTGGAAACTCCCTGAAAGGAGGAAGCAAGTCAGATTCACCTCTAGGTCCCTCCCAGGCCTGGAGAGGCTGGCATGCTGTTGGCACTCACTGACTGCCTGGTGGCCGACTGGCTGGATGGAATGGTGACCTGTGACCAGTCTGTCTCTCTCCTCAGCTGATCTGAGAGTTCCTGGAGGCCAGGGACTGTGTTTGCCTCACCTCGGCACCTCTGTGCCTGGGGCAGAGGAACTGCTCAACAAGTTCTGGTTGAACAAATGGAGGGAACACTAAGAGCGAATAATTATTAAGCGCTTACTGTGTGCGAGCAGCTGCTGTAAGCAATGGACACTTTATCTCAGTGAACCCTGCAGAGGGTTCCAATGAGGGAATGGAGCAGACCTGATCTAACCAAGCTAGGGGTGGGGAGGTGCCCGGTGGTAGGTGCCAGCAGACATGACAGGCACTCCCGCACATGGCACCACAGCAATGCTGTCAAGGTTGCCCGTGGAATCTGAAAGCTGAAACACTCATCTTTATATACAGAGTTGGCCAAAGCAAGACACCAGCAAATCAGTTTACCCAAAAATGTGCAAACAAGATTTCCTGTGCCTGCCTGTCTGCAGTTTTTCTTTCCCCTCTCTCTTATATAACTCTTGTTGAAATCAGTCTATAGATACATGTTCCTTGTACAGAAATAAACAGAGAGCTAATAATTAGTGAAACGTCTTTGGGTTATTCTTTGACATACATATTAATAACAGCCCCCTGAGGGAGGATTCTATTATTGTCTGCATTTTATAGATGAGAATGTGGAGGATCAGAGAGGTTAAATAACTTGCCCAAGGCCACACAGCTGGTAAGTGGGGAGAGAAGTATGCCCCAGGCAGCCCCACCTGTCCAGACTCCATGACCTAATGCTCCTTCCTTTCTCAGGCATAGCCCAGGAAGGGCAGCAGAACCACCCTGAAGTGGCTGGAGTGTGGGTCACACCATCTCTGCACTTCCCTGAGGTGATCTTGAGGAAGGATGGCTGATCCTATGCCTGCTTCTCACTCCCTGGGACTGCACTGAGGCCAGAGCCTGTACCCCTCATACTCAGATCACCCTCTGGAGCTCCTCAGGGCCTGCAGGAGAAGGTGCTGACTCCTCTGTGTTCAGACTCTACATCCAGCCCACCCCTCGCTGTCACACACTGTCCCCTCCAAGCACAGACCCTCTCTCTCCTGGCTCTCTGCCTGGCCGTTTTCCTTCACAAGGAACCAGAGAAAAACTCTTCCTTCCCAGAGACCCTTAGGACCCCACCAGAATCATCAGTTCATCCCGGTGGCCTTTGCTCTAACTTGCTGTGGGATCTCTAGATCCGTGTGACCCCATGCAGGGTCAGGGGCTCCCTGAGGAGTGGGGGCCAGCTAGGGTCCCTCCATAGCCCCATCCCCAAGGAAGGGGCTGAGAAGACAGGGTCCCAGGAGCCGCAGTGGCTTTTCCAAGGAAGGAGCTGACAAGATGCTCGCAGGAGCCCCAGTGGCTTTTCCTGGGGAAGGGGGTGTTTTCACAGTATGTGCACCTGCATTTGTGCATCACTGCACAAGCAACACACAAGTGGCTATGTCTTCACGTGTGGGAATGTGTGTCCACATCCACATGTGTGTGCTCATCTGCACCTGTGTGTCCATGAGTGTGCACACATGGAGGTGCCTGTGTGCACGTACAGTTGCATGCTCCTGAATTGAGGTATGTGTGTGCATCTGCATCTTTGTGTGGGGCTGTGGGTGCACCTGTGTGGCCAGGGTGTCGGAGTTGGGGTGTGTGGCTATGAGTGACCCTCCTTGGGGCCACTCCTTCCTGTAGCTATAAGTGCATAGTTACAGCTGAGAAAGGGCAACACTGACAGTCATAGAGGCCTGCGGATCTTAGGGTGCCCCTGCAGCATCCCTCCAAGTTCACCATGGCGAGGGAGGTGCACTGTACCTTTGACTGGAGCCACTACCTCAAAACCCTTCTGCCTGAAGCTCCAGCTGAGCCCCACCTCGGCCCTCTGCCACCAGCATCCATCAGCAGTCTTGGTGAGCAAACAAAGATGCCTCTTGGAGCTGCTGCCTAGGGGTGGGGTTGTTCAGTGGTGGGTGGGTGCGCCTACCCTGGGTAATCTCTGAACGGCAAGACCCTGGTTTTGGGGTCAGGCAGACTGCAGTTAAATATTAGCTCAGCTTCTTTCTGTGAACCTCAGTTTCTTCATCTGTCAAATAAGACAACAAACCCCTGGGTCATTAGAGGACTGAATGGGGTCAGGTTGCCACAGTAGATGCTCACTCACTGGGAGCTGCAGTGATTATGAAAATACTTATTATTATTACAAGTCCAAGGGTCTGCACCTGAGGAAGTGTCCTGAGGAGTGGGCTGACAAACTGGTTGAGAGCATAGTGCCCCAAGTCTGTGTAGGGTGTGGACGGCTACAGATGGAGCCGGGATGGGGGTGAGGGGATAGGGCAGGGCTGAGTGGCATGGGGGATATGCCCACTTAGGGTAACCAAGGGCTCTTCTGTGTGTGAAGCCATGGGGACATCCAGGGCTAGTACCTAGGATGAGGGCGATGAACACCTGCCCGAGGGACTGCATCTGTCCATTCACAGCCGCCTTGCCATCCCAGAGCTCTCGCCTCTGCCAGTGGGCTGCTGGGCCTCCCTGCTGCTGTAACCCAGCCAGCCCAGGGTCTCCTGCAGTGTCCCACCAGGGCTTCTCTTCTGCCTTCCTGGCCTGAGACATTGGTTTTGGTCATCCTTAAGGAGCCTCTTCTGGTAGAAGTGGTTGAGCTGGCTGCCCTGGGCTGGCTTCCCGGAGCAGATGGAGTCCTCAGACAGAGTCTTATCCTCTCAAGACCTGAGGCTGCCCACCCGGCCAGGCCGACACTGGGCTGTCATCCTATTGCTTGCCTGTCTTCTGCTGCCGCAGGGCCTGCAGGAAGACACTTTTCACCTGGCCCAGGATCTCATGGTACATCCGGAAGTCCTCCTCCTTTCCCCGCAGGGCACTGCCCAGGGCAGCCTTTAGCATTTCATTCTCCTCCACCTGGATGGCCAGCCTGGACCACAGGAGACAGTGCTCAGTGTGGCTGGAGCTGCACACAGGTGTGCGTGGGTGACAGAGGGCCCTGGGAATGTGGTTGCCAGCATGGCTGCTCTTCAGGCTCAGGCTTCCCTCTGACCCATCCCCTCCTCTCACTGACTCTTGTGGGTACCATGGATTCCTCTCTATGGGCCTGGCTCCCTGCAATGTAAGCTACCTCAAGGCCCCTTACAAATTGAGTTCCAATTTGTAGAGGTTCCCGTCTTTCCCTTCCCATGGCTGCGTGGGGTCTTAAAAGGTTTAACGTAGTGAGAAACTGGTTCAGTGATCCATGCTTGATAAAATTTCTCTTGGACTATGGGTCATTGGGGTTTGGGCCGGGCCCTCTGTCCTCTGAAGGCCAGTCCCTGAATTGCAGGCCTAGAACCCAGGACCAAACAGGACAAGCCTTCTGGGCAAATGAGTCAAAAGTGCAAGGGGAGGGACACAGTCCCTCTGCCCATGGAGGCACCTCTGCTCAGACAACCCTACCCTTTCAGGAAGGCGGGGCAGGGGAGCACCTGGTTGTCAGCTCTTCCATTTGGGATTCCACGGGCACATCGGAGAGCTGGGCAAAGGATGGGTCCTTCTTCTCGCTCCCGGTTGGGTTGTGCCTGTTGTTAGAGGTGGGCAGACCTGTGGGGCAGCAGCAACCACTTTCTGTGAGGAGGCCACAGCCCTGTGCTAGCACCCTGCTTCTCCTCCCGCCATTGCCCACTGCCTGCTCTTCCACATGGTGAAACGCTACACCGCCTTCGGGGTGCAGGGCAACTCTGAGCTCTGCCTCCCTCCGAAGCCCTCCCTGATGCCTCCTCTGCATGCCTCTGCCCCTGGCTTTGGCCTCTGCTACAGCCCTGACTCTGCTCGCTTTGTACCAGGGTGGTTCCTCACCACCCTGTCTCCATCTTTATACTTTACAAGTTTCTGGTAATTTGTTTTCTTTTTTTTTTCTTTTTTTTTTTTTTGAGACAGAGTCTTGCTCTGTCACCCAGACTGGAGTGCAGTAGCGTGATCTCAGCTCACAGCAATCTGCGCCTCCAGGGTTCAAGCGATTCTTGTGCCTCCCGAGTAGCTGGGACAACAGGTGCCTGTCACCATGCCCAGCTAATTATTGTATTTTTTGCAGAGACAGGGTTTTATCATGTTGGCTAGGCCTCCCAAAGTGCCAGGATTACAGGCGTAAACCACCATGCCCAGCCTGGTAATTTGTTTTCAAAAAGAGAAACCAGCTGAGCCTGAGGTCTGGCCTGCAGGCTGAGCCCGAGTCTAGACTGTCACTGTACCTGATGCCCTCATACCAGTGGTCCCCATCCAGGCCATCAGCTTCATACTAGGAAGCAGGGGATCCAGGGTCCTGGAGTTGAAGGGTACAGAATGTTCACAAAAAGGAGACAAAGTGGCCCACGGTGGGGTGGTCCCAGAACTTTGGGAGGCCAAGTGGGGGCAGATTGCTTGAGGTCAGGAGTTCAAGACCAGTCTGGCCAACACGGTGAAACCCTGTCTCTACTAAAAATACATAAAAATTAGCCAGGCATGGAGGCATGCACCTCAAGACTAGTCTTGTGTAAACCTGTCTCATTGCTGGGGAGGCAGCAGAGTGGCTCTGCCCTCTACAGGGGCTGGACTGAGTGTTCTTCAGGGCCTTTCCTGGCTCCAGGGGACACTGCTAAGCTGCCCTTGGCTTATTCCACGCATTGAGCACCTCCACATCCCCAACTAGAGCTGCCCTGGATGGGAAACTGCTTGTTCAGCCTGATGGAATTTTCTAAGCCCTGTGACACAGGGAATCAAAAAGAGCCTCAGCCGGGTGCGGTGGCTCATGCCTATAATCCCAGCACTTTGGGAGGTCTAGGGGGGTGGATAATTTGAGGTCAGGAGTTCAAGACCAGCCCGGCCAACATGGTAAAACACCATCATTACTAAAAATACATAAATTAGCAGGGTGTGGTGGCGAACCCCTGTAATCCTAGCTACTTGGGAGGCTGAGGCAGGGGAATTGCTTGAACCAGGGAGGTGGAGGTTGCAGTGAGCTGAGATCGCACCGCTGCATTCCAGCCTGAGGGACAGAGTGAGACTCTGTCTCCAAAAAAAAAAAAAAAAAAAAGACAAAGCTCAACTGGTGGTGGCGAACTTGGGCAAAATCACAGCATCAGAAAACCTCGGGACTGAAAAGGCCCTCAGAGGTGGTGTGACCCACAGTAAATTACTTGGTATCAGAAGACCTGGCTTTCGCCCTCTGCTGAGAGGCCTCAGGCAAACTATCAGCCTCTCTGAGCTGGTTTCCTTAGCTGAAAAAAAGGATAATAGTTTATGCCTCTAGAGCTTTGGCAGCCTCAGTGAATTCTATTTGGCTCTCAAGGCCCTGTGTGATTGGACCACTCCAGCCTCCCTGCCTCCTCCCTGTTCCTCCAAGCATCCAGCTAAGCTTCCAAGCACCGACACTTGTCTTTCCCTCAGGGATCGGCAGGCCACATCCCCTCCCAGTTCCTCCATCTCTGCTCAGATGTCTAGCTCCCCTACTGGAGTGAGACTGCCATGGGGGACTGAATTATAAATCTAGCCTCCTCATTTTACGGATGGGCCAGGGGGAGGCGGGTAAGTGGTGCTCTGCTCACCAGAGGGGCAGGATTTTGCCCATGTTAAAAGCCAGTAGGCAGCAGAGGCCACCTGGACACTTTCCCTCAGGCAGCTGCCCTCACTGTCCAGCAGGGAACAAAGTGACTTGCCTGCTGTGGCTTAGCTCTCCCTGGTTGGAAGTCCTGCTGCCCTACAGGAGGTAAGCCCCAGCCTGGAGAAGCCACACTCCTAGGGAACATATTCCTGAGAGTCCAAGAGGGTCAGCAAGGCTAAGCCCCAGAGACCCTTCCTTCCCGGCCTGGATTCTCAGAAGCTCCTGGCCCTGCTGGTGGGAGAAGAGAAAGCAAGTGGCCCCAACACCCTCTTTATGCCCTACTTCTGGCACACCCTTCTGAAACGTTCTGACCTCATCTGGGCTGAGGACTGAGACCAAGGGTCTGACCATCCTTGGCTGGGGAGGGGTTGGGGGGCTACTGGGGTGTTGAAAGAGGGTGCAGTGGGGGCAGCAGCACCTCCAGCATTCCAGCCTGGAGGGGGCTGGGATGGGTGGGATGGGAGGTCAGACAGAGGCAGGCCCAGCCCCTCCACATTGGAGACCCTTCCTCCCTGGGAGTCAGCCATCCCAGAAATGGCTTCTGGCTCTGGCATCCTCCAGCTCGCCCCAGCCCCACAGGATGCTGATGCTGCTCATCTGAATACTGCACCTTGAGAA
Source organism: Homo sapiens (assembly GCF_000001405.40). NCBI lineage: Eukaryota > Metazoa > Chordata > Mammalia > Primates > Hominidae > Homo > Homo sapiens. The sequence goes on from NC_000003.12 coordinate 42,712,452, forward strand.
CCACTGTGTTCGAGCGATAGACTTTTCAGTTAAGGATAGCATTTCCCAGCTTCCCTCTGCACCTGGCTATGCCCAACTGTCTGGCTGATGGGATGAGAGCAGAAGTGACATATGCAACCGTAAAAGGTAAGGAGAAGTTTGTCTCCTTCCCTTCTCCCCTTCCTGCTGCTGATGGGAAAGCTCAGGCAGTCATTGTAGACCAGAAGATGGAAGCTGCATGTTGAGAACAGTGGAGCCACAAAACAGAGGGAGCTTGGGTCCCCAAACCTCTGGTGAGGCTACTTCCTGCTTATATCAACTTGACCATTGCAGGAGGCACAAAGGGACTCCTCCCCTGCTTCAGCCACTGTTGCTTGGGCTTCCCCAGCAGACCAGCTGTGCCCCATGACCACTTTGAATGAAGTCAGCTTAGGATAGAGGGTTGAGGGCTAGGGTGGCTGGGGGCATTCAGCACTGCCACCTCATGCTGAGGGCTTACAGGTGGCCAGGCCAGGGCCACACGAGGCAATGGAGCTCTGGGGCTCCTGCTTCTGACTGAGAGGCCTGGGGAAAAGAACACCCCACAGTGGAGGCAGGCAGAGCTCCACCCTGATGGAAGCTCTGCTTCCCACATGCTCACTGATGGGCTGAACAGTGCAGCTGCCTGGCTCCTCTGTTAGCAGCAACACTGCCTCCACCCCCTGCACTGAGACTACTGCCCTGGCCCCTACCTGTTTTGGTCCTGGGAGCTGCTCTCTGGGAGGCTGATGCCTTCCCTGGCTCCAGGCGTATCTTCTCCAGATGTTGCTCCAGCACCACGGTGCGGTGTCGCTCCTCCTGCAGCTTCCTCTCTGACTCCAGGAGCTTGCTGTTGCTCTCCTCCACCCTGGTGATTAGAGAGGAGGGGATGCTACATGCCCTGGCAGGCAGGGGCAGGCCCTACCCCACTTGCTCAGGCCCTTAGAGAGATGGGCACATCTTACATTGGTAGTGATGGGACCTCTTCATTTTCATTGCAGTAACACAGGAACATGCATTTAAACACCATATGGTTCTCTCCAAGGTTAAAATTTAAAAATTATCAGCCCACTCCCAGCCCCATCATTCCCAATTCCTGCTCTCTAAAAGCAATCACTTATAACACTTCTAGCTGTTTCTTTTAATATTTACTGCCATATTTCTACAGATGCTTATGTTGCTATTTTTAGGTTTATATAAGGTTTAAATATAATCTTTTGACTTCCTGTCATGCAAAATAAGAATTTAGTTTTATTTTAGTACTCTCCTCCTACGAAACAGAATCACCTGTATACGTTTTTGGATGAATTGATATTAGGTATCAGTTTTCTATCACAGCTATAACAAATTACCATAAATTTAGCAGCTTAAAACAACACAAATCTATTATCTCACAGTTCTGTAAGTCAGAGGCCTGGCAAGCTCAGTGGGTTTCTCTGCTTCTGGTTTCACAAGCCGAAATCAAGGGGTTGGCTGACCTGGGCTCTTATCTGGAGGTTCCGGGGGAAAATCCACTTTCAGGCCCATTCAGAGTGTTGACAGAATCCAGTTCCAGGTAGTTGAAGGACTGAGGTCCCTGTTCCCTGCAGGCTGCTGGTCAATTTCACCTTCTAGGAGCCACCTTGCCCCCTCCATCTTTAAAGCCAGCTAGATACCCTTAACACACTTTGAATCTCACTACCCTCTCTGACTTCCTCCACAGCAACTCTCTGAATAATCCCAGACGGAGATATTTCTCTGCTTTTAAGGGCTCAAAAGATTACATTGAGCCCACCAGATAATCCAGGATAATCTTTCCATTTTAGGGTCCATAACAATAATCATATCTGCAAAATCTCTTTTTCATGTAACATAAAGCACTCACAGGCATAACAGCAGGGAGCAAAGGGCATAGACACCAAAAGCCTGTCTACGTTAGGACAATTAGTTAGAGCCATGACGCACAGTGTCATATGTCCTTTCTCATTTAATTGTTCGCTTTTCTTGGAGTTAGTGATTATCTTAAGCTTATTGTTTTGTTTTCTACATGCCTGTCATAAATGTTATTTCACATGAAGCACTTGTTTAATCCCACTGGAGCTTGAGCTTAGGTCCTTCCTGTGGCTAGGTGTGCCATTTCAGACTTCTATGATACTAAAGGTTCATTTAGTGAGAAAGCCAGAACTCCCTGAGATCTAACCCAAGCCAAGAGTTACATGCACACCTGAAAATTAGAGGGGCAGCCTTGAAACTGACAGTGTTGGAGGAAGTGATCTTTCCACCTTGGTGAAGGGTCAAAAGGAACAGAATGACAACAATTTTGAACAGTATACAACTACTAATAAAAAGCTGTATAGTAACACAGTAAACAGCTACTAACACATATTTAAGCATATTCCTTGAGATTTTATTTGCAAAAGCAAAAACCCAAAACAACCTAAAGGCCCATCATCAGGGGACAAACAAGTAAGTGGTAACATATTCATACTATAGAACGTGATAGAATATGATAGAGCTGTGCTGCCCAACACAGTGACTGCGAGGTTCATGTCCACATGTAGCCATTAAAATTAAAGTTCAGGGGCTGGGCCCGGGGTCCCACACCTGTAATCCCAGCACTTTGGGTGGCCGAGGTGGGTGGATCACCTGAGGTCAGAAGTCTGAGACCAGACCAGCCTGGCCAACATGGTGAAACCTCGTCTCTACTAAAAATACAAAAAAAAAAAAAAAAATTAGCTAGGTGTGGTGGCATGCTCCTGTAATCCCGGCTATTTGGGAGGCTGAGGCAGGAGAATCACTTGAACCAGGGAGGTGGAGGTTACAGTGAGCTGAGATTGTGCCATTGTACTCCAGCCTGGGCAACAGGAGCGAAACTCTGTCTCAAAAAAAAAAAAAAAATTAAATTTCAGGCCACGCACGATGGCTCACGCCTGTGCTTTGGGAGGCATAGGTGGGTGGATCACTTGAGTCCAGGAGTTCAAGACCAGTCTAGACAACATGGTAAAACCCCATATCTACAACAAAAAATACAAAAATAAGCCTGGCACGGTGGCGTGTGCTTGTAGTCCCAGTTACTTGGAAGGCTGAGGTAGGAGGACCACTTGAGCCTGGGAGGCAGAGGTTGCAGTGAGCCGAGATCGCACCACTGCACTCTGGCCTGGGCAACAGAGCGAGGCTCTGTTGTAACAAAAAGAAAAAAAAATAAAGTTTATGAAAATTAAATTAAAAATTCATTTCCTCAGTCACACTAGTGACATTTCAAGTTCTTAAACTGTATTGGTCAGTGCAGATACTGAACAACTCCATCATCACAGAAAGTTCCACTGGTCAGTAGTGGAGTGTGTTAGTTATCATGAGAGTGGGTTTCTGATAAAGGATAACTTTGTCCCCACTTCAACTTTCCCCATGCCATTTCCCTTCTGCCTTCCACCACGGGATGCGGCAAGAAGGCCCTTGTCAGACGCTGGCACCTTGATATTGGACTTCCCAGCCACCAGAGCTGTGAGAAATAAATTTCTTTTCTTTATAAATTACTCAGTCTGTGGTATTCTGTTATAGCAACACAAAATGGACTAAGACACATCCTTGGACCCAGCTGGGTAACATACCTGAACTCCAGGACAAGGAGAAAAATCTTATAACAACAGCACAGCTAATACTTTTTTTGAGTGCTTTCCACATACCAACTACTGTGTTAAGGCACTGCATAAGCATTATTATGTTTAATTCTGTAAGTAAACAAGATGTACTAATATTACTTCAAGAAGACACAGAAAATCTAAATTTGAAAAAAGGTTGTCAAAGATCTACCTCCAAAAAAAAAAAAATCAGGTCAAGCCAGGTTCTCAAGAAAGTTCTATCTAACCTCCAAGGAACCAATGATTTTTGCTATTCTGACAATTCCACAATATAGAAGAAATAGATGGCTTCCTATAAGTTTACAAAAAACTTGATTTCCCAGTTAATAATAGGGTAAATGTATTAGTACTGCTGCATAACAAGTTACCACAAATAGTGGCTTGAAACAATAAAAAATTTCCAAAAAACATAAAGAGCTACTACAACTCAACAACAGGACAAACAACCCAATTAAAAAGTAGGCAAAAGACTTGTGTTTCTCCAAAGAAAATATACAAATGTCCAATAAGCACATAAATAGATGCTCAACATCATTAGCCATTAGGGAAATGCAAATCCAAACCACAAAGAGATATCACTTCAAACCTACTAGGATGGCTATTATTGAAAAAAAGGAAAATAAGTGTTGGTGAGGATATAGAAAAATTAGAACCCTTGTACACTGCTGGTGGGACTATAAAGTGGTGCAGCCATTGTGGAAAAGTTTGGTGGCTCCTTAAAAAGCTAACCATAAAATTACCCTATGATCAAACAATTCCACTTCTCAAATTGAAAACGGGGACTCAAACAGGTACTTGTACAGCAATGTTCTTGTAGCATTATTCACAATAGCCAAAAAGGTGGAAACAATCCAAGTGTCCATCAACAGATGAATAGATTGACAAAATGTGGTACATGCACACAATAAAATATTATTCAGTCATAAAAAGGAATGAAGTTCTGACATATGCTACCATACGGATGAACCTTGGAAACACTGTGCCAAGTAAAATAAGCCAGACACGAAAGGGTAAATATTGCATGACTCCACTTATACAAAATATCTAGAATAGGCAAATTCATAGAAAAGAGGTTACTGGCTGGGCATGGTGGCTCATGCATGTAATCCCGACACTTTGGGAGGCTGAAGCGGGTGGATCACCAGAGGTCAGGAGTTCAAGACCAGCCTGGCCAACATGGCGAAACCCCATCTCTACTAAAAATACAAAAATTAGCTGGGCATGGTGGTGGGTGCTTGTAGTCCCAACTATTTGGGAGGCTGAGACAGAAGAATTGCTTGAATCCGGGAGGCAGAGGTTGCAGTGAGCCGAGATCATGCCATTGCACTCAAGACTCGGCAACAAGCGAGAATCCATCTCAAAAAAAAAAAAAATAAGTAAAGAGGTTACTAGATGCTGGGCTTAGTGGGTGGCGTATGAGGAGCTATTGCTTAATAGTAATAGAGTTTCTGTTTGTGGTTATGAAAAAGTTTGGAAATAGAGATAACGGTTGCACAGTATTGTTAATGTAATCAGTGCCACTGAATTGTATACTTTTAATGGTTAAAATGACAAATGTTTGGTGTATATAGCTTACCACAATTAAAACATACATATACCACACAAATTTATTATTTCACAGTTTCTGTAGGTTAGAAGTCCAAGGTTGGCCTAGCTAATTTGTCAGTGTCTTACATGGCTGAAGTCAAGGTGTCAGAAGGAGTTGCTATCTCATCTGATGCATGGGATCCTTTTCCAAGCTCACTCAGGTTGTTAGCAGAAGTTAGTCCCCTGTAGTTCTAGGACTGTGGTCTCCATTTTCTTGCTGGCTAATGACTTGGTTGGTTGTCAGCTCCTAGATTTTTCTCCCTATTCTGGAGTTCAGGTATGTTACCCAGCTGGGTCTAACGATGTGTCTTCGTCCATTTTGTGTTGTTATTGCATAATACCACAACCATCCACCGCCATGTTGTTCTCTCCAAAGCACAGTGGTTTTGTCAGAGGCGTTTGAACAAGAGCAACTCCATCTTAAATAGGAGCTGGGTGAAATAAGGCTGAAACCAACTGCTGCATTCCCAGATGGTTAAGGCATTCTAAGTCACAGGATGAGATAGGAGGTCAGCACAAGATACAGGGTCATAAAGACCCTGCTGATAGAACAGGTTACAGTAAAAAAGGTGGTCCAAACCCACCAAAACCAAGATGATGATGAAAGTGACCTCTGGATGTCCTCACTGCTACACTCCCACCAGCGCCATGACAGTTTACAGATGCCACGGCAATGCCAGGAAGTTACCCTATATGGCCTAGAAAGGGGAGGCATAAATAACCCACCCCTTGTTTAGCACATCATCAAGAAATAACCATAAAAACGGGCAACCAGCAGCCCTGGGGACTGCTGTGTCTGTGGAGTAGCCATTCTTTTATTCCTTTACTTTCTTAATAAACTTGCTTTTGCTTTGTGCTGTGGACTCGCCCTGAATTCTTTCTTGCATGAGATCCAAGAACCCTCTCTTGGGGTCTGGATCGGGACCCTTTCCTGTAACATCTTTCTGGTGGCCACTGAAGGGACTAAAGTGAGGAAACCCCCAACTCAAAGGTTAACTTTGCATAAGTGTTGGGGTCCTGTAACATCTTTCTGGTGACCACGGAAGCGACTATAGTGAGGAAACCCCTGACCCAAAGGCTAACTTTGGGTAAGTGGTGGGATCCAGTAACATCTTTCTGGTGAACCACAGAAGGGATGATACTGAGGAGAACCCCCCAACCCAAAGGAAATAGACTTCAGCACTGATTGGATGACTTTGGGTAAGTGGGGTACATAAACCCAGGTAAAGGATGGGATTGGGTTAGAGGCCCAACTTAGGGGAGTTAGCATCTCTCCTAAGACAAAGTGGGTCAGAGGCCCCTCTTAATAAAAAACAAAGATGCTTGACTGACCTTGGGTTAGAGGCCCAACTTAGGAGGGTTAGAGTCCCTTCTAAGATGTAGGGAGTTAGTGGTCCTCTCAGTAAAGTTCCTCTCGGTAAAGTCCCTTTCAGCTAAAAATGGGTTTGGCACTCCGGGATGTTAACTGCTATTCTCTTTGGATTAATCTGTCTTGCACTCTTCGCTGATGGCTGTGGGTGACAAGATTAGGCACGTACAGGACTGTGGGACATGGGGAGCTTTTTCTTCCCTAAAAGGGAAAGCTGAGAGCAGATGGGACTGCTGGAAAAGATCCCTTCACTTACTGACAAGCAGCCGCCTGAACTTTTCAGTGTCGCTGCAATGGGTGGGTCTTTCTCTGGCCTCTCTGAGCACCTCACCTTCCCCACTCTGCCTCAGGCAGTGCTTTCCTCTCTCTCTCTCTCTCTCTCTCTCTCTCTCTCTCTCTCTCTCTGTGCAGACTGGTAAAAATCATTGTTTATCTCCTGTAAAGTTTTAATTAATTAGAAAAAGGATTTGTGAGGCTAGTCTTAAGCTGCAGCGAATCTGGTGTGCTTTACGTGTTTTTCTGTATTGTTCCATCATAAAGAGGGGTACCTTATGATGGAACACAGGCTTAGGACACCCATAAGCCTGCTTTTCAAGACGGCCCAGCAAACTGGTCAGTTACAAACTTTGCTGCAGATCCCTGAAAAACCTGGATGAGGTTTCCTTCTTGTCTTGTAAATCCTTGGGAGCTTGACCTTGTAACCATGTGGCCATGCTTTCTCTTTTCACAATGGCAGCCTGGGTTCAGGGTTCCATTCCCAGCTTAGGGGATGACTCCTTTATCTTCTGTCTATATGTATATGTATTATGTGTGTGATGTTTATACATGAAAGAACTTTAATTGGTTTGAAAATAATAAGAGCTTAAATATTTTATCAGAAAAATAAAAAGCATAATGTCTTTTAGTTCCTGTGACTTAAGTAATTTTTGGGAAATAGAGTTTTAAAGATTATTGGTAAAATAAAAATATCTTCAAAAATGTAAACATTTAGTCTAAATTATGCAGGTCAGATATTACATTTACTAAATTCTTTAAGATCATAAACTGCTTCTTTGACTTTTGAAAATTGTTCAATTTACCTACTTTGGAGCATTAGATTCTACATAAGGCCTGGGGACATGTGGAATTAGCCATGCCCCCTAGCTATGCAAAGATGGTTATAAAGAAAAGAGATTTTATGTAAGAAAGGATGTTGTATGGTAAATTCTCGTCCTAAAGTAAAATGACTAGTTGTTTAAAAAAAGGGAATTTACGCAAGAAATGTTGTGTAATTTGAAGGTTGTTAGGCCTCCTAAATGCCTCGTAAAATGCCATTATGACTCTTAACTGTATGACTTACCTGCTTTACAGCTAGGTAAGGCCTGGGACACATTAGAAGTTAGACGCTGGAAAGAGTCAGACCTTATCTGCACTTCTGTTTGCTGTCCTAGGCTCCATACTAGTACATAATTAAAATCCCAAACTTACCAAGGTTTTCACCAAAAGTAAAAGTTGCTAAGAGTTAACACTGTAACATGTAATTGAGACTACTGAAGAAACAGTTTTACATGCGAGGTGTGTAAAGAAAGTGAAATGTGTTTTTGGTGAAAAATTATAAGAAGTCATGGGAATGTGGATTTTTCTTGCCTAGATTAAAGGTTAAAGGATTGTTTTAAGTTAGAATAAAACTAAAGGTTTAAGCAAGGGGTGGAAGGTTTGTGAAAAATTAATTGTAAAAGACATTCTGTGTGTGAACATACTGACTAAAGTTAAAGGGGTATTATTCAGCTTTTCCGTCAATTAAACATTGGAATAAAAGCACAACAGGTTTTTCTTAGAGCAAAAACCTGCCTATGATCTCTTTAACAAAAATTTGTAAAGGGTTATACAAAGTTTGTAAGAATCTCACCTTATGTTCAAACTGATTAAGATTAAATAAATTTATCTATAAGGTTTTATTAAGAATTGGATTTGACATCAATAACGCACTAATGCTACAGTAACATTTGGCTTATCGGGTATAAAAATCATATAGAAAGCATTGTCAAATATGAAATAGTGTTTGGCTTTCGTCAGGCTATATTTGTATAAATGTGTTACTGGTATATGTTCCAAAATTATTTTTAAAACTCCTATAATTCTGATATGACTTAATGTGTTATTAATAATTATTACATAAAATCATTGTGTGCCACAGAGGCAACCAAAATTTCCTAGTCAATTGTGGATTTAATAGTGGCTGTCCTAAGACTTTTTATCATCTACAATTGTTGTCCTGTTTTAATCCTCTTTAGAAGGTGGTTTATAATCAACTACAGGACTTTGACAGATGTTCTTGAATGCAAGTTTCTGATAACTTTGGAAATTGTAACATTAGAATAGAGGAAAACACTTTCAGGACTCATAGAGAGCTGAAATGTTCCTGAATATCAAACAGAAGTTAACTGCATGTACTAAACTGAAGAAGTCTAAAGTAATCTTTTTAATTTTGTTTCAAACGTTGCTGATCCTTTGTTTTGTTTTTCAGAGTCAAGGAAACTTTTCAGCTATTTACAGCTTTTAACAATTGAGTAAAGCATACTCCTGTGAACAAAATTTGGAACATATTTGTTTCTCTCTACCTGATTTCTCCACAATTTGGAAACTATGTGTGAGTATTCTTAACTTATGGCAACGTAGTTATTTGCATAATTGCAATACAAATCTGTTTTCTTTTGCAACAGGACACAATTGGAGAAATTGGTTATTTTACCAAAACTTTGACTTGAATGGTGTGCTTTCCTTTAAGGAATCAAATTTGACTTGTAGAGCCAATAAAAACCCCTTGGGCAACTGACCTTGTTTATTCCTGTGAGCCAGCCAGTGATCTCTGACTGCTGTCCAGAAGAAACACGAGGGATGGGTCATGTGAAAATCTGGAACAGTATTCTAATTCTGGGCATGTATTGGAATTGGCTAGCAACCCCATATCAGCTTGGTTCCAACAGTTGGCCAGTTCATGGAAAGCCTTCTAATTTAGTTTACTTGGGATAATTTTACTTACCTTGCTTTACTGTTGTGGAATATATTGCTGTTGTACTCTTTGTATAGGAATGCAGGATAAGCTTACTGAATACTTTCTTAAATTGAACACTTATTAATCTTCCAGATATCACCTTTTGTTGGACTCAAGAGTTATGAATGGCCCTCACCATACTGATGCTTTCTGACTGAGCTCCTCACTACCCTGAACACAAGAGGGAGGAATATCATCGCCCCTATTCAGCCTGGAGAAGTTACAAAAGATGGATCTTCGTCCCTCTGCAACCCTTAGGATTAATGGTTCTCCTATAAAAGGGATGGGGGGAAAATGTCAGAGGCATTTGAACAAGAGCAACTCCATCTTAAAGAGGAGCTGGGTAAAATAAGGCTGAAACCTACTGGGCTGCATTCCCAGATGGTTAAGGCATTCTAAGTCACAGGATGAGATGGGAGGTTGGCACAAAATACAGGTCATAAAGACCCTGCTGATAAAACAGGTTGCAGTAAAGAAGCTGGCCAAAACCCACCAAAACCAAGATGGCAATGAGACTGACCTCTGGTCGTCCTCACTGCTACACTCCCATCAGTGCCATGACAGTTTACAGATGCCATGGCAACATCAGGAAGTTACCCTATATGGCCTAGAAAGGGGAGGCATGAATAATCCACCTCTTGTTTAGCATATCATCAAGAAATAACCATAAAAATGGACAACCAGCAGCCCTGGGGACTGCTGTGCCTGTGGAGTAGCCATTCTTTTATTCCTTTACTTTTTTTTTTTTTTTTTTTTTTTGGAGACGAGTCTCGCTCAGTCACCCAGGCTGGAGTGCAGTGGCACTATCTCGGCTCATTGCAAGCTCCGCCTCCCAGGTTCACGCCATTCTCCTGCCTCAGCCTCCCGTGTAGCTGGGACTACAGGTGCCCACCACTACGCCCAGCTAATTTTCTTGTATTTTTAGTAGAGACGGGGTTTCACCCTGTTAGCCAGGATGGTCTCGATCTCCTGACCTCGTGACCTGCCCATCTCGGCCTCCCAAAGTGCTGGGATTACAGGCGTGAGCCACCGCACCTGGCCTATTCCTTTACTTTCTTAATAAACTTGCGTTTACTTTGCACTGTGGACTCCGCCTGAATTCTTTCTTGCAGGAGATCCAAGAACCCTCTCTTGGGGTCTGGATCAAAACTCCCTTTCCTGTAACAGTTTGCAGGAGAATGTCTTCAAGGCCAGCAAGAAAATACTGCTTCCACTCTGGCTTCCTCTGTCTCTGACAGCTAGACTCAGACTAAAAGGACTCATATGATTAGGTCAGGCCCACTCAGAGAGCCTCCTGTTTGATTAACACAAAGTCATCTGATGAGTAACCTTAAATAGCTCTGCAAAATCCCCTTGGCCATGTAAGTTAACATAATTGTGGCAATAATATCCTACCATATTCACAGGTTCTGCCCACGCTCAAGGGAAGAGAAGTTTATAAGGCATGTATATCGGGGGTGGGAATGTTAGAATTCTGCCTACCACAGTAAAAATAGAGGAAAAAAGAAAGAACATTAAATTCAATGGCATTGTAAGAGAGTAACACAACATAGTTCCAAGAACACTAGAGCTGTAAGATTCAACATCGGAATTAGGTTAAAGGAAAAAATCAGGTAATCCTTCCAATAGATACTGAAGAAGCACTGGTAAAATCAGTAGCTATTCCTGACTTTAAAAACTCAAAGTAAAATGAGAATAGAAGGAAACAACACAATAAAGTATTTTAAAATCAGAAACTAATAACCCATCAATAGAAGAATGGTAAATAAATAACAGTGGATTTATACAATAAAATATTCTGTAACCATAAAAGGAAAACGTACTGACATGAAAATGCAATATACTAAGTAAAATAAGTAGCAGAAGATTATGCATACTATATGATCTAATTAAAAAATTTACAACAAATTAAAAATTTAAAAACAAATAAATATAAGGTTAATATAATTCAGCCACTTGACTGAAAACAAAAAGGAATATGTGGCAGCTATTGACTCAACTGTGGGGGAGGGGCTTTCACTTTTCTGTTATGAATTTCAATAATGTATGCATTTTGTTTAACTCCATTTATAATAGGGGAAATAATAAACCAACAGCAAAACATCATATAAAATAGCAAACCACATTGTGAATTCCCACAAAATTTTAGGAATAAGCAAACTCTTGATTTCTCTCCTTCTCCCCTATAACGTGCCTTCCACATCTCAATAAATATTATCCTCACTCATGCAGTTGCTCAGCCCAGATACCCGGGGGTCACCCTTGCCTTCTCTTTCTTCCTCATCTTCAGCTTCCAATCTATCAGCAGGCTCTACAACTTTTCCTGCAAATATGCACCAAAACCAGCTCTTTCTCTGTCCTCGCCCCCTCTCCAGACCTGAGGCTGCTCCTCCTGCCTGGGATCTACAGATGTCCGTAAGCTTCAAGACCTCTTGCACACTTTGGTATTCTGATTATTCTCTTTTGACCAATCTCTGGTCTCACTGATTTTCTTCAGTTGTTAACAGGCCTAACTCAGCTAGATCCTAATTTGTCAATGTATTTGATTGCGATTCTAATAGTTCTCCAAACTCATGTTCATCAATCTCATGAAATTCCAAATATTTTGAAAGATTTACCTTTTTGCTTCATAATTGATTTTCATTGTATTTCAAGAGTCTGACCAAAGTGACCCAATGCCAATGTGAAGTGAAGAATATTAAATAGTCAAATGATGACTGTTTTAATATTAAAAATTTTGCTTTCATGGGGACTGTAACTGTGGGGGTGCTGGTAAAAAATACTCAGATAAGGAGGTTTCCCCCTACCTAAGAATGCTAAGAATGAATTTAGCATAATGACACAAAATCTTCATGAAGACAAACATACATAATATTACACATTATATACATAATACCATATATATGATACATAAAGTGTTCTTTTATAAGTCAAATAAAAATATAAACAACTCTAAAACATGTGCAATGGCATGAATAGGTAGTTAAAAGAAAAAAACATAAAAGTTATGTGGAAAATATACTTATCCTCACTTTTGGTCATAGCAAAGCAGATAAAAACAAGGAGATATTAGCATTTCCTTGTTAGTTTGGCAAAAATGTTAAAGATTAATAAAACATAGTAACTGTGAGGGTATGGGGAAAACAGTTCACATTATTGGTAAGAATGTAAATTGATTCATTTTAAAAGGCAATTTGTCATGATTTGTGAACATTTTAAATGTGCATATTCTTTGATTCAGCCATTTCTTTTTTAGGAATTTGTGATACAGATATACTCCCATAAAAATGTAAAGATGCATTTAATGTAAGTCTATAAAAATATAAAAATTAGCCAGGCATGTTGGCATGTGCCTGTGGTCCCAGCTACTCCAGAGGCTGAGGTGGGAGGATCACTGGAGCCCGGGAAGTTGAGGCTGCAGTGAGCTGTGATCACACCACTGCACTCCAGCCTGGGTGACAGAGTGAGACCCTGTCTCAAAAAAAAAAAAAAAGAGGACTAAGATAATATCCATCTACAAGTTCAGGAAAGTAGTAAGGAAGCCTGCAGTCTATCAGGGCCTTGGGAAATGGGGAGGAGGGGAGGAAGCACCAATCATGTGAAACTGAAACACAAGGGCAGCATTCATGTGTTCAGGGAATCTAAGCCAATAAATTCACATAAAGTACCAATCAGAGACCACTGAAACCCTAAAAGCTTCACAGAGACAAATGCAGAACACCTCCACAGAAACACGGTCATCACCTAAGAACTCCTACAAGGAAAAAAGCCCCACTGAAGATAAGCTCATAAAATCACAAAAATTGAAACCACACAAGGAAATAATTTACTACAAGGGGAGAGCCGACAGACATTACTTAGGATCCTAATTAATGAAGATGGTAGAAAACTCTAAAGGGAATAAGTTCAAAATTATTTAAAGGAGAAAGGCAAAAATTGTAATGAAAGAACAAATGCTATAAGAAAGAGAACAAGAGGGTTTTGTTGTTGTTGTTTTGTTTTTGAGACGGGGGTGTTTTGCTCTTTTTGCCCAGGCTGGAGTGGAGTGGCGTGATCTTGGCTCACTGCAACCTCCGCCTCCCAGGTTCAAGCAATTCTGCTTCAGCCTCCCAAGTTGCTGGGATTACAGGTGCCTGCCACCACACCTGGCTAATTTTTGGATTCTTAGTAGAGATGGGGTTTCACCACGTTGGCCAGGGTGGTCTTGAATTCCTGACCTCAGGTGATTCACCCACCTCGGCCTCCCAAAGTGCTGGGATTACAGGCATGAGCCACTGTGCCTGGCTGAGAACAGGAGCTTTTACCGAAAAATACAGTTATCAAAATAGGTTTCATGGTAGATGAAGCACAACTGAAGATATTTAGTGATCTAGAAAGCTGATTTGAAGAAATCACCCAGAATTCAGCCCAAAATAGTAAGGGTAAAGAGATGTGGAGGAAAGAATAAGTCTAACATATATGGACTAGGAATTTTAGATTAAAAGAATAGGGAGAGTGAGGAAGAGGCAATATATGGACAGCAGTCCTTGGGAATATATAAAGTCCTTGGATTGAAAAAGAACACTAACTTCTGAGTAGATAAAATTACGTATAACATATTTACATATATTTACATATGTATACTTTACATATACATACATACAAATATACACACATATTTACATGTATATATAAAATATATATTTACATATATGTAAAGTCACACATATATACATATATACATATATGGGCATATTACATATATACATATGTGTGTGTGTATACGTATATGTATATACGTATCACAGTGAAATTTCAAAGCTTCAAAGACAAAGAGAATAATCTGAAGAAGCATCGGAGAGAAAGGACAAATCTATTAAGGAATGACAATAAAACTGATAGCAGATTTCTTTTTAGCAATAGTAGATGATAAAAAACAATAGGATAGCCTGAAAGTGCTGAGAAAAAAATACCCATCTATTTAGAATTCTATGCCCAAATTTCTCTTAAATTCTCATTCAAGACAGGCAAAATAAAGACATTTAAAAATAAACAGGCCAGGCGTGGTGGCTCATGCCCTTACTCCCAGCACTTTGGGAGGCTGAGGCAGGCAGATCACCTGAGGTCAGGAGTTCGAAATCAGCCTGGCCAACATGGTGAAACCCCATCTCTACTAAAAATACAAAAATTAGCTGGGCGTAGTGGCTCACACCTGTAGTCCCAGCTACTCGGGAGGCTGAGGCACTAGAACCACTTGAACCTGGGAGGCGGAGGTTGCAGTAAGCTGAGATCATGCCACTGCACGCCAGCCTGGGTGACAGAGAGAGACTCGGTCTCAAAAAAAGAAAAGAAAAATAAATAAATAAATAAATAAAATAAAAATAAACAAATACTCAGAGAGTTTACTATTTACATGGCCTCACTGAACTAAAGGGCATCTCAGTAAGAAGGAAAGTGAACCTAGAAGGAAGATTGAGATACAAGAAGTAACAGTGAGTGAAGACATTTTCAAACATGTTGGCAAAAGGAAACGAATATTCACTATTCAGTATTCAAGACTTACTTTGGAGGGTTTAATTTCAGGGTTTAAAAAAAGAATGTGGAAGAGAAATATTAGGAAACAGTAACATGAAAGGCACAAACGGAGAAATCAAAGTTAAAACATTCTAAATGTATTCTTTTGCTTAAAGTGATAGTAGCAAAACCAACTAACTTTAGATTGCTGAGTTTGATGTTAAAAGTTAAGGGTGACCACTAAAAGAACAGAGATAGAATATCTAACTTCCAAACTTGCAAAGAAGTAAGAGAAATAAAACTTGATCAGTCCAATATAAGGGAAGAAAGGAGAAAAAAAGGAACAAAGAAAAATCATGGCAAATAGAAAATATTAATTAAAGTGATTAAATATTACCAAAATCAAAGTGGATTAAACGATACTGTTCAAACACAGAAATTCCCAGATTAAATTTAAGAACAAAGCCGACTACGTGCTTTTTAAAAAAGAGACATATTTAGTGACTTTTGTCATGGTGGACTAACCAACTCCTATTGTAAGTAACTAGAAAAATTGATAAAATGTAAGAAAGAACTTGTTTTCAGACAATGGACAACAGGACGACACACACTGGATACAAGACTTGAGGAAAGGAAGGACTTGAGCTTGGCTCGCCCTTGGCCTTGGCTTTCTGCCTGAGGCACTTTCCACTGCAGGGTGGGGTGGGGGCAGCCACGCAGAGCACCCTGGGATGCTGGGATGAGCACACAGGATTAGGGAACTGGGTGGGGGAGGGCAACTGAGGCAGCTGGAAATTGTAGGGCAGAGTAGAGGAGAAGGGAAGCTAGGCAGAGAAAGACTCCCCCCCACCCTCCCCTGTGCAAGGCTGGGACAGACTCTGCAGATAAAGAAAGGAGTAGATATTGAGGATCTCTGAGAAACGAAGGTCCTGTACTTTGGGATAGTTAAAACATTAGTTAAAACGTTTAGTTTTACTTTAAAATAGTTCCTTTGGTTTAATTGGCCAATCATCAGTTTTGAAAGGAATCATCATTTTTGATGATTGGCCAATTTAGTTATAACAAAATGGTTTTAGTTTAAAACATTTAGTTTTAAACCAAATAGATTTGAGGGAATTTGAGTGCAGAAGGTACCTGGGTTCCCTTTTCTTGTTACAGCCCAGGGACTTAGCAATAACCTCAAGGAAAAAAGGCAACAGGTGTTGGTTGATGGGCCTGGCACAGCCTCACAGAGCCCCAACACCCCAGGATGACACAGAGTAGCAGGAGGAACCCAAGGACCCAAAAAGGGCCAGCATATTCGCAGACAGAGAGTTGCATGTATGTGACTGGGTGTGAGCACCTCTTTACATTTCATACCCCAGGTGCCCTGCTTGCCTCACCCAATCCTAGCCCTGTGTGGAGAGGCCCTGAAAATGAGATCTCACATGGAGACAGAAGCCACATGAAGGAGAACTGAGGCATCCCTGCTGAAGTGCCAGCTGCATGAGACCAGTGAGTGACCCCAGCTGACATTATGTGGGGTAGAATTACCCAGCCAAGCCACAGAATCGTGAGAAAGCACAAACCATTGTGTTTGAAGCCACTAGGTTTGGGATGGTTTGTTATGCAGCAATAGCTAACTGAGTCACCTTTTTCACACACCCCCAAACTCGGATGTAACTCAAGAGAAATGAGAGAGAAAGCCTGCATTGAGTATGTTTCTACTACTTGATAGACTAAAGACTTGTACTATCCATTACATTCCAATTATAGAAAAAGAATCAATGTTGCTTTTCTCATATACTTGAGTATGTCTGAAATTCACATCATCTCTATGTACTATGTGAAAGCAAAGCTGACCACTCACTATTTAGGTAGCAGGCATCCTTTGTTTTGTCCTTCCCTGCACCCCTAGCTCCTTCTTTTGCTATCAGTACCCCCATTTTCCCTTTGGCAAACTACCTTTCCTGCATTCTGTGAGCACCCGGAGGAACTTCAGTCAGAGTGCCCTCACATGTGGGGTGGATACGGGCGCAGCACTGGCCAGTTCAACCTTCTCTCCCAGAACCCATGGGCACAAGAGCTAAAAGCCATTTGGCCATGCCATTTCAGTGGCCCAGGGAACTGCCTAGGGTTTCCTGCTACCAAAGATGCCTGCACCTTCTCAGGCTCCTCTCCTGCTCTCTGCATTGGAGTCTGCCAGTACCTTCCAAAAATCTGCCTTTCACTGAATTCAGCCAGAATTGCTTTCTATTGTCTGTCATCAAAGAGCCTTGACTGATACATGATATAGCCTGTTAGGGCAGAAACTCAGTGGTGTGCTTAATATTTTTCAGTGTGGAGGTCACATGGTTGAGCCATGTGTTGGCCTGGACACCTGCAATTCTTGCCAAAAGGATCATTTGAGCGAGGAGCACTGATTTATCTGAACGGAAGTCTGTCAACAACCCTTTAGAGAAAACCATACCTCCTGGTCCAGTGCCTCAGGCCTCGTGCTTCCCTCCCTGCCTCCCCAGCTATCAGCACCTCTCTTGTTCTTTCCAATTCCAGATGTCAGTCTAGCTTGTGTTTTCTTCCCACCAAACCCTCCAGCAGCACCAAGCACAGTGCCAGGCTCATCACAGATTTTAATTATTGATGGATTGATTTGACTGATTTACTTCTGGGTGTCTCTCCCCCGAGACTCCCAGCAATGTCCACATGCCATACAACAGTCCCATTGGGTGCATGTAGAATGGGGCTGTTCCTAAGGGCAAAACACAGTGTGACGACAAGGCCCCAAGGTTGTGGGGCGCATGAGTTGTGGCTAGGAATGCCCTGGACCAACACTGGGAGCCGAGCTCTCAGGTGAGGAGGACCCAGTCATAAATGAGGCCTGGCCCCAGTCCCCACCACATGCAGGCCTATGGGAGAGATCCCTGGGTGCCATGTGTTACCGTTTCTGCAGGACAGTGACAAACTCGGTGAGCCGGTCACGCTCCACCTCGGCAGCCTGCCAGAGGGCCTTGATCTCTGACACTTGTGCCTGCCAGCCTTTTTGTTCTGGGGAGTCCGAGAACCTGGGACCAGGGTGGAGGGCAGAGGGCAGAGGTCATCCGAGGCCTAGAAATAACACTTACCCCTGTGATGGTTGGAGGGACTAGAAGGACATTCAGGGCGAATGTCAGCCAGAGCAAAGGAAGCAAACCCAGTCCCTCTAGGTCCTCCCCTGCTGGCTTCTTTGCCCACCATTCCTGGTCCTGCTGAAGTCCCTAGGCTCCAAAGCTGAACCTACCAGAACTAGAGTTACACTGGTACCTCTGTCCATCCAAGCCCTGTGGGGGCCTGGAATTAGTCTGGTGCTGTGGCAGGTGGCTCTTGGGGACCTGGGGTGCCCTGGGTATCTGTGTGGCCTTTGGGGCCTGGCTGCCCTACCCAGTGTCAGGTGTGCCCAGTCTCTGTGTCCCTGCCAGTCTCTCCCAGCCCTCCTGCATCTTCTGGCTTGGTCCCCAAGCCCAGCCCACTTTCCTGGAGCCTGTGCATTTGGCTTTGTGACTTGTTCAATTTTCTCCAGCCCTAAGCCAACCCATCACTGCTTCCCTCTTACCTGCTGGCTGGAGCCAGGACAGAAGGTAAACTCTGCCCCCCAACTTCAACCCCCCAGAGCCCACATGTGAGTTCCAAGCTGCTCTCCGCTGTGCCCCCACTTTTCCCAGTGAGACCCTGAGCTTACTTTTCTAGCAGTACAGGGCATAGGGAAGGCTGCAGAGCTGGGCAGTGTACTGAAAACTGGGCTGGGGCATGTGATCCTGAGGGCTGACTTCTCGGTGGTCTTGGGCAGGTCTCTTCCTCTCTCTTGGCCCCAGTTCCCCCACTAAACATTGAGAGGGGTGGTTTAGATGGGCTCCGAGAACTGCAGACCCCTCTGTGACTCCTAAATATGCTCTAAGGCCTTGCTACTACAAGTGGTCTCTGAATCGGTGGCTCTGGCATCTCCTAGCAGCTTGTTAGAAATGCAGAATCCCAGGCTTTACCCCAGACCTGCTGAATCAGAACCCACACTTGACCTGGCTGATCAGCAGGGGCTCTGTGTGTGCACTGCAGTTTGGAAAGCCCCATTCATTTCCCCAGTTCTAGAATGTGGGAAGAGGAGGAGCAGGAGCAAAGGGCCGATTCTTCACTCTGCCCTCCTCCCAGGCACCCCACCAGAGTCACCTGAAGGGAATGGGTTCAAACCATGCCAGCCCGAATAGACATACTCTCTGGGATCACTCTGCCCTGTGAATTCCTGTCCTGTCACCTGTGGGAGGGGACTGTAAGCTCCATGAGGGTAGGGCCCACACATGGTCGAGTTTAGTAAGTATTTGTGTGTTGTGGAAGAAACAAGCCTGACAACCAGCAGTCTGGGCAGCCAAGGCACAGAGCAGCTCCTGTATTTCTGTGTGGCACAGAGGTCACAGCCACACAGGCCTGGAAGGGGCTCGAAGGGGTCATCTTGTCCATCTTCCTGCTCTCTTTACTGTGACTAAAACCTCAGAGAGGCAGAGCCTCCCCAATCTCCCTGTGCTGTGACAAGACCTCCCACCCTAAGGAGCGTGGCACATGCCTTGTGGCTCAGTGTCAGCCCACTCTCCCCAAGTGCCTTTATGACCCCAGCCTGATGGGTGGGGCAGCTTTGGCCCACAGACCCTATGCTGCCAAGTGTCAGCAGCATGCTGTCCCCCACTTTTCGGGGATAGCAGCCCAGAGAAGGACCAGTTTGCCTGGAGCCACAGAGATGAGGGACTGGGGCCACTTGGAGGCTTTGCCTGGAACCTGAGCTGACCTGCCTGAGGGGTCAGGGTGGGGAGTGTTGACAGCAGGAGCATGGCTCCAGTGGACAGTGGGCAGGGCTCGGGACAGGGCTTAGAGGCAGGACAACGCTGTCCTTTGTCTATGGGCTGGCAGTAGGAACAAAGGGCCCATTTACACCCTCTGGCTTGATTCTGTCAACAAAGAGGGGGCCCAAGGTCTGAGGGGATATCAGTGGGAACCCATATCATGTGAAATTCTCCCCTTAGAGGCTGATTCTCAATGAGCAAGAGAAGATGAGGGAAGGTGCTAGAAGCCAGGCCCAGGAAGGTTCCTCAGGTTAATTCTCACGTAGCAGGTAGGAACCCTAGCCTGGGAGTCAGAGGCCAAGATTCTAGTTCTGAAGCTGCTTACTCTATCATCTTGGACAGGACTTCCCTGATCCTCCCTGTCTTTATGTAACCTTGGAAGAGTCCCTGGACTTTGCCTGGCCTCAGTTTCCCCTCCTTTTAATGGGATGGCAATACTGGTTGAGCAATCAAGAATGGGAAAAAACTGTGAGAGTCCGGGGGTCGGGGGTCCATACCTAGGTGAGGTCCTGTGGGGACTGGGCAGGGAAGGCCTCGTGAGAGCAGATTCCACCAGTGTGTGGCCCAGGCTGGTCACAGAGCTGTGTAAAGGCGGAAGGGGCCCATCAGCCTGGGAAGGCAGACCAGGCCCTACTGGGCCTCACCTCTGCATGTGAGGTGGAGCAGTGGCCAGCAGGGGTCCAGGAAACCCTTGCAGCAGTCCTGTGGATTTGCTGCCCTTCTTTCCAGAACTCTTGTTTGCTCAAAATGAGACAGAACAGGAGACACCAGAGCCTTGAACAACCCAACACGGGTCTGTTTGAAGGCCCCAGGGGCAGAAAACTTTTGAGGCCAGCTCAGAAAGGCTCTTACAGAGAGCTGCAACCAGCATGCTCTTGAAGTGATAAAATCTGGGCCTAACCGGCTCATTTCTGCAGACGCAGAGCTAATGTCATAGGAGAGGCCCACGTATTGGAAGAACAACAGCATAGTCATCTTAAAATTGCACCTGTGGCTTCCCATCAGAGGTAGCAAGAAACAACCTTTCTTCCGAATAATTAATGTTCACTTTCCAACCCCTCCCTCCCATTGTTTTCTTACCGAGAAGATCCAAGCCTGCCAACATGATCGCCTGCTGAGGCCGGGGACTTGGTCAGGCCTGGGTCCTCCAGGAACTGGGTATAGGCAGGGCTGACCTCGCGGCCACTGGACCCCTCACCCACTCCTTTATTCCGAAGATACTGTAGGAACAGATGTGGGTTCCATCCTCAGGGCTTTGGCTCAGAGGCCTAGAGAAGGCAGGAGGGGATCTTGGCTTGATTTCGGGGCTTTCAGAGGATATGAAAGAGGCTTCTTTTCAGGAGTGAAAAGCGAGGCCTGTTTGGTGAAGGCACTACTTGCATGATAATGACATCTAATAATGCCTCTCTTCAGAAAGAAAGCTACATGGTGTGAGGACGGTGACTGGGCCAGGAAGCTGTTCTACATTCAGGTTCCAGAGGGAGGTGCACGGCCCTGCATGCGGGGCAGGTCAGAGACTGACGTCTCTGAGTGGGTCCGCTTCTCCAGGCGGCCCCACCCACATGTGGTTGAACACCAGGTGTGACTTGAGGCCAGCTGCCTTCCTCAGCTGGAACACCTGGACCTTCCAGACACCTGCAGCCAGAGAGGCTGGCAGGGACTCAGTGAGGGCAGGCAGCCTTGGGTGGAGGCTAAGCCTGCCAGGCCCCCACCCCTCCCTCAACCCCTTCCTCTTCTGGATACCTGCTGGGGCTGGACTGGACAGGAACATTAGAGGACCCCCAGCAGGAGGTCAGGCCACCAGAGTGGACAACCGGTGTAAGCCCCTAACAACCTGGCTTGTCCCCCAGCCCCACCCATTTTGAGAAAACTCGAAACGTGTGCCGACTTAAGTCTGGTGGGTAATGCTTGGCCCCCATTCAGCTGGTGACC
The DNA here is from genome assembly GCF_000001405.40 of Homo sapiens. Classification (NCBI taxonomy): domain Eukaryota; kingdom Metazoa; phylum Chordata; class Mammalia; order Primates; family Hominidae; genus Homo; species Homo sapiens. The sequence continues at coordinate 42,734,322 of NC_000003.12, forward strand.
TCGGAGGTAGGAACAGTCTTCTCCTGTGTGCCTGGAGAAAGGACAGTGGTGAGGTGAAGATGCTGGAATCTTCCCCTTCAGACTTCCCTCCCCAGTGAGCCAGGATGGGGAGCAGGGTGAGTCCCCATTCACTGCCGTATGTGCTCTGTTCCCAGACTTCCTTGTGCCCCCAGGCTCCCCTTCAGCCTCACAGCACTATGTCACAGCCAGTCCTGGGGCCCCAGGCTACCCTGGCCTGTGGGAATAGAGGCTACAGGACAAACCAGGCTGGTCAGCCAATGCCAGACTGAGGCAGGGCCGAGGGGCTCTTGGGCTCTCACCTCTGAACAAACCACGGATCCCCAGAAACAAAGAGCAGGGCTGCTTTGCAACATGCCTTTGGCTGAGCCAGTCAATTTCCCAGTGGGCCAGAGGCTGCAAGGCTCCTTTGTCACTGGGAGACCTGCATGCCTGTCAAGAAATTCTCCCCAAGGACACCACCCAGCCCCACCACCACCCCAGGGAGGTGAAGGTGCCTGACTCCTAGCAGCCCCAAGCTGTGCCCTCAAGGCACCTGCCAAGACAAAATATCTTTACAAGCTCATGCCTTAGACAAGCATTTATTGAGCATCTACTGTGTGCTTGCTCCAGTGCCAGGCACTGAGGCACCACGGTCTGTGCTCCCTTACAGAGAGTGCAGGGGAGAAAACAGGAAAATGACTACACAGCGTGAGAGAAGTTTGGTTTGGGGATGCATAGGGAGTTAGGAGAGTGCCTAGGAGGGGAACACAACACAGAACAGGGGTCCTGGGGCTTCCTGGAGGAGCTCCTGACTAGGTAAGACCTAAAGGCTGAGGGGCAGCCGGCCAGACCGAGGCCGTGGGGGAGGAGGGGAGGGAGTGTGCTTCACGCTGCGCGTAGCCCTGGAGTGCGGAGCAAGCAGGAGCTGAATGGTGCCTGGGTAGCAGAGTGTAGGGAAAGGGGAGGGGTGAAGAGAAGATGCAGGAGGGGTGGCAGCAAGAGTTAGTCACATGGTGCCTAGAAGCTGAATGAAGTGTGGCTTTCCTTCTCTCATCCTGCTGCTGGAGCTACTGCCACCATCTTGAATCCTGAGGATAAGGCCACAGCTGGGGATGGGAGAGGGTAAACTGGAAGGTGCCTGGGTCCTTGAGAACCAGGTGAGGTCGAGGGTGACAGTAAGCCATGAACAGATTTTAAGTAGAGCAAGGACACAATCAGGTTTGTGTGCAGAATGGGTTGGGGAGCCAGATAGAAGCAGGTGGCCAAAGTGGAGCCAGGAAGGATGAAGTCTGGCCTGAGCTAAGGCAAGTGGAAAGAAGTGGAAGGAGCTGGATGGACTTGCCCGGCTTGAAAATGGGTTTGGGCGCTGCCAGTGCCCTACTCACGTGCACATTGAGTTGTCCGATCTCCATCTCCAGCTGTCGCACTTTGGCCTCCCGCTCAGCTACCATGGCCTGCAGCTGGGCGACTAGGCTGTTGCTCCGCTGAGCCTCGCTGTTCAGTTGCTGGTCCAGGTGGTGCTGGGACACTCGCGTTTTCTCCTCCTGCAGACTCAGGCTGCCTAGGATCTCCTGTAGCTGCTTCAGCTGGTCCTGGGGGGCCAGGCAGGAGGGCAGGTGGAGTCAGTCATGGCCCTTTGGGCCGGGGAGGACAAGAACAGACTGCCTCCCTCACCCCAAAGCAGGCTGCAGGAACCTAACAGTGGGATCCTGTTCCCTCGAGAGGCAGGAACACCTTCCTTGCCTGCCATCAGGGGATGTTGAATCAGGCAGGTGGGGACCATGTTCTTTTCCTGTCCTCAACTTCCTTCTCTGAGTTTGGGGCCAAGAAGATCCAAGGGGCTCTCAGACAACAGAAAGTAGATCAGATGGTGACTCCTCACCCGGTGGGGGAGATATTTAGCTAAAAGAAAAGCCTGATCCTGCTTGGCTGGGAGACTGCCCTTGGAGGCAGTACCTGGACCCCTGCCAGGGATCCATTAGCACCTGACTGAAGCCTCATCCCAAGGAAAAGCCCTCAAGGAGACTCCTGGGCAAAGGCTTCCTGCCTAGGGCCAACAGAAAGGACAATGTCAGTGATTTGGAACAGGTGGGGGCTGTTGTCTTCACCTCAGAGTGGAGGAAACTGAGGCCCAGAGAGTCCAAGGGCATATTGCTGGTGAATAGCATGACTGGGACTAGTTTGCAGCTCTCATCATGCCACTTTCAATGACAAAGAATGGTGACATGCAGGGACCTCAGAGGACATCCAGCCCTGCGACTTATTTTTAAAACTGGCTGCTGAGCCTCAGAGGGGATGCGACTGGCCTATGGTCACACAGTGAGATACTGACAGAGGCAGGCCTAGATTTCTGGTCTTCTGTGCCCCGCTCACCACCCTATCATGTAAAGTGATCATGAACTAAGGTAGGTGCCTGAGCCAGCACCCCCCAAACACCCCAGCCAAGCCAGACATGATCACCCGCCCCGGGCCTGCAGGCACAACTTGGAATCTGACACCAAACTTTGGTGCCTCGGGTCCCACAGAGAAAAGTCCAAGCTGTAGGGTTAGGAAAGCAGTATGGCCTTACTAATCAAGGAAGTTTTTGTTTTTGTTGTTGTTGTTGTTTTATACATAAGTTGTAGGGTACATGTGCACAACGTGCAGGTTTGATACATAGGTATACATATGCCATGTTGGTTTGCTGCACCCATCAACTCATCATTTACATTAGGTATTTCTCCTAATGCTATCCCTCCCCCAGCCCCCCACCCACCGACAGGCCCTGGTGTGTGATGTTCCCCGCCCTGTGTCCAAGTGATCTCATTGTTCAATTCCCACCTATGAGTGAGAACATGCGGTGTTTGGTTTTCTGTCCTTGTGATAGTTTGCTGAGAATGATGGTTTCCAGCTTCATCCATATCCCTGCAAAGGACATGAACTCATCCTTTTTTATGGCTGCATATTATTCC